>NC_000002.12:234459314-234762345 GCF_000001405.40 Homo sapiens
TTTGAGGAAAGAGCATGCTGATAACAATCAGAACTGACCACGTAATGAAACTTGCTATGGCCAATTTGAAGCTTGGAGTAGAGGAGAATGAATTGTGGATAAAGTCAAGAATTGGCTGCAATACTCTCTAGCTTTGTGAACCTGGACAAGCATCTTAGTTTCTCATTTGTAAAACAGAGGGTAATTCTTGCCTTAACCTCTTTGCTGGATATTTGTGACACTCATAAAAGAACAAATATGGAAAAGTAGACTATAGTTTGGATATAATTTGTTTGGCCCCACCAAGTGTCATGCTGAAATCTGATCCCTGAAGGCACCTCACGGGAGGAAGGTGGGGCCTAACGGGTGGTGCTCGGGTCTTAAGGCGGGTCCCTCACAATGGCTTGGTGCCCTCTTGTAGGTAATGAGGGAGGCCCTGCTCTATCAGTTCTCACAAGAGTTCTCCCAAGAGCTGGTTGTTAAAAACAGCCTGGCACCTTCCCTTCCTCTCTCTTGCTTTCACTCTCCCTGTGTGACCTCTGCACACCAACTCCCCTTCGGCTTCTGCCGTGGTAGGAAGCAGCCTGAAGCCCTCAACAGAAGCCCTCAACAGAAGAAGATGCTGGTACCACATTTCCTGTAGAGCCTGCAGAACCATGAGCCAGATAAACCTCCATTCTTTATAATTACCCAGCCTCAGGTATTCCTCTATAGCAATACAAAAATAGACTAAAACAAGGCACATAGTAAAGTTCCATACAGGCCAGGTGTGGTGGCTCACTCCTGCAATCCCAGCAACTTGGGAGGCTGAGGCAGGAGGATTGCTTGAACCCAGGAGTTCAAGATCAGCCTAGGCAACATAGTCAGACCCCATTTTTACTAAAAATTTAAAAATTAGCTGGGCATGGTGGTGCACACCTCTGGTCCCAGCTACTTGGGAGGCTGTGGTGGGAGGATTGCTTGAGCCCAGGAGTTACAGGCTGCAGTGAGCAACAGTTGTGCCACTGCAGTCCACTCCAGCCTGGGCAGCAGAGTGCGACCCTGTCTAAAAAAAGAATTAAATAAAATAAATAAAAAAATAAAAAGGAGAAGAAGAAGAAAACAAGAAAAGTTTCATTAACATATTTATCTATAATACAATCTAGTGTTTATTGCTAGGAGCTGAAGAGTAATCTATATTTTTCAGTTTCAGTTTTACTGGCAGTGAAATACCATCCTGGCTATATCAGGCTACCTTAGACCCAGTTTTAAATCGTATGTCATTTTCATCTCTTTGTATCTCAGATTCCCAGGAATTTGCAGTACAAGACTGTGGTTTACTAATTCTTGGATCATTCATTCATCATTTAATAATCTATCTGCAGAGCATGCTAAATCCATGGGAAAGAGAGGAGGAGGTAAGTGTGAGAAGGGTTCAATTCCCTGCACGTGCACACCACTTCTACCAGACCCCTCCTGTCACTGAGGAGGGCCAGGGTGGGGACTGTGGGGATCTTCTCCCTCACACATCTTAGAGTTCCTCCTCCCAAGTCTACGTGTTCCAGGCTGTATAAAAGATCATCAAAGACGCTGGAAACTTGATTTGCTTGTTTATCCACAAGTGCCAGCCTCAGTACACCCTACATTTTCTTAGGCTCTCTTCTTCCCATTAATTGGCTAAATTCCCCTGAGAGTTTATAAGATGGACTTGTTTGGCAGCTTGTGTCCGCACACAGCCCGAAGCAGCCGGTACCTCCGCCTCAACATCCCAGGTCCCATCATAAATAAGTCAAACCTGCCTTCTGAATTGCGTTGGTGAGCATAGTTGGCCAGTGCCTGCCTGTGCGGTGGAGCCCTTTCTGCGACTGAACGGGCCTCCTAGAAGGAGCTGAAGCGGGCAGGGGAACCTCAAGGAATCCAGACGTTCAGTTAGGGTTGGTGTTCCCAAAGTTCACGTCCTATCATCTTGATTCAAAAATTTTTAATGGGCAAAATTGGCTGGAACTACCACCAAAACTCATATATAAGAAACGAATGGTCCAGAAACTCTTCAGTTATAAAATACGAAGAAAAAAATACTTAGAAATTTCGACTTCAAAAAAGTTCATTCTTATAAGGGGGCTAAGTTCCTCTGAAGATTATAAATGAGGTCATATATGCAAAATGCATCAAACAATGCCTGACTCATTGTTAACACACAAATATAAGCTTTTGGTATTATCAACTTGCTGCTTGCAAATTTTTCTGGACTCACCATATAAAACACATACCCGAGTTTTGTTTTTCTTTGTTTCTAATCAAATTTGCAACTTGTTTATAAACACCAAATTCCTATTCGATTTTTAAGGAAATTCTATATCTCTTAGACAATGTAAGACTTAAGCTTTTTGTTTATTTAAAATAAATAAATTTAAACCAGCTTATTATGGGGTATAAACTTAGTCTTGATTTTAAACTTGTAATAGCAGAAATAGGAGAAATACAGGACTCACAAATTCATATATGAGTGTATGTGTAGGAGTTAATAACCAAAGGTTGAGTTTCTTTACAGTAGGATTTCTCTAGAACTTAAAAATCTAATTTCCCTGTTGTAGAGTTAACCCTTAAAATCAACCTGATGGAGAGCAGAAACATAACCACCACGATGGATGAACCAGTAAGAAGTGGCTATAACTTCTAAAGGGCTGAGCACAGCCCAGGACTGCGTCTGGGAGAGCACCAGTTGAATTGTTCACCCCCGAAACAACACAGGAGGACATTCATTGGTCAGGCTCATGCAAGTTTCCAATCTGCTTGACTGGTATGGCTCTTCCTACAAACCAGCTCATCGGCATTATAGTCTTGATCAGTTCTTGTCCCTAAAACGACAGAGTTCCTGAGCCTTCAGGGAAGAGGGTCACATTCTTGACCCCAATTGCTTCCCCAGGTAGGGCCCAGCCTGGCTACCAGCCGGCTTCTCCAGGCAGCACATTGCACACTCTGGAGCAAGTCGGCCCCCAAACTCAACCAGTCATCTTCATGGATATGCCGTTGGCCGACAAACCCACGTCCCCACCTCATCTCCAAAGTTCTGATGATTGCAACATTCACACTTTCACTCAACCTTACCACTTTGGGCTGTGATCCTCTTAGGGCCACAGTAGGTGAAATCTTAGCCAGATGGGTGTGGCCTCACAGCAAGACTTGGCTACAGCCCCTGTGGCTGCATCCGTCCTTATGAGTGAACTCTTTCCACAGATCATAGGAGCATGTTTCTCCCACTTCAGTCAGCAGCTTTCCCCTGGACAGCCTTCCAGGCTTCCACTACTGCCCCCCTACCCCACTGCCCAGGGTTCAATAGTTGCCATTTCCAACTGGTCCTTCTGGTGTGCCCTGGAGAGCATTCCCTGGGCCTACGCAATCTTCCAACTTAAGAATGCTCTGCAGACATCACTCTGGTTGCTCAAGGTGGGGCAGTAAACTTTTATTTACAGGTCATCTGATAACCCTGAACTCTAGCCCAATGACCTGGAGAAGATGAAAGGCAGCTGCATTGCTCAAGGTGAAAAAGAGACACAGGCTAGCAGAAAGACACACAGTGAATAACACCATCAAAGGAACGGATGCATGGGAAGAGGAGAGATGGTGATGCCAGCCAGATGTGGCCGTGGGCTGGTGTTTCCTCTGGCCAGCAGTTCCAATGACACCTCCTCCTGAGGGCTTTACAGGGTGCCCAAATCGAACAATGCCATACTCTGAGCTCCTTTCATACCTCTGTCCATTTTCAGAGGCTGCACACATTACAAGGTTTTGGAATTGATTTGTTTTTCTGCCCACAGCAGCCTCCAGGCTCTCAGGGCATTGGAGCCTGTTCCTGGTACATCCTTCTACTCCAAATACCAAGTACAGTGCTTGGAACATGGTGGCAGATCTTTAAAATTGTGTTTCTTTTCTTTTTTCTTTTTTTTTTTTTTTTTGAGACTGAATCTCGCTCTGTTGCCTGGGCTGGAGTGCAGTGGCATGATCTCGGCTCACTGCAACCTCTGCCTCCTGGGTTCAAGTGATTCTCCTGCCTCAGCCTCCCGAGTAGCTGGGACTACCGGTGTGTACCACCAAGCCCAGCTAATTTTTGTATTTTTAGTAGTGACGGGGTTTCAGGCCTGATAGGGACCCTCAGAATTGTCCTGCTGCAGGGCACAGATTCCCTGTATTCCTCAACTTCCCCACCGCTCGAGGAGTTTCTCGAACTCCTGACCTCGTGGTCCGCCCGCTTTGGTCTCCCAAACTGCTGGGATTACAGGCCTGAGCCACCGCGCCTGGCCTAAAATTGTATTTCATTGAGTGAAATCTGTTCCTAAGGAATTGCTTTCCAATGAGATAGTCCGGGCAGTCCTTTCTTCAGACTCTCCCTGACCCCATCACATACGAGGCTTCCCTCTGACAATGTCTGACTTCCCCTTGCTCCTGGAAGGAGCTGAGGGAGGGACATCAATTCATTATGACACTGGCTTTTCTCAGCCTCTTGGAACCACGGGCCTACTTATGCCACCTCGGTGTTTCCCTGAGAAGATATGCTTGGGCTCAACCTGTCTGCACTCATTTCTAACTCCCTTAGGCTTCCTTGTGTTGGGTAAGGCATTCTCCATTTCGGTTGAATTTTTTAAGTTTACTACTCAAAAGTATCACTTATCAGGTCCCCAAATGGTCTAGGCAAATACGTGTTCACATTAGCCACTGTCTTCTAGGAAAAATTCTCCTAAAGTATTATTAAAAATCTGCTCCTTGATGAGTAATCACTTGCTTTCTCTTTCCCCTTCTCGTCATTGTTTACTGTGCTCCGAATGTTTGCCAAAGGCGCAGGTGGGAGCCGTTCTGCGGCACGGGAGGCTTATTATTCACGTGCATTTCCACCGTGCAGTTGAGAACTGATGATATCACAGCAGTGATATCTCTGTGGTTTCTATGAGCAGAACGGATGGAAGCGATACACCAGGCTCATCAAACCAGACCCAGGCAAATGCAGCCCTCAGGTCATCACGCGCAGCTCTCTTCTGCTGGTGTCTGCAAAGCATTCTAAGAGCCTGGCTTGAAAATGCTTAAAAGCGCAAGGTGTACGTTTTCAGAACAAAATTAATCCACCCAGTCTGCACAAACAGCTCCAAGATCTTCTGCGGTATAATTGACATATAAGTCACAATCATAAAAGTGAATCAGCCACGTCCCTGAAACACAGTCGGAGATGAGGTGCTAACTTCTTGAAGTGGCTGCATGAGTTTTCTTTGGCTGCTGTAACAAACCATCACATCAGTGGCTTAAACAACCCGAATCTATTAAAAGTCCAACGCAGGTGTCGCTGAGCTAGAATTGAGGTGTCAGCAGGCCTGTGTTCTTTCTGAAGAATGCAGGGGAGAAGCTGTTTCCTTATCTTTTCCAGCTTCTAGGAACCACCCATCTATTTTGACTCGGGGCCCCTCTTCCACCTTCAAAGCCAGCGATGGTGCCTTCCCCTGCCTTCCTTCCAGAGCCCTCTCTCCCTCTCCAGTTCTGCTGCCCTCTAATCCTTGTAGGATCCTTAAACATTGGGCCCATTTGGACAATTCAGAATAATCTCTCTGTTTTAAAGTCAATTAGTAGCTTTAATTTTATCCACAGCATCAATTTCCCTTTCCATGTAATGTAACACACACAGAGATTTTAGGGCCTGTGACAGGAACCCCTCTAGGGGGCTATTTTTCTGCAGACCAGTGGTGACCTACTTATCCAGGGATGTATCTCACTCACTGCCCAGCAGTGCTGGAGCCAGGTTGCAGGTGCCAGTTTGCCTGGAAGGTGAAGAAGGTGTTTGCATCTGGACCTGGCCTCGGCACTTGCTGGTGTGTGCCCTTGGGAAAGTCACTGTGTTAGTTTGGATTCCCAGGGTTTGGGGCACAAGGCATTTATTTTGGAAGTAATTCCAGGAAGCACTGTGAGGGTGTGGGGACATTCGTCAGGGCAGGAAGCTAAAAAGGAATAAGCTATGAGTAGGTGGCCACTGTGGGCAGTGGGGCTCAGGCCTTCTAGGGACCCTTAGAATTGTCCTGCTGCAGGGCACAAATGCCCTGTATTCCTCAACCCCCCGCCCCCCAGTCCCGCTCAATGACTGAGAGCTGCTCCTGGAACCCTGTCCTGCCCTGGTGTGGGTTGAGTCTGCTCCCAGGGCCGGAGGACATCCTGAGGCAAAAAGTGACACAGGAAACTGTCCCCAGTCAGCAGGCGGCTCTGGGCAAGCCAAGTAGATGTGGATGGGGCACGGCTAGCAACTGCCACATTCTCTGAGCCTCGGTTTCCTCAGCTGTAAACATAGGAGGATAATGATACTATGTACCTACACTGAGGTCATTGTGAGGATCAACTGGGACAATACAAGCTCATTAATTAGCACAGTACCTGGCACACACTCGGCACCCAAGGCATGCCATGGTTATTATTCTATCGACTCCCTGGCTGTGTGGCCCACGATGAGTGACCTCGTCCTCTCCTGCTCTGTTTCCTCACTTGTGACCTGACAAAACTCATTCATTCATGCCTCCCATCCCTGGGGAGTCAGGCACAGTGTGAGAAGCTAGGACACTGAGTGACACAGCAGACACCATCCTCGCTCACGTGGCCCTTCCAAGCCTGCTCTGAGAGACAGATGGCAGCCAAACAATCCTACAAGTAACAATAAGAGGAAGCTGGGAAGGCGCTGAGAGAGAGGGGTACACGATGTCGGGGGACATGCCAGGGTGGGAATGGTGGGGAGGGTTGGGGGGCTTCTGTTAGCAAGTTGAGGCTGCTTGAGAGCCTGAGAGAGGGATCCCTGAGGACAAAAGAGGAAGGAGAGCTCTTTGGGCAGCAGCAACACGTGCAGAGGACCTGGGGCTGGAAGGAGCCAGGTGAATTCAATAAACTGCACCAAGGAAGGGGTGGTGTGGCTTGAGCAAGAAGGGCAGGGAGGGGCGGGCACAGGGTGGGTCGAGGAGCAGTCAAGGGCCTGGCATCTCAGGTCAAGTTCAGTCTTATCCAAGGAACCATGAGAAGTCACTGAAGTTGGACTTACGTTCTGGAAGGTTCCTTCCAGCTCCAAACTGTAGTGGGTAACATAACATCTAAACACCTGCCTATAATGCAAGACAGAAGGAAGGGATGCTTTGCTTCATTTTGTAATTAACCTTAGATTATTTTGCCAGCTATTCTAATCATTTCTTGCCTAGCTCAAAGCCCTGGAATGATCTGAAATCAATCAGCCAATCAATCTTTTCTTTTTAAAAGATACAAGAAAGCAGACAGCAGAGTCTCCATTCAACGTTTAGCTCACCCTTTGGTGGGCAGCAACTCACGTGTGGACATTCATAACTTCACCATGGGTTGGAGAGGCTCCGCTGATGGGGGAGGGTGGCCCCACGGGCACGGACTGTCTTCGTGCCATCTTATTTCTGACCCTGTGCTACAGCCGGGGCGCCTGTGTGTTGTGTTTGGTCAGGCAGGTCCATTGTCTTTGTCCCAGTTCAATTCAACTTCAATCAAGTCCATAACCTTTAACTGAGCAGCCTACTATTGTAGGGTCACAGTGCCTTTCCACAGGGCCTGGGAACTCAGACCAAACCACAGCTTTCCCTTACATCCTGGTGGATTCTCAAGAATGTTCTGGCCGGATGGTAAGGAGAGCTGTTTACTCATTATAATGCCCCATCACCATCAGGTGAACAATCTGGAAAGACCCCTGCAGGCCAGAAGGAAGGGGAGCTCCTCAGGGATCAATGTGTGCAGCCAACATGGCAGTCCACAGCTCCAAGCTGGACCTCTGAGTCCTCCGGTGTGCTTTGTGGACATACCGAGAAGGCACTGGTGCTACGGATGAAATGGACAACATAGTGTTAGGGGCTGCCTGTTTGTGCCCCAACACCACATTCACATGTTAGAGCTCTCATGAATCTCCAGTGTCATGCTAGATAGAGATGGGGACTTTGGGAGGTGATTGGGTTTAGATGAGGTCATGAGAGTGGGGTCCCTATGATGATATTAATATCCTTATAAGAAGAGGAAGAGGGACCAGAACTGTCCTGCTCTCTCTTCTGTGTGAGGACACAGCCAGAAGCCAGGAAGAGAGCCCTCGCCAGGAACCCGATCTGCTGGTGCCTTGATCCTGGACTTCCAGCCTCCAGGACTGTGAGCAATAAAGGTCTGCTCTTAAGTCACCCAGTCTATGGCATTTTGTTATAGCAGCCTGAGCTGACTCATACATGTGGCTACACACATCTGCTGGGATTCTTCTGCTAGATGGGATTACGTTTTACTAGAGAGGCTGATTCAGCTATGGCTCAACTTCGTGATCTTTCTTCTGTGGCTGCCTGTTATCCCTGTGAGCTGGAGGTAACAGGATCTGTGAGACAAATGCAGAATCAGGCTTGTTAGGGCAGTCAGTGTTCTCAGTCCCCCAACACTAGGGCTGCCTCTCCATCAGCGCCTTCAAGGGAATACAGTTTGGGATACAATCATGGCCAGCCTGCCCTGCCAGGCTTTGGATGCTGACCTCGACCTTCCACTGCTGTCTTCCAGGATGCCTCTCTGAAAAGGAGCAACGGCTGAGGTTGCCAGTGAGTGGCATGTGCCATGCAGGGGACAGTGGAATTCCTTGGGTATTGTGGGAGTTTCTCAGGGCACCCTTCCCGTTCTGCACTATTGCTGGTGACCTCCCGTGGCCTGAGGTGTTCATACGTGGAGTGGTGGACACCGCAGCCATGAAAGGGACTGAGTGTGACAGAGCCATCACTTTCTGAACCAGAGCTCCATCTTCCAGAGATTCCAGAGGATGAGGCTCACTGGGAAATCTCTCTAAGTCAAAATGCTTCCTGTCCCCAGGCCCCAATCCAGACCAACTGTAAAACCTGATAATGTGCACGTTTAACCATGTTTAACAAGCATCCAGGAGACACACAGAAGCAGGGCCGTTTTGGAAACACCGACTGGGCATCCCTTCACACCAACCTTTCCACATTTGCAGCTACACGTCTTTTATACAACTCGTTTATTTCTATCCAAAGCAGCCCAGAGCTCCACAGGCCTGAAGTCAGGTCCGGATTTTCCAGCTGTCACCCACGCAAGCCTCTCTAAGCCTTACTGAAGGGGATACTGGTGTGTCCTCCTGGAGGAACTCATTCCCTGATGTCTGTGCTCCCACAGTTTAGGGGACCCTGACTCTGCCCGTGGCCCCTCAGGTCCCCATCCTGCCCTATGATAGAGGGTTCTGCTTCTTCTCACCACCGCCCTTCCCCACTCCCCTGCACCCCATCCACCACTCACTTTCTCCCTGTAGCTTTGCTCCACCACTGACTCAGCTATTAAGTGGCCTACACTGAAAATAAGTGCATGTTCTGGGCACAGGGCGTACCAGGAGGATGCATGCCAACCGCAGAGCTCCTGCTGCTCCAGGGAAAACAGGCACATAGCAACAGGCCGGGACTCTGCAGGACAGACCAGGCAGGCCCAGGGGCACGTGGCAACTACTCATCCTATTTGGGAAGGAAAGGGATGGGGAAGATCCAGAGGCCTGACATTGAATTTGTTTGGGGGACATAGTTACTAGTAATGTTCAATGATTCTAAACTTTACTTGATTGCAACCATATGTAGTAAGTGCCTATGCTTTGCCAAGCCATGAGATAAGGAGACAGAGATAAACGAGATACTATCCTGGAGGGACTTACAGGCTAGAGAGGGAGAGAGACTCAGACAGAGAGCATCTCTGTGAGATGTGCTTAGGGCCCTGAAGGGCGTGTGAGCAGGTGCCTGGACACCTGAGGGGCTGTGCTGAGGTCTGCCCTGACTCCTCCCTGAGAGGACGTTCATTCTCAGGGAAGGCAGCTCATCATGCATTGTCTTGGTTCCCTCTCAGTATCCTGAGACAATTACTATGCCCAAAGGAAAGGCAGGAGAAACTCATATTAAATATGGCACTCACCTAAAAGATTTATAAATGAACATTTGGGAAGGAATAGATATCTTTTGATGTAAATTTTTTATTCCTAGCTTCTAAGTATCCTCAGAATTATTAAAACATAGATTCTACAAGTTGTACTCAAAATGAATTAGCTTTAGATTTGAGCTGCTGACAGAGTAATGACAGAGAATAGTTAAAACAGGTTTGTCTGGTCATAAATATTTTACTTGCTAGGCTCAGCAAGCTGCGGGCAGACACTTGCCCTCATAAGTAAGTATCGATTAAATTCTAGTCTGGAATCAGGACGCATAATTGATGGTTTGATGATTTGAGAAATCACACTCTGCAAATGAAAACAGACATTACTTGAGTCACATTGAAGGAGGTACTTATTTTATACCAAAACTCAAGGGGAAGCAGGGTTGTCATATGAGTCAGTTAGACGCAAAGGTCACGTTGCAGAGTCTGGCAGAATGGGTCTTCATGACTGCACAGAGGCATAGAATTCTTCCCGAGAAGTATAGAATTTGAGCTGGAAGGTTCCTTGGGCTCATCCAGTCTAGCTTCATGCTAAGACATGCATCATTCTCTAATACCCAACTGATGACCGTCCATTTGTGAACACTTCTGTTCTTAAGATTTTTATTTCTGGATGGGACAGCAGAAGGCAAACCCTGAACAAGCACATATCAAACTTAGACTTTTTAGTCTACATATTCACACATCCCTTCACTCATCAAATAACGATAGCACAAAGAAAGTCTATTGCCAGCACTCCATAGTGACTTAGCTGAAAGAATTTTTCTGTTGGCGCTCAATAGGTTACAAATTCAGGATATTTCAAGACTAATAATGAAGTCGTAGATCCAGTGGAACACATTCTGTCTTTCAGCTCTCCTTTTTTGGTTTCACAAGAATATAGTTTTGGGGAGGAAACCTGGTATGGAGTCTACACAGACTCAGAAGCCAGGGACGAGACACTGTGATGGTCTGAGCTTGAGCAAGACTTGTGGGTCAAGAGGAAACTAGCCTGGTGTCAGTGCATTGACACCCACAGGGAATTAGGTGACCAAACAAGGTCTGTCTGAGTTTGGCTAGGTACCGCCTGCCTGTGGCCTCCTAGGTAATCTGGGGCCTGTGTCTTAGCCACACACTAATAATATTTTTGTTCTCTCTCTCTCTCTCCCTTTTTTTTTTTTTTTTTCTGACAGAGTTTCACTCTTGTTGCCTGGGCTGGAGTGCAATGGCACGACCTTGGCTCACCCCCATCTCCGCCTCCCAGGTTCAAGCAATTCTCCTGCCTCAGCCTCCTGAGTAGCTGGGATTACAGGTGCCCACCATCATGCCCAGCTAATTTTTTGTATTTTTAGCAGGGACAGGGTTTCACCATGTTGGTCAGGCTGGTCTTGAACTCCTGATCTCAGGTGATCCACCCACCTTGGCCTCCCAAAGTGCTGGGATTACAGGCGTGAGCCACCACACCCGGCCTTGTTCTCTTTATATCAGCAGCATCAAGAGTGATGAGGGGTCCTTCTCTTAAGGCTGTGCTAAACTCTACAGCACAACTTCACTTCAGCAACCGTAGGTAGCTGAATTGGGAAAGGATAGAGATGCCAACTGTGTAGTAACAGAGGCCACTGGTCATGGTGATTTCCAGGACAGAACTCTGGAGAAGCCACCCTACTCAGGGATCAATTTCAAGGTCCCAAGGAAACACCCAGCTCTAGAATTCTATGCTTCAGTGTAGTTGCAGACACCCATTCTGCCATATTCTCCAGTGCGACCTTTGCATCTGACTTATAGGGCAACTTTGCTTCCCCTAGAGTTTTGGTACAAAACAAGTGCATCCTTCAATGTTACGCAAGTGATTCTGTCTTCATTTGCAGAGTGTGATTTCTCAAATCATCAATCCATCAATGATGTGTCCTGATTCCAGACTAGTGCTCTCACAGAACAAACAGGGATAATTTGCACCTTTTATGTAAAAACTAACAACAAACACTATAAGAAAGTGCTCCTTGGACTTAGAAAGAACACCAGGTGCTTGTGAAAGCCTGGGTAACTCAAGACACAGGAATGGGCAGGGGAGGCTCCTGTTCCTCTGCCAGGCTGGGCACAGAGTCTTGAGTGTAGGGCAGAAAAGAGAGGCCCAGTTTCCCAGGGTGGTCTGAGCCTGCATTCAAGGTTGTAGAATCATCAGAAGCCAGGAGGGCCTTGACGACCTCCAGACAAACACTGGGCAGATGCTCAGCCTGCTTTGAGGAATTAAAAAACAAATTCTCCTGTGGATGAGGCTTCAAGCCACTTGGAAGAATGCAAAGGGGCCATTCCAGGGAGAACGTTGCGGCACCTGCGCTGTTGTCTAGAGGCCACCTTACTGCTCTCGAGAGATACTGATGAGCAGATCTGTGGGCAAAGGCAGTGTCGTTACCTGCCATGGAAACCTAAGCCTAGGGCCAGCTATGTAATTTGTGGGGCCAGGGGAAAAGTAAAAACATGAGGCCCTTGTTTGAAAGTTATTAAGAATTTTGAGAGAGCAACAGAGCAAAACACTAAACTCAGCATTTAAGCCTGCATTTGTTTCCTAGGGCTGCTGTAACCAATTACCACAAGCAGCGCCACTTCAGACAACAGAAACATACAGTCTCATGACTCTGGATCCCAGAGATCCCAAATCAAGGAGTTGGCAGTTTTGGCCTCTTCTACAGGCTCTGCAGAAGAATCCATTCCATGCTTCTCTCCTAGTGTCTGGTGGCTGCTGGCATCCTTGGTTTCCTTGGCTGGTGGCTGCATCACTCTGATATCTACCTCCTTTTTTTTCCTGTTGCCCAGGCTGGAGTGTAGTGGTGCGATCTTGGCTCGCTGCACCCTCTGCCTCCCAGGTTCAAGCAATTCTCCTGTCTCAGCCTCCTGAGTAGCTGAGATTACAAGTGCCCATCACCACGCCTGGCTAATTTTTGTATTGTTAGTAGAGATGAGGGTTTCACCAAGTTGGCCAGGCTGGTCTCAGACTCCTGACCTCAGGTGATCTGGTCCCCTTGGCCTCCCAAAGGGCTGGGATTACAGGCATGAGCCACAGTGCCTGGCCTCTACCTCCATTTTTATATTGCTTTTCTCTGTGTGTGGTTTTGGGTTTCAAATCTTTCTCTCCTGTGTTTTATGAGATCTCAGTCATTGACTTTAGAGCCCACTCTAACTCCAGGATGATCTCATCTCAAGGTCCTTAACTTAATTATGTCTGCAGAGATCCTATTTCCAAATAAGGTCACATCCAAAGGTACTGGGAGTCAGGACAGAGACATATCTTTTTGGGGGCTGCCATTCAATCCATTACATGGTCCTTCTGGGCACAACGATCTGGGCACCTGCGCAGGTTGCACACCCATGAAGTGGGCACTGCGTAAGTCCCTGGAAATCTCAGCTCCACACAGAGGATTAGAGCAGAGGCCATGCCAGGAGTCCCTTATTTCCAGCCAATGACCCTCTTGTAGAATCAATTTATTCTCTACAGCCCCAGCCTGTGGTCTTTTCAGGCAACATGGGTCTAGCAGCCATCAGGGAAGGTCTGTGGTTGCCTGGATCCCAGTGGGCCTGACAAGCCAGGACGACACAGGCTCATACCCCACCAAAGGGAGGACTCCCATCTCTCTCTGGAGGCTGCTCTTCTTGTAGGACAGAGGGTGCATTGCTGGTTTCTTCATTATGAAACATGCCCTTCCGTCCATTATGTTACTAAGGCACCCTGGCCCAGGAAACCCTAGGCTTGAAATTACCCCAAGAGTCTGGAGCGAGGCCTTTCTGGGGTAGTGCCACTCCCATCCAGAGCCTCTTTGCTCTGGGCTTCCTCTGCCTCCATATCTGGTCACCTGGACCTAACCTGAAGCTGCTGTAACAAACTGCCACAAGCTGATTGGCTTGAGACAGCACAAATTTATTATCTCACGATGCTGAAGGTCAGATGTACCCAAGTCAGTCTCACTGGGCTAAAACCAAGATGGCAGCAGGGCTGGACTCCCCCCCCAGAGCCCCTTACCCCTGAGTTCTGGGCACGCCTGCCTGATGCACCCATGCCAGGGGAAGCAGCATGGAGCTTGTTCCACTCTCAGTGCACCACCCTCCTTCCCACAGGCTCCGGCGCACCCTCTGGCAGCACGCTGCCTATCTGCCAGCCTTCATGCATGGCTGCACTCCACAGACGCCCTGGTCACCAGCCATCATCCAGCTGATCCCCAGCTGGTACTCACCGGGACCACCATGCTGCTTGTTACTGTTGAAATCCATCCATGCCAAGTTGGCCAATAGCACCTGCCTGATGCCCCCGCTCCTACTCAGGGACCTTGGTAGGACCTAGCAACTGCAGAGGTAACACCTGGCCATGTGGAGGTCTCAAGACCCTGCCCCAGTGGCACAAGTGACCTCTGCTTGGATTGGCTGACGCCTGCGGTGGGCAGAGAAATGGCTCCTGAGGATGTCTACATGTGTATTCGGCCATCCTTGTGCTGCTGTAAAGAAATTCTTGAGGCTGAATAATTTATAAAGAAAAGAAGTTTAATTGGCTTATTGTTCTGCAGACTATACAGGAAGCACAGTGCCAGCATCTGCTTGGCTTCTGGGGAGGCCCAGGAAGCTCCAATCATGGCGAAGGTGAAGGGGGAGCAGGTGTCTCACATGGCAGGAATGGGAGCGAGAGAGAGAGAGTGGGGGTGGTGCCGCACGCTTTGAACAACCAGATCTCCTGTGAACTCACTCACGACCAATGGGATGGCCCAGGCCACTCATGAGGGACTCTCCCCTGTGATCCAAACACCACCCGCCAGGCTCCACCTCCAACAATGGGGATCTCATTTCAACATGAGATTTGGGTGGAGATAAACATCCAAACTATATCAACAAACTAATCCCCAGAACCTGTGAAGATGCGGGCATACACGGCAGTGTCTTACCCTGGAGGTGATCCTGGACTCTCTGGGGGCAGGGAGCAAGGTAGTCGCCAAGGTCCTTATGAGAGGCAAGAGGGTCGGGGTCAGAGAAGCAGATGTGACAATGGAAGCAGAAGTTGGACTAGAGGAAGGAGCCAGGAGTCAAGGATGCAGGTGACCCCTAGGGCTGGAAAGGAGGTAGAATGAATGCTCCCCTGGAGCCTCCAGAAGGAACCAGCCCTGCTGCCATCTTGGTTTTAGCCCAGTGAGACTGACTTGGGGACATCTGACCTTCAGCGTCCTGAGATAATAAGTATGTGCTGTCTCAATCCAATCGGCTTGTGGCAGTTTGTTACAGCAGCAACAGGGAATGAATACAATGCCCAGCCATACCTGTTGTTAAACATTTTGAATAACACCCCCATTCTCATCCATTCATTCCCAACAGGCCCTCCCATGGGCACCCTGAGCCTGTGCCTGGAAGATTATCTGGCATTGGCCAAAGCAGCACCTGGGCAAATTAAGAGCCAAGATGCAGTGTCAAATATACTTGGGTTCAAATCCCAGGGGAAGTCACAGACCCTCTCCAAGCCTCAGCACCTCATCTGTCAAAGCAGATAATGATTCCTACCTGTGCTATGTGTTTTCTAGTACCCTCCCCTCTTCTTGTTCTAAGAGGCCCAGCTTTCACAGGGTGGGCACATGCCCTAGATGGGTCACTGTCTGGCCACAGGGATCAGCCCAGGACTGGCCCCTGCATACAGGCAGGACGTACGAGTCTTTCTCTAGAATTTTTCGAAGTGGACAATTGAAGAGCTCTCATGATAGAAGGGGAAGTTGTGTGCTTTTTCACTATATGAAGACCTTTCCACTCTGCAAAATGAGAAAAAAGGCAACATCTAGAAGGGAGCAGAGGTGGGGGTGTGTGCTGGTGACCTACTCCTGCTTCCTAGTCCGCAGGCCCCTTGGGATGCTTCGGTTTCTGTAATTCTCCTCCAGTTCTCTGAGTAACACCACCGTACTTCCAATCATTCCCTATTTTGAATTTGACCTAGTTTGGCTTTTGTAAGTGAGAAACCTGACTCATATACTGCCTCCCAGGTCTGATGCAAAGATGAAATGAAATGAAAATACAAAGCGTTTAGCAAGTTCTTGAACATAATATGGCCTCAGTAAATGATGGCTCTTCTTCTTATTACACTAAACTTCCTGGGGATTCCCTGACACCCTTGTGCCTTGGACAGTTCTGACGTCAGCAGATTTCAAAAGCTCCTTAGCGTCTACTCGTCTTTTCTTGGCCTCCTTAAGGCCAGGCCTCCAAGCCTGCTGGTCTCAGTGCTGCCCCATGGCCCAGTCCTGCTGCCAACCCCAAGTGATCCCAGAACCTTCCTTCTCATACCACCATTCTCTCCTGCTCTCACCAGCCTCTTCCTTCTTGCTAGTGACCTTGATTACAGACATGTGGCCTGCCAGGATGACCTCAGGCCAGCTGCTGAGTTAGCAGCAGGTGCTCCCAGGGTCCACAAAGAAGCCACAAGTAACCTCCCGCAGCTTCCCCACTGGGGAATACCCACTAACTTTAGGACTGACTAAGAAAGACCATTGTTAGCATCCTTTTTTTTTTGAGATGGAGTCTTGCTCAGTCGCCCAGGCTGGAGTGCAGTGGCGTGATCTCGGCTCACTGCAACCTCCGCCTCCCGAGTTCACGCCATTCTCCTGCCTCAGCCTCCTGAGTAGCTGGGACTACAGGCGCCTGCCACCATGCCCGGCTAATTTTTTTTGTATTTTTGGTAGAGACGGGATTTCACTGTGTTAGCCAGGATGGTCTCGATCTCCTGACCTCGTGATCTGGCCGTCTCGGCCTCCCAAAGTGCTGGGATTACAGCCGTGAGCCACCGTGCCTGGCCAACATCCTACTAGAACAGAGGCATCCAGGTTTCTAGGAGGGTTATATCATCAGAAATCCACAGCAGCACAGGAAGAACACTAGAGATATTTATTGATTAGGAAGGTGAATGACGAGGATCTATGCTCAATGTTCAACTATTGGGAGAGAATCAAACTGGGTCAAGTGCATATGGCATCCATCTTCACACACATTTTCCTTTTGTCAATCATCTTTCATAATTGTGTTATAACAAGTGAAATTACATTAGAAAAACTTGCAATGATATAATGAAGTCCATTCTGTTCTAATTTCAATGAGTAAACTGTGACATGGCTGTAGCCAGCACCCCCAGGAAGATCAAGTGTGGGCCCCACACACCTTCTGTTCCTGGGAGTTCAGCTACTTTGAGCAAAATGCTTCTTGACAAGGGTGTCAGGTGGGCTGCCCATTTCACACCCCCAGAGGGTCAGGGCAGCCTGCCTTGTGTCCCTCCACTTGGGGAATAAGTTCTTTGGCTTCCCATCAGATGTTGGTGCTTCGAATTGGATTCCAAAAACCACAAACACACACACTAACAAAAACAAAAAGAGGCCGGGCGTGGTGGCTCATGACTGTAATCCCAGCACTTTGGGAGGCCAAGGTGGGTGGATCACTTGAGGTCAGGAGTTCAAAATCAGCCAGGCCAACATGGTGAAACCCCGTCTGTGTTGAAAATACAAAAACTTAGCTGGGTGTGGTGGCACACACCTGTAATCCCAGCTACTTGGGAGGTTGAGGCAGGAGAATCCTTGAACCTGGGAGGCGGAGGTTGCAGTGAGCCGAGATTGTGCCATTGCACTCCAGCCTGGTCAACAAAGCCAGACTCTGTCTCAGAAAAAATAAAAGAGAGAGAGAGATAGAGAGCGACAGCCACCACAGCAGTGTGCTGCTCCTCAGGCAGAGGGCGTGTTAAGACAAGGTCCTCTCCCAAAGGCTCACAGGATGACACCTTGTCCATACTGCATCCGGATACAGTCAGCCTTCCGTATCCTCCCGCTCCATATCTGAGGACTCAACCAACTGCATATCAAAAATATTTGGGAATAAGAAACAATACAAATAACAATATAATTTTAAGGTAATGCAAATAAATAATACTGTATAACAACTTACATTGTACTCAGCATTATAAGGCATCTAGAGATGATTCCTTATAATACAGGAGGATGTACGTAGGTTATCTGAAAATACTACAACATTTTATATAAGGGACAAGGCTCTGCAGATTTTGGTATCCAAGGGGTTGTCCTGGGACCAGCTCCCTGCCGATACTGAGGGATGACTGTAATTTACAATGAGAGGTACATAGAATGGGCTTGAGCCAGATAGTGTCCTCCCAGCTTACAAAGCTCTGAGAATATTTCAATAAGTTGTTTGGGGGTACGCCTCTTCTCATTGGCTTCTGTAGGGAGTGGAGCGGTGGCCTCCTAAACGGTATGTCCACCCAGAACCTGTGGATGAGACCTTTGGAAAAAACATCTTTGAAGGTGTAATGAAGTTAAGGATCTTGACATGAGGTCATCCTGGATTTAGAACTGGCCCTGAATGCATTGACCAGTGTCCTAGTAAGAGAAGAGAAGGGGAGAGAGAGACAGAGAGAAGGTTAGGGATTGGAGGGATGCCTCTTTAAGCCAAGGAATGCTGAGGGCTGCCGGAAGCCCCCAGGAGCTGGAGAGAGGCCTGGAACAGTGTCTCCCCCAGAACCTCCAGAAGGAACCAACCGTGACCACACCTTGATTTCAGACTTCTAGTCTCTGGGAACTGTGAGTGGATACATCTCTTGTTGTGATTCTGTTGCTCTGTTGTTGTACCCAATGTGTGGTCATTGCTACGGCAGCCACAGGTAGTGAATGCACCTCCCAAGACAAGCTTTCATTGCCCAGTGACCCCCAGCACCAGCTTTAATCTTAGTCTCATTTTTGTTGGAGTATAACCATACATGACTGCCAGCGAAACTTAAGATTGAAATAAACCGGATGCTTGCCTGATGCTGACCTTTGAGAGGCATTACCCTCGATGCCAAAAGATTAAGAGGACCTGGAAGTGCCAGTGGGCAGTGCACTGTGTCACAAAAAATAAGAAATAGGCCAGATGTGAGGACTTAGGCCTGTAATCTCAGCACTTTGGGAGGTCGAAGGGAGGAGCACTTGAGCCCAGGAATTCAAGATGAGCCTGGGAAAGATGACAAAACTCTGTCTCTGCAAAAAATTAAAAAATTAGCTGGGCGTGTTGGCACATGCTTGTAGTCCCAGTTACTCAGGAGGCTGAGGTAGGAGGATGTCTTGAGCCCAGGAAGTTGAGGTGGCCATGAGCTATGATCATGCCACTTCACTCCTGCCTGGACCACAAAGAAACACCACCACCCCCAACTCTAAAGAAGAAAAAAATGTTTTTAAAGTAAGAAATAGAAGGTGGTTGAACGAGACCCCAGAGAACATATGCCCAGAAATTGGAGAAAATTTTGCATGCACAGACTCATTGTCACCAACCATCTAATAACCAGCAGCTTGCCTGGCATTGCAGGTTCTTGTGGTGGTGGGTGGAGTGTGTAGGTGTTCAACGCTAATCATGCTAAGCTTTGCTATGTCAACAGATAAACTCTGAAGTCTCAGTGGTGCAACACAGCAGAAGTTTTTGTCTAGCTCACATCACAGTTGGCTGCAGACTGAGCACAGTGACTCTAGG
Organism: Homo sapiens; assembly: GCF_000001405.40. Taxonomy (NCBI): domain Eukaryota; kingdom Metazoa; phylum Chordata; class Mammalia; order Primates; family Hominidae; genus Homo; species Homo sapiens. The sequence continues at coordinate 234,478,740 of NC_000002.12, forward strand.
AAGAAGTGACTCAGGCTTCCAGGCAGTTCTCATCTTGCCCCTCAGTTATCTTATTTTTTTTTAATTTTTTATTTTTTATTGTTTTTGAGACAGAGTCTCATTCTGTCACCCAGGCTGGAGTGCAGTGGCATGATCTCGGCTCACTGCAATTTCTGCCTCCTGGGTTCAAGCGATTCTTCTGCCTCAGCCTCCTGAGTAGCTGGGACTACAGGTGCACGCCACCACGCCCAACTGATTTTTGTATTTTTAGTAGAGACGGGGTTTCGCCATGTTGGCCAGGCTGGTCTCAAACTACTGACCTCAAGTGATCCATCTGCCTCAACCTCCCAAAGTGCTGGGATTACAGGTGTGAGCCACTGCGCCCAGCCTCCTTCAGTTATCTTAGAATCCATTGCTCTCCACTCCCCTCTCCAGAGGGGAATGGAAGCAAGGAGAATGGATATTCTCTTGGAACTGTCCTTTTCCCCTCTAGTTACATTGGTAAGAACCAGTGGCATGGTCCCATCTCGATCCATGGGTCTGAGAAAGGGGAGACATGTGAGTGTGCAGGGGCGCAGGGAGATTCTGCCTCAGTGGGCGTGGAAGGGACCAGGAGGGGTTGTGATGTCGGGTGTAGGTAGTGACTGCCAGCATCTCTTGAGACTGCACATCACCTCGGGTCATGCATGCAGCTATTCCGAGGTCCAAGCATCTTAAGATTCTAAAAAAAAAAAAAAGGTTACGAAAGTCATGGATACTGAGAGATGTCCTTGAAATCTGACAAAACAAGTCTCATGAATATGTGAGGCCACACCAGCAACCAACTGGTATTGCTGTTTCCCTTCCTGCCCCATGTGCTGGCAGGGGCCGTTGCAATAGCCACGTCATGAAGGCAGAGCTGCGCATTTTCCAGGTGCTCTCCAGCTGTGGGCATGCATTTCCCTTCTGTAGCGTTCACCCTCTACACTGGGTTCGGCAAGTGTACATGCGAGGGCAGCCTATCACGCGTTGCATCTGTCTTCTGCAATACTGAAACCATGGCTTCGTTCCTTGCTACTCAGACCAGCAGGGTCAGCATCACCAGGCAGCTTGTTAGAAGTACAGAAGTTTGGGCCCCACCTGGGCCTAATAAACAAGACTTGGTGTTTTTCTAGCAAGTGCTCCAGGTGAGTCCTATGTGTATTACAGTTTGAGAAGCAAAGATCTATAGAATGTGTTCATTCCAGAGCAAGTCAGTAAGAACGGTAGATTAATGTCTAACTTGAATGGTGTTGATCATAATCCTAAAAGGGAACCGGATAGACAAGAGTTAATCTGAGTTTAAGAAGATCCAGACACAAAGACCGATCTGGAAGATCAACTTGGTCAAGGAAGAACAACTTGGAAACACAAGAACCCTTTTTACAGACTATTGAGTCCTTGGCTGAACTATAATGATGAATGAGTTCCTTATAGGAGTATAAGAGTGTAAATGTGCACACAGGTAGACATTCAAATGCTTTCATTTGGCAAAGCACCTGCAATTGGAATCAGCATCCTGACTTTACTGTAAGACAAACGGCAAAGTCACAGCCTACACCATGGAGTGCTGTTCTGGAATCAGTGCATATTTCTGGGAGTGTGAAAACCTAAGATCTGAAAGATGAAAGAAGAAATGTTAGAAATCATTGGTCAATGGCACCAGGCTGTTTTTTTCTTTTCTTTTTTTTTTTTTTTTTCTCCCAGGCCTGTTCAACCCTTGAGTCTTACCAGAGGAACCCTCTAATGTGATTTAGTACTCAAGGGCCCAACTGTAGCAGTTAAAGTGGATAACAGAAACTCAAACAAGCCCTCGTTAATAACTTAATTAAATCTGCCTGGGATATCATTTTCCTTGGCTGTTCAAATTTAGTCGTATAAGAATGGCAGTCTCTACTGGGTACAAACAAGTAAACTGTGATATCACTTATCATTCTCATCAGGCTGGCTAGAAAGGAATCCGTTCCTAAGGATCTTTCAAGATGACAAGTCTTGTCAGATAAGGTACTATGTTTGGGTGGGTTTTTTCTTTTTCAATTTTTTTATTTTTCTTTTTTCTTTTTTTTTTTTTTTTTTTTTTTTTGAGACAGAGTCTCGTTCTGTCGCCCAGGCTGGAGCACAGTGGCATGATCTCAGCTCACCGCAACCTCTGCCTCCTGGGTTCAAGTGATTCCCCTGCCTCAGCCTTCTCAGTAGCTGGGATTACAGGCATGTGCCACCATGCCCGGCTAATTTTTGTATTTTTAGTAGAGACAGAGTTTCACCATGTTGGCCAGGTTGGTCTCGAACTCCTGACCTCAGGTGATCCCCTAGCCTCGGCCTTCCAAAGTGCTGGGATTACACGCATGAGCCACCGCACCTGACCTCTTTTTCAATTTTAAAACTTGAGATAAAATTCACATACTATGAGATTCATGTTTTTAAAAAACAATGTTGTGATTTTGAGTGCATTCACAGTGCTGTATAGTCATCATCACTGCCTAGTTCTAGAACATTTTCATCACCCAGAAAAGAAACCCTGTACCCACTGCTGTCAATCTCTCCCACCCACAACCCCTCCAAGCCCCTGCCCACCACTCATCTACTTTCTGTCTCTCTGATTTGCCTATTGTGGACATTTCCTATAAATGGCACCATACAATATGTGTTCTTTTGTGTCTGGTTTCTTTCACTTAGCATAATGCTTGCTATGTTTATCCGTGTTGTAGTGTGTGTCAGTGCCTTATTCCTTTTCATGGCTGAATAATATTCTGCTGTACAGATATACCACATTTTGTTTATCCATTCATTAGTCGATGGACATTTGGGTGTTTCCACTTTGGGGCTATTATGAATAATGCTCCATGAACATAAATGTACGAGTTTTTCTGTAAACACATGCTTTCAACTCTCTTGGGTGGAGACCTAGGCGAGGGATTGATGGATCCGTTGGTAATTCTGTTTATTTTTTTGAGGAATGGCCAAATTGTTTCCACGGATGCTGCAGCATCTAACATCTCATCAGTAATGTATGAGGGTTACCAACGTTTGGTTTCCCGGTTTTTGTTTTTTATTTTAAAATTATGGCCATCCTCAGGGGTGTGAAATGATGTCTCATTGTGGTTTTATCTGCAATCCAGAAATGATTAATGATGTTGAGCCTCTTTTCCTGTGCTTATTGGCCATTTGTATATCTTCTTTGGAGACGTGTCTATTCAAATTCTTTGCCCATTTTTAAATTAGGTTGTCTTTGTTGTTGAAGATAGTATTTTTTTTGTGTCATAATTGGTTAAATTAGCTAAAGGTAAATGGTTTTTGCTTATATCACTACCTTTAGCAGAGACATTTTCACCTGGCAAAGCATATAAGAGACAACCTAATGGCTGTCTTATACACTGGGTTTCTATGGCCACATCTATAAAAGTTTCCCTTGAGATGAACAGTATCTTATTGAATTGAACAGGGAGAAATTGATGATGAGGATTAACTTGATTTGCTCACAAAATGATGTTATAGACCGGGCAAAGTGCCTCACGCCTGTAATCCCAGCACCTTGGGAGGCCGAGGAGGGCAGATCACCTGAGGTAGGGAGTTTGAGACCAGCCTGACAACATGGAGAAACTCTGTCTCTACTAAGAATACAAAATTAGCAGGGTGTGGTGGCGCATGCCTGTAACCCCAATTACTTGGGAGGCTGAGGCAGGAGAATCACTTGAACTCTGGAGGTGGAGGTTGCAGTGAGCCAAGATCGCGCCAGTGCACTCCAGCCTGGGCAACAAGAGCGAAACTCCATTTCAAAAAAAAAAAAGTTATATTCACTAACATTACTAACAAGAGAAGTGATCTCCATGTCTCAGTTTTAGTATTTCCATATAAAATAGTAGAATCTTATTTGCACTTATTTTGGAGCAGATTCTCCAATCTTGTTGAAGAATTAACATCCCACCAAGGTTTAGGGGCTGTCACAAATGTCACATACACGGTTCCTTCAGGAGCATCTGTGTCTCATGATAGGTTATTCTTAGTACTTGCAGCTCTGTGAGGTAGGTCTTATGCACCAATTTAAATATAGGGAAACAGGCTGAGTGAGTGTGTGACAATTTACTCAGGGTCACACAGCTAATAAGTGACAGGAATTGAATGAAAATATTGTTCATTTATTTAGCATCTTCTATGGATGTGGACTCTGAAAAGTTAAGAAAATTACCCAGGGTCACATGGTAGTTATGAACCTGAGCTACAGTTTGAATGTACACAGGCCTGATTCCAAAACTGCCACCTGCTCTGAGGTTACACTGTCTCTTTTGGCATTTTTGTTAATTCATACCACATTTCTCATTCTAAGTAAAAATCCATCTAAGCATGGTGACATGCATATCTCTGAGTTGTCTCCTCACTGTGGGATTTGACTTACCTCACTCCTGGCATAGCAGGCTTATTTTTCTGCATTCAAATATTTATGCCAATATGTTACATCTCAAGATAGTTTTTTTTTTTTTTTTTTTTTTTTTTTTTTTTTTTTCAGACAGAGTCTCACTCTGTCACCCAGGCTGGAGTGTAATGGCGCGATCTTGGCTCACTGCAACCTCCACCTCCCAGGTTCAAGTGATTCTCCTGCCTCAGTCTTCCGGGTAGCTGGGATTACAGGCATGCACCACCATGTCTGGCTAATTTTTGTATTTTTATTAGAGACAGGGTTTTGCCATGTTGGCCAGGCTGGTCTCAAACTCTTGACCTCTGGTGATCCACCTGCCTCGGCCTCCCAAAGTGCTGGGATTATAGGCATGAGCCACCGCTCCCAGCCAATATAGCATTTTAGCACGGATTTTTACCCTGAAACTCAGCTATAAAACTTATGTAATATTAACAAGATAAGAGCTCCCTGTGAACGTAGGAGGCTGAATGGGAAGTGGGTACAGGGCCAGGTGTAATCAGTGAATAGGCAGCTGTCCCCAGTGCCTTCTGTGAGGACTTCCCCATAGTTTGTGGTTTCCTGGTGTCTTGAAGCTAATTAAACTTGGAGATTCAGATTCACGACGTCTCAATTCACAGAAATCATGAGTTATGGTTGAATGGCATCCCCTGCAAAAGATATTGAAGTCTTAACTCCTCGTACCGTGAATGAGACCTTATTTGGAAATAGAGTATTTGCAGATGATCAAGTTTAGATGGGGTCACTAGGTGAGCCCTATTCCAACATGATCATGTCCTCACAAAAAGGTGAAATTTGGACACAGAGACCTGCACACAGGGAGAATGTCATGTGAGGGTTGGGGTGATGCTGCCGCAAACAGGAAAACCAAAGATTGCCAGCAAACCACCAGAAGCTGGGGGAGAAGCCTGGAACACACACCCTGGTGGCCTCAGAAGGAACCAACCCTGCTGACACCTCGGTCTCAGGCTTTCAGCCTCCACAACTAGATGACAACACAGTTCTGTTGCCAAAGCCCCTCTGTTTGTGGTGTGTTGCCATGGCAGCCCTGGGAAACTAACACACCAACTCACAAACCAAAATGTAAACGGGTTAATTTGCCGTTAGAGTTGTACCTGCCAAGGGGGCATTTATTTGTGTCTGCTGTCCAGGCTCTCCACCCCACGTAGGAAAACCATGGCAGCCATCAGTGGCCACACTGGCTGTTGAAAGAGTGAGGTCTCTGCTGCCAGCGTCTCTTGGGGTCTCCTGTTTTCCACGCCTTGTTGGCTGGCCTGGGCCCTGTGGGTGGACACCATCCTTATGTGGATCCACTAACTGCTTTGTCCAGATCTAACTCTGGCCAGGACAGTAGGCTGTCTCTTTAAGTTTCCTTCTTATATACCGATACTCATCCGTGACAAATCGACATTACAGTTTGACTCTTACAGGTGAGCCATATTTTCAATGGGGAGGGTGTCTTCTGTTGCTTCCAGTTTCCTGATTATTTCTTCTGAAAACCAAGGGTTATTCATCATCCAATAAACACTAAATGGTATTTAGGTATTCCTAAGTATCAGGCCCTGTGCTAGGCTCTGGGGATTTAGAAATCAACACGTTGGATAAAACTCTCTGCCTCCGTGGTGCTTTCATTCTAGGAGGGTGTGGTGGGCAGAATAATGGTCCCCCAAATGCTCATGTCCTAATTGCTGAAACCTGTGAATATGTTACCCCACACGGCATAAAGAACGCTGTGGATGTGATTAAGCTGAGGACCTTGAGGTGGGGAGTTTGTCCTGGATTATTTGGGTGGGCCCGGTGTCTTCATAAGGGTTCTTATAAGAGAAAGACCAGAGTCAGAGAGAGATTTGAAGGTGCTGTGCGGCTGGCTTTGAAGATATTAGGTTGGTGCAAAAATAATTGCATTTTTTACCATTAGTAACGGCAATTACTTTTGCACCAACCTAATAAAAGGGAGGCCATGAGTCAAGGAACATGGGCAGCCTCTAGAAGCTGGAGAAGGCGAGGAACAGACTCTCCCCTGGGGCTGCAGAAGGAGCAACCTCTGCTGACACCTGGATTTGAGGCCTTCTGATCCCTAGAACTGTAAAAGAATGCATTTGTGTTATTTGGGGCCACTAAGTTTGTGGCCATTTTTTTCAGGAGCAGTGGAAACTAACACATAGGAGAGACAGACAATGAACAAATCATTGAGGAAAATGCGTATTATGTCAGTGGAATTATGTGCCATGGAGAAAAATGATGCAGGGAGGGGAGAGACAGTGAGGGATGGGAGTTACAATTTAAAATGAGGCTGGGCAAGGCTGGACCCAGAAGGGGATGTTGGAGCAAAGACCTGAAGGAAAGGAAGGATGGAGCCAGGCAGTCCCTTGGGGGACAAGTGTCCTAGGGAGAGGGAACTGCCAGTGCAAGGACCTCTTGCAGGCTTCCTCAACCTCAGTGCTATTGACATTCTGGGCCAGATCATTGTCTGGGGAGCTGTCCCAGGCATGGTAAGATGTTCAGTGGCATCCTGGCCTCTACCCACCTGATGCCTGTAGCCCCCTCCCCTTAATGGTGACACCCAAGCATGTCTCAGGACATTGCCATTGCACCTGGAGGACAAAATCACCCATGGTTGACAGCCACTGCTTTAAAGGGACCAGAGAAACATGGCTGAGGCACGAAATTTTCTGGGGTGCTGGCATGATACAAAGCCAAGGTCCCAACAAATGAATGAATGCTCTGATGCTTGCATTCAGGGAACAGCAGCATCAGCCTCACTGGGAACTTACTAGAAAAGCAGAATCTCATGACATACCCCAGCCCCACCAAGTCAGGATGCGCGATGCAACGGAATCCCCAGGCAGGCAGTAAGTATGCCCATCAGATTTGAAAGGCGCTGGTTCAGAGATCCCTGTGCGGTCCTTCTCAGCTGCAATGGTGGTGGATGCTGCACCAATTAGGAGTCCATTCATGAGACAGATATCCTGGGGTACCTGCCATGTGCAAGTTTCCAGCTCAGGGCTGTGTAGAGCTGCCTCATGGCAGGTGCACAGGCTCTGAGGTCAGACTGCCTGGGTTCAAATCCTCACTCTGCATAGTAGCACTGTGACCCTGGCAAGGCACCCAGCACCTCCAAGCCTGTTTCTGTATTTCTGTAGTGAGGCTAATGATAAAAATAGTCCTGATTCCATGATGTTTACTGTCAGGGGTAAGAAGGACAGCCCAACTAACATGTTTGGCTCAGTGCTTGGCACTCCAAAAGTGGTCAACCTTTGTTTTTAAGAGTATCTATCTGTCTGTCTATCTGTCTGTCTGTCTATCCAAAGGAGGCAGTTGGTGGAGGCAGGAAGTACATGCCTACCTCATAGTGCTTCAGAGAGGATTAAATGAGATGACTGTCAAGTGCTCAATTCAGCATCTAATATAAAACAAACACTGCATGAATGGCAGTAATTAATATTATCAGAATAATTTCTTTTGAGAAAATGAACAGTGGTAAAGGGCTTAACAATGAATGACGTTCTCAGCTGTTTACTCTGAATTACACTCTTGTGGCCAGAATGTCCTTGGCTCCTTGGCAGTAATTGTCAAACCAGGATGGGAGCAGTCAGTCCTTCCACTCCCCCAGCCTGGGCCAAGCAAGGCAGGTTTCCATCTGCTTGTGACCTCTTGTCACACACAGAGAGGGTGGAGAGGCTTCTCTCACATGGCAGCTCTTGTGGGGAGCTCTCATTGTTTTTGCAACATCAGGGTTGGTGATGGTGTCTGAAGGATAGCTGAAATCCCAAGCCCTGAGTTCAGGCAGTCCTGGGGTTGGTTATTCCAGCAGTTGGATGACATTTTCTAAGACCTAGGTTCCTTTCATATTTCCTTTCTGCCATCCTCAGTGTCTGGGTTGGCTCTCCTCATGGGATCAGGATGGCTGCAGTCACTCCAGGCATCACATCTTCATTTGCTGAAATTCAGAGACAGCAAAGGAGAGCCATATGGTCCCTATGTCTCATTTTCCAATATAAAATTTTTTTTCCAAAGCCCACCCGCTCTCTCTTCTACAAAAAGCCTTTCCTTTCATCCTCATTGGTCAGAATGGCAACAGGACCTATCCTAAGCAAATTGCGGGCAACAGGAATGATTGATTTTATGGTTGATATTAATTTCTCTTAAAGCTGGGGATAGGGTAGCCTTTTCTGAATACAAAACCATGAGACAGAAGGTGCCATCCAAGCAAAATCAGGGTCCTGCCAGCAAGATAAGATATTGACTGTATAGGTTACCTGCAGTGTCTCCTTCTGAGGCCTTCACCCCATATCAGACCCTTTAATCTCTGATTCCAGCATCCAATTATCTATACAATCAGATTCAGGAAGAGCAGAATTAAGACACAGCCTGGATTTCAGGGGGAAGTAGTCATTCGCAATACTTCTGCAGGAAATTCTTAACTCTATGACAGCAACCGGATTGCAGGCAGACCACACATCTCCCTTTAGGTTGATGGAGCCCTGGTTTAGAACCCGGAGCTGGGCCCACACCAAGATTCCCATCCATCCCAGGATTTCTAATCAGTTAAGGCATCTCTTGGGAAGAACTCCATGGAGGGGACTAGTGGGCTGATACACCTGAGAAAGGCTCCAGGAGAGAGAGCCAGTGTCAGATAAAAGGGGGATTCTGGGATGGCACAGCATTAGACACTCAGATAATCCCTGGGCTCTTTGACTCCTGTGTTCCTTATGTGCAAGAGCAGACACTGAGGAGCCAGGCCCCCGAAATATCTGCAGGACATTGAGAATGGGGCGGACCCAGGTGGGGTCACCAGTGTTTGGGGTTAGCAGTTTGAGCCATCATGCTGATCATGATGATCAGCTTCTCCAAAACCTGCAAAACTGGCACTGCCTCCAGGAGTCAGGGAAGGAAAGGAAGTGGAGGAGGCTGAGGACATGTGGAGGAGGCTGAGGACATGTGTACAATGAACATCCCTCCCTGCCCCAGGAAATCTCTGAAAGAGTTGGAGAAGGATTTTGAGGGGGGCAGAATTCTTCACATGGCAGGTACCAGGACCACAGAGTAATATCCTTAGGGAACATACATTGCTTCTGGCTCTATCCCAAGGCTGGTGTGGCTTGCAATGGTGGGTTTGGTTAAATTTGTGACTTTCTCTTTGGTAAAATGATGGATGCTTTGCACTGGAGTCAAGCACCTCACTTGATCATTTAGGCCTGACTCACCTACTAGAATATCAGCCCTCTGAGGACAAGTGCCTTTGCCTATATCACAGTCTCCCCAATATTGTGGGTGTCACTATTGGTTGTCCATTCTGTTTTTGGAAGCTTTTTTATATGATAAATACAGCATCCCAGCACACTTCAAATTACATAGCAATGCAAATTTTCATTCATGTAATAATGGATTCAAACACATATTTATGAAATAAACTGTTGCAATGATCATTACTTACCATGATGCCTTTTAAATGTTACAATTGTAGTTTTTTTAGTTGTTATGAGGCATAGGCAGTTGAAATTAACTGCACAGTGAGTTAGCGTTTAAGGAAATGGAAACACCCAGGAGTAGCCATTAGAAGAATGAGAATTCTGCAAACCACAGATAGAGGAGGCTCATTTCCCCCACAGCCACTTACTGGAAACTTCCACTAAAGATTCAATGCCCAGAATCTCACAAGGAAAGATGTTTTCCCTTAGGAAGTCTCCTTTGGTTTACTCTCCATGAGCTGGAAGTCTTATCAGTGAAAATGAAGAGGGAGCGAGCACCAGGGCTGTTTGGCCTGTCTGTGAAAAACAGACCAGCAGAATTCCCCTACACGCAGGAGGGGGCATCCTGCCATCAGCGGGGAGAAGGGGTCACAGCCGAAGCATCATATGCATCCTTGCCGTGTGTGTGACTTGCCTTGCAGCTTGCATGGTGCTTTTCTGTCTAGTGTTTCATTTTACCTTTAAAACAATACTGAGAGGTAGGCAGGATGGGGATTCTCAGCCTCATCCTGTAGTTGAGCGGTCTGAGGTTGAGTGGGGTTAGACAGGTGACTCATTCAAGATCACATCCCCAAATGCAGACCCAGTGACACCTGACACTCCTCCCTGTCCATCCTCTGTGGGGTAGGCATCGTCCCCGACACAAACACTCCTGAAAGGAAAACTGAAAACAAAATTGTTCAGGGACAGAATCTGAAGCAAGAGGGGTTGTCTTCTAGACACTGGGAGGTGCTAAGGAGAGAAAGCAAGGTGCAGTGCTGGGATGTCGGCAGAGCCCTGGCAGTGGGGGAAGGGGGAGGGGAAGGAGGTCACCCTTTCTGTCATCAGCATGAGGGTGGTGATGCAGGCTGGCAACACAAACCGTCCATCCTCGTCTTCCTAGATCCAGAGCCCCAGATTTATTATTATTTATTTTTTTAGACGGAATCTCGCTCTGTTGCCTAGGCTGGAGTTCAATGGTGCAATATTAGCTCACTGCAAATTCCGTCTCCCGGGTTCAAGAGATTCTTATGCTTCAGCCTCCCAAGTAGCTAGGATTACAGGTGCCTACCACAATGCCCGGCCAATTTTTTGTATTTTTAGTAGAGACAGGGTTTCACCATGTTGGCCAGGCTGGTCTCAAACTCCGGACCTCAGGTGATCCACCTGCCTTGGCCTCCCAAAGTGCTGGGATTACAGGCGTGAGCCATCGCGCCTGGCCCAGAGCCCAATATTTTTTAAACTGCAGAACCTTCCTGATCAAAGGGCAGCAGGTTAGTGGAGCCTCCAAGAGCCCAGCCCTTGGGTTGAAGGGATCTGGGTCTTAAACTAGTTCCACCCTCGCAGAACATTAGCTAATCTCCTCTGAACCTCGGTTTCCTCATCTGTAAGTGCAAATAAAATTAGTTGATCTCTTGGGGCCTTTGGGAGGAAAAATTATCAAGGAAGTGAAGCACTTAGCATGGTATCTAGCATATACTAAGCACTCAGTAAAGGCTGCAGTGGCTATTACCATGATCATCTAGGACTAACAGGGACTATAAACCAGGCTGTGCCTAATGTTACTATGTTACAGTAATTTTAATTAACAAATGCAAACGAGATGCTCGTCTTCTAAAAGGCATGTTATAAAAACAACTTTAAAAATTGCTTGTTTTGGTTACTTCTTTCACACCATGCTGCCATGCTCCATGCAGAATGCAGTCACAGTTACATCCTGCATTAGGAGCAGTTCACGCCCAGAGTTGTGTGTAAGGTGGTACCATTCAAAGAAAGCCACGGCATATTCTGAAAATTTAGGTGGAGTAAGTAACACAGATCTTTCATTCTCACTTCTAATCTTGGGGAAGAAACAACAGGCTACTTTCTCAGAAACCCTCACATTGCAAGTTCCTCTCTGAAACTGACGCAGCCCCACGCTTAAGTTGAGAACTGGTGCAAAACAAATGTATAAAATCCTCCAATGTCTTGTGCAAATTCTATTTTAAACGAGTTTCAGCTGAGCCAGGGAGAGCCAGAAGGAGAGGGCTGTTTTAAGGATAAGTGAACATGTACGAGACAGCTGAATGAGGAGAGAAGAGAAATGCCTGCATATCAACTGAGATGGCGGATTTCTTTCTGGCAGGCAAATGCCAAGCTGTGGGCATCAGACCTACAACAGGACACAAAGCAGAAGAGAGGTTATTCAGCTGGGCAGCCAGAGAGCTGCTAAATCAAGGACTATCAAGTTCTGCATTTGTTCTCTTCTTACTTTTTTCATGTCAAACCCTTAATCTTCACATCAGTTATATGCACATAATTTTGTCGTTCCTTGCTACCACATGATTGTGACATCAAAACAGTCTAACAGTTAACGCTGGTAACAGGATCGTTCCAAGAACCCAAGCTCTGGAGACGAGCATAAAGGCACAAAACAGTAAGGCCAGGCGTCCCTGGTCTACCGAAAAAAACTTACAAACGAAGAATCGAAACCTTGAAGGAAAAGTTCAGATTGTGGCAAACGAAGAATCGAAACCTTGAAGGAAAAGTTCAGATTGTGGGAAATAGGACAGCGGCTTAGGATTAACACCAACCTCCTCGGTTACTAGTGGTCAGAGGGATGGGGCCACTTGCAGTTAATTTTCTAGAAAACATAACATGATTGATGTTGTCTAAGTATCAGATGTCACTTGGCTCCCCAAGAATGTATTTGTTGAATCAAGATTAAATTAAGGTTGCCCTATAAAGCAAGGGTTTTGGTCTTTGCTTCTTCTGATTCTCAACATTTTTACTCCTGGGGAGCCACAATAGTCCCTAAGTGGTTTTTCAGCCGCTTTTTAGGTTTCAGAAACAGCATCCGTGCCCTTTTGATGTAATCTATGTCCCAATAATTAGTTCCTGCAGCAATGTAAATGATTAAAGTCAAGCCACGCTCATTTTTAAAGAAAAACCTCTAAACCCACAAATGTGTTCACCAATGTGTAAGTTTCAACACGCTTGGTTGGAGCAATGATTCATCTCACAATACTGATCTGGAAGAATAACAATATTTTGTCTATTTTCATTTAAATATTTAATAGGAGATAGTAATTTTATTTAATTCCTAAAGTTTATGACCAAAACTAATTGACAGGAATTAAGTCATTCAGCCAATATTTACTGAGCACCTGCTATATGCTCAGTACTATGCTAGGCACCAGCAATTAAAGAAGATCTCCTCCCTGCTTTGAGGGGATCACAGCCTAGTGATATGGGATGTATGAAAAGTAATGGATTCAAGAGTCCGGCAACCTAAGTTTGACACCTAATTCAGCCTCTTACACCTTTGGAGGAGAAGACCACCTGGGTTGATCAGACGGTCTCCAGGTGCTTGTTTTCACTCCATTCTGGCCCAAGCCCAGAGTCAGCAGCCTAGGTTTTAGTGGGATGAGGATACCAAGAAGTGTGGCTAAAAGGGAGATTGCAAGGACCTGACTTAAAGACCTGCAGGCGGGTGAGGTTATCACACGTTCCACATGTTGGCAGCCAATAACAACAAATTGAAAGCGATTGAACACTTACTGTGTGCCAGGCATGGGGATAGGCGCTTCACCTGTATTATCCTGCTTCATCCTCCCAACAATTCTTTGAGGTACCATTATGATCCCATTTTACATATGAGAAACTGAGGCTTAGAGGGAAAGGACTTGAGCAAAATCACAGGGCCCTAGGCACTTGAGCCAGATTTTGGAACTGGCTCTTTTGGGCTCCATGCTTAAGAGACCCCATACCCCACTAGGGTCTTAACCATCACTTAGTAGCAATTAAGCCTGTCGCTTAACAGCTGCCACGTGCCTCCATATGCTACCCATTGCACCCATTCAAGGTTCTATTGGTTCTGGCCCAATCGCATTTTTCTCTAGAAAGTGGACCTTTTCTCTGCAGAGTCTACAGAGTGTGAGGGTCTAACTACACCTGCTATTTAAGAGAGCTCAAGCCTTGGACTCAAAAAGCATGGACTCAGCCCAGGTACTGAGCAGAGAGACAAAGCCAAGATACTGAGTAGCTTTGTAACTTCCAGCGTTCTTATATTAGTACAAAGCTATTTCCAATTTTATATAATTACCTTTTTGAGGTAATTATCAATTCATGACCTTTTTAGTAAATGAGAGTGCTGAGGAAGGGCTAGACATTGAGGCCATTTTCCTAAAGGATTTGAAATGACGCAGTGGAAGGCACCCAGATGAAGGACAGGCGCAAGTGAACGAGCCTCAAATGCATACAGACTCCTGCATTTTAGCATCCGGATCCACCATTCACGGCAGAGCTAGACCCTGACACCAAAAATTGAGATGACTGATATACCGACTAGAACTCCAGACACCATCTTGTGATCCATCCCCCCACTCAGCAGAGGCCTAGAGAATGAATACCAGCAATGTCAAAAAAACAAACAAAAAATTCCACAGAAAATCTCCCCAGTCATTTGATTGTATAAATAATTTATTTCTGTTCACAGCATCATATATGCATTATAAAAGGCTATGGAAACAAAAGAGAAGGATGATGAGACAGAGAATTACAGCAGTAGAAAGGAAAACAGAAACCAGGGCACACAGTTCCAACACCAGAACAGAGAATTTGGGAAGATAATTGCTCTGAAACAGAACTGGCCTCCCTGTGTCTATTAGAAAACATTTCCAAAGCTCACGGAGGGAGGCCAACTTCCCCTATGGGAAACCCATTCACTCGCCAAAGGGCAGAAGGCATCATAAATCACCCATTGATACATTGGTGGGGGGCTCCCTGTCCCCCTGGTGACCACTCCAAGGTGATTTGATCTGTGCTTCCTCTGTTGGGTCAGAGACGAAACGGGCTATTATTAGGTCAAACATTACAGAAATCAACTGAGACTCTTAACTAGTAGTTGATACACCACAGGGCTTTACTTTACTGCACAATTACTAACAGTTGATTGCACCCTTAAGTATTGATTATGCAAAAAACAAAATCATCTCGCATCAGTTTTAAAGCATGACAGGGTTTGAACAGTGATCTTGAACCTAAGTATTGTTATCATGAGAAGGTTACAGTATTTGGCATCTGCAATGTCACAAAATAAATATATTATTCTCTCAATAGTGTGGAACTACCAAAATGTCAAAGTGCTTAAGAAATTGTCGCATGTGAAGAAAATAAAGAAAGATGGATTTTTTTTTTAATAATTCTATACAGAATCTTCAGATGATGGGACCAGCCCATTTAGAAATCAGTGGATATGCTGTCGATATGTAAACTGAAATCTTGCAGGCTTTTCAACACTGCTTAGCTAGACTTTCTCTACTGAGTTTCTACAAAAAGACCAGCATTGGAGGGGTACCAAATACACCGACAAAAGAGAAAAAGCAGATGGGCTGCTAGGTTTCTGCTTTTAAAAAATTTCATATAAGAATTGGGTTTCAAGCAGGAAGCCAGAACTTCTGCCTCTGGTTCTTAAATTAACATTCGGTGTGTAATGGACAATAGGCAGGGACTCATAATTTGACTAACTCACATGCTCAAGCATGATCGTGTCCAATTTCTACAGGCCTCCTTTGTAAAGAAATGTGTAACAATGGGGGGAAAGTCATAATTCTACCTGAAAACATGGATTGTAAGAGGAAATAAAAAAATCAAACAGTATGTTTTAAGTTTCCCTTTTGATACTGTGTTTCAGGGTAAGTGACAGCTTCTGCAAACCAAGACTCAGTCCTGATTATAAAGGATTTTTAAAATTACATTATTAAAAATATGTATTTATTCTTCTTTCACTTTATCTATTTTCCAAAGCCTCTTTCAAGTAAACTGTGAAGTGCCTGAGTACCAGTGACCATGACGTCACACTTTCTTTTATCTCAAGCACTCATTGTTGTTTGCATTTGCCCAAAGTGCTGGCTGGCTCCGAAGGCCAGTTCCCACAAGAATGAATTCGGAAAGACTTCATCCTTGTGTTTTTCCTTCTCTTTTAATTCCATGCAACGAGGTCAGCTTTTGCAACAAGGTGGGGTTTTATTTTTTTGGTGCATGACATCAAATACTCTAACGAGACATTTTTAATGAAAGACTTAAACCAGATAGGCCACAATGAACCAAATTAGAAATCTGAACATGTCACCACTTGCAGCATAAAGGAATATAAAAGGGCAGAGCAAAGTCTTTTTTCCTAAGGTGAATATTTCTAAGGTAAGTATTCATTTGTAAAAGTTTTTTTTTTTCATCATGTCTGAAAACCCATTATCACGCGGTTAGTATTACAAGAGACATCCCTTGGTTAAAAAAAAAAATACCATCTTGCAATTCAGCACACACCTGCAGCTGGTGTGCTCATCCAAACCAATCAGTAGGCTAAGAGAATTTAAAATTCCATACATATGAGTCTAGGTATTAATGCCGATTACACAGTACACAGTACAGAGGGAGGTCCCTATATCCACACACACACACACCCCATCCAGCATTTACACCAAAAGCCTTACCCTTTAAACACCTTTAACTATCCTGCAAACAGTAAATGCATCATTGGCCACCACCTCCAATAGTTCGTCTTTTTTTTTTTTTATTTTTTTTATTTTTATTGGTCTCTTTGTGTGATAATGACCTACACATGGACAGGGTCCAAACCATCTGGAAGATGTCTGATTCCAGGCTGAAAAGCAGTTCTCAACAAAACTGGTCTTCTGCAGCCACCACAAAGCACCAGGAAAAGGGCACCTCCGCGGCCATCCCCAGCCAGGCCAGCACAGCGCTCCGTGCCCGCTGAACCGTCCCAGGCAGTCCTCTGATGACCCAAACCACCACCACCTTTGGGCCCAGAGCAGGACAAATGAAATTTCAACAGGGGCCTGCCCTGTGACCGAAAATTACTCAGCTTCACAGCCCCTGAATGCAAGGAGAGGTGGTCCCCCCAGAACCAACATGCCCCCCAAGGTGGGTACGCCCACGGTTCTGGGAAATGCATACCTCAGGTAATTCACAGGTGCGATCCCCCAGTGGAGGCGGGGCAGCCTGAACTTCTGGCCCTGCAGGAGTGGGAAGAAATCGCTTTTGTCTTTCCGACAACTGAGCCTTCCACCTGGGGCTGGGAGGGCGGACAGCAGGACCGGCTCTTCCACTCCCCACCGCGGCCCCCCGACCTGGTCAGTAGCTCTGGCGTTCAGACAAAAGGTCCCCTGAGCTGGGGGTGGGGGGCAGGTCGAGAGTAGGCCGGTAAATCAGACTTCGCAGCTCCTTAAGTCACCAGTCCTGCATTTGGGTGCAGAGATTCCGTTTTAAAAATTCGAAGCATCGCTTTGGTTCGCTCTTTGTTCGCGGGCGCGGGTTCTCGCTCATCCATCCATCCATCCATCCAACCATCCATCCATCCATTCATTCTTTCTTGACGCACTCGCTCGCTCCCCGGTCGCTCCGGGCGCATTACCGCTTCTTCTTCTGCTTGAGGGACTTCCTGCGTTTCAGGATCATCTCATAGAGCTTGTCCATGCCCTCGGTGAGGCCCTCGCCGATGATGGCGCACGCCGGCTGGACGTGATAGGTGGTGGCCGGGATAAGCTCGTGCAGCGCCAGCTGCTTCTCAATCTCTGCCACCGGCAGCGACTTGGGCAGGTCCTGCTTGTTGGCGATGACCAGCAGCGGCGTGCCCTGGTTCTCGGCGAACTTGGTCACCTTGTGCAGCTCCGTCTTGGCCTCCTCCAGCCGGTCCACGTCCACCGAGTCCACCACGTAGATGATGCCGTCCGTGCAGCGGCTGTAGGACTTCCACAGCGGCCGCAGCTTCTCCTGGCCGCCCACGTCCCAGAAGTGGCAGCTGATGCCCTTGGCCGTGCCGTTGCTCAGCTTGATCTTCTCGGTGTTGAAGCCGATGGTGGGCACCGTGTTCACGAACTCGTTGAACTTGAGCCGGTAGAGCACCGTGGTCTTGCCGGCCGAGTCCAAGCCCAACATGACGATATGCAGGGACTGGAAGGCCGAGATGTTAGAGGAGATGTTGCCCATGGCTCCTGGCTGCGGCGCCAGCCACTGCGGCTGCGGCGGGAGGGCGCCGCCCCCCGAGCAGTCACGGGCCCGACGCGGCCGGGCGCACCTGGGCCCCGCCCGCCGCCGCCCGCACCGGCCCCGGGGCTCGGCGTCCCCGCGGGCGCACGGCTTGGCGCGCTCAGACGCCGCAGTCCCCGCGCCCTCGCCGGCCGGGCTCGCGATCGGCGGGCATCGCGTCTCTACGCGCGGCTTTGTCTCCCGCGAAGCCGCCTCAGATGTTCGGCGCCCTCCCCAGGCCTGGGCTCGCTCTGTGGTTTCCTCGGGCCGCGCCCCCGCGCTCCGGCAGCTGCCCGGGCTCTCCGCTCTCCCGGCGCCCGGCGCTCGCCTCTGGCCTGGGACGGCGCTGCTCCTGCTCCTGCTCCCGCTCCCGCTCCCGGAGCGCGGGCTTCCCCGGGAGTCGCTGTCCGCTCGGCAGCCTCACAGTCCCCGCGCCGCCGCAGCAGCCGCCAGCCTGCAGCGGCCGGAGAGCTCCCGGACCCGCCCCCTCGCGCCCCGCCCCGGACCCGCCCCCGGACCCGCCCCGGGCCCCGCCCCGCCCGCCGCCGGGGGTCAGGCGCGGTCCTCCCCGCCCAGCCGGCCGTTTTCGCGCGCTTCGCTGCGTCCCCGCCGCCCCCCGCCGCCCCCCGGCCCCTCCCGCGCCGCGCCGCGCAGACACAATGGGCGCGGAGCCGGCTCTTCCTCCCCAGCGGCTGACGCGTTTGCAAAAATAGCTCTCGGCTCCCGGAATCCCCGCCCGGGTCCTAGCCCGCCCCCTGCCCCTCCGGGCCGCAGCCGTGGGCGACGCAGCCTGCCTGAGGGAGTGGGTCCCGGGGTCCCAGCTCTGTGGGCGCGAGGCGGGGCAGGGCGGCCCCCAGGGTGACTGGGAGAGCGCCGCTCTGGGGAGTGAGGGCGGCGAGGCTGGGGCCTCCAAACCCCAGAAGGGACGGGACGGGGCTGGCCTCGGTGAGCTGCCAGCCTGCGCTCTGGATCCAGCCGGGCGCGTCCCCTCCCACCCTCGCGCCGCGGCTGTCGCCGGCCCCGGCCCCCAGTGACGCCCAGGCTCGCCTCCTGCCTGGGTTCCAGGGGGCTGCACCCGGCCAGCGCCGCCCTCCGGAGCCCAGGCCTGTGCCCAGGGCACCCTGGAGGCCCAGCCTTTCTTGCCCGGTGGCGGCGGTTGGGGCAGGGTCGGACCTAGGCCGCGATGGGGGATTAGAAGACCTACCTGCCCCAAGTAGCTCGGACAGCTCACCCTCCCAGACACGCCTGGGCTACCTCATTTCGTCCGCATCGACTCTGCTGACATCCCAGGGGAAGCGTCAGCATTTCGGGAGAGCACCCCTTGCCACCCGACTTTGGGAACTGAGAACCACCTGCCCGCAGGTGAACTACTCCGCAGAAATGGCAACACCAGCCCCGGGGGCTGAAAGAAAATGTGTCTACAGCTTGGAGCTGGTGGCGCAGTGGGTTACAAACACTGATATTCCACGGGTTCCACCTCCTGTCACCTCAGTTCAATGGTTTTATTCTGGTTTGTAAACATGTAACAAATGTATATCCTCTCTGGGTGCGGAGAAAAGTGAGAGTATATTATGGCAAACACACAGATCTGGGGAGAGCTGCTCCGCAGGAGACAGCAGGCCGCAGCATGGGCGACCGCATCTTCCCAGCTCTAGCTTATGAGACAGAAACGACGGAAACGGGGTCAAGGGAGAAGAAAATGAAAATGCTAAGAATTTATGAATAAAAGCTAGAATTTTAGAGAAATACTTTATCACCTTCTGTTCACAAACCACGAAAAGACATATGATATCGTTGGTACCAAAGCATGTGAGAAGACCTCACCTGTAGAAGGAAGGACAAGCCACCACCACCCCTATCCTTGGAATTCCCAAGGTGGCAGCCGGAGCGACCATCCACTCTACTGAGTGGATTTGGGGCTGGAAACGAAGTATCAGGCTGGAAAGGACCCTGCCTATCATTCCACCCAACGTTGTCCAGTGAGGTAACAAGGCCTAGGCGCCCGTGACGGCTAAGGCAGAACCTAGAGGCCCACTGCCTGCTCCAGGACCAAGGGTCTGTATGCACAAAACTGGGCACCTGCCTGCCCTCTTCCTCACATCCCACTCTACCCACACGCTATTTCCTTCAATGAGGAATAAAGTGAGCCACCCGAAGGATAGAGTTCAACAGAAAATATTGGCTGCACTGTGCCACTTACTTCATTTTAAATAAAAATGGAAATGTATTCACTGACATCACTGAAAAGTTAAGGATAAAGGTCCTCTTCAGGCATGGCTAGACCCAGGAGCTCAAAAGGAGTCTTTCGAGCAGGTGTCTCTCCAGTCCTCCTCCGTGTTCCCCTGTGTTGATTCTTTTTCCTTCTGGCAGCCTTGGACTCACATCCTTGGTTTAGATCCTGGAAAGGAAAAGGTACAACTCTTTCCCAGTAACTCTAACCAAAGCCTGGAGCACGCACCCTGGATCAAGGACTGCAGTCCAGGAGGAGGGAACACACCAGTGGATGTGGCCCAGGGGTTGAAATCGGGAAGGGTGGTTCTCCAAGAAGAATCCAGGATCTGTCACCAAAAGAGCAACTCTAGTGAGGCAACAGAAACAACATATGTTGGCATAATTCATAATGATGATGTTTCCGTTATTGGGAACCCTGGGGAGACAGGATTTTGTGTTTTTGGAGTGATTTTCTTGACTCTCTTTAATGCCTGCCCCATAGATAGCCAGCTTCTCATGAGACTGTTTCTTGTTTCTCTTTCTTCTCTGCCACAGGCAGGGCCGAGGCTGAGCCCCAACCCAAGATGAGCCTTTGGTTTAGTAGCCTGGGACCTGGACATTTGGAAAGAGACAGATCAGACTGGAAGCCTCTCCATCCGGCTTCCACAGATTACCTTTGTGTTACTTCCTTTTCCCCTAGTCAAGACTTGCTTTAAGTTTTAAGGTGGTAGGAAGGAGATATTTTAGTAAAGTATCCGATGTATCTTTTTGGTGCTATGCTAATTATTACCAAGAGCCTCAGTGGTTTTGACTGCAGCCTCCACATTTTGCACCACCATGATGGGGTTTAGCAATAAAGGGCTGTCTGCTGTCCAGTAGGAAAAAACAGATTAATAGACATTAATAGAGCCTTCCAGAACACAGCCATTAAACAGCAACTCACCATAATTGAATAGCAACCACTCTACCTGCTAATTTCACTCACCAGGTGATAAGTTAATTTTACAGTTGATAATTTAACTTCTAACACATAAAAATATCATTTGGTTGAGTCGACTGGTAACTTTCCTTCAAATGTGGATTTTTATTGAAAAACACTGGAATTATGAAAAGGAAGGTAATGTTTACCACTCATATCAGACATGTAAGGCCTACTTTGAGCCTATTTCTTCATGGACATACATCATGGCTAAATTCCACTGAGTGGAAAATATTGGCTGCACTGTGGCACTTACTTCATTTTAATTAATCAGAAGGAGAGATTTTTTCAAAGAATAGCATGTACTTGTGTCTGCCTGAGATGAATTCCTCTTCCAGCAGCAGTGACATTTCAGGTCCTCTCCTTTCTATTCTTCATCAAGATGACTGCATCCAGAGAAGAACTCAATTATTTCAAGCAAACAGAAGGCAATAACTTGGCAGTAATTTTGAAATTGCATCCTAAAATATTCTCTTTTTTTTCCCTTTAAGGGCTTTGAAATAAAATGTGCCACCAATTAAAATGACTTTTGAGTGAATCCGATGAGCAATATATCATGGCATTATTATCTTTGCTTGAGTAAGGCTAATAACCTAAAATGCAAAAGGGAGCATCCCATTTATTCTTGAATATGATGAGTAAATAAAGACCAGAACATGGGCACACGTGTACACACATACACACACGCGCGTGCGCGCATAAGTGTGGGGTTATTTGCATGTTCTCACTGCAGACCTGCTGTGGAACTCTGGGTTCAGGTTCACTGCCCCGGTGCTTAACTGTTATAATACAGGAGTGCCCTCTGCTGAGCTTCTCGGATAATAGATGAAGGGCTCTACAGAGGCACATTGGCCTAGTGCTTAGCAAATGTTCAGTCCATAGTTATGGAATGAATGATGGATAAGTGACCCCCTGCTTTTCTTCTCTCTATGGAGATGCAGGAATAGAGCCCTACTGGTTAAACTGAGAAAGTGCCAGGGGCCCATGGGTGCTTTGCTTGGGGCTCAGAGCTCAGAGCCATTGATGCCAGTGTGGGTCTTGTCTGTGAGACCTGTGGGTTATCTGCTGGGAGAGGGGAGCCAGGAACCTGGCAGAGCAGGAAGTCGCTTTACTAGGAGAACTGTTCAAAGAATCACAATTGGTGGAAGAGATCAGAAAAGAGCATCCAGGAAACCCAGCTGAGACCAGAGAAGGGAAGAAAACTGATTTTTGCATCTAATTCGCAGGCAGGCATGAGCAGCTGTAAATGGAGAATGGGGCTGGGAGTCGAGAATGAAGGAGGCCAGTTGGCAGACAAAGTGACAAGGCCTGAAGCTCCTGAAGCCAGGTGGTCCAGGATTGAAGCCTTTTATCTGTCAGGAGAGGTTCCTTAAGGAAGAACCAAACCAATACTTCCAGAAGCCCCAGGGCATGCTAGACAAACCAGTCACCATCACTGCAGTGCAACCCCCTCAACTCCAGGAGAAACGCCGACTCAGGCTACGTAACAGTGGAAGCCACTAAGACACTGGTGCCAAGGGAAGTTTTGTGGATGGGACGGTAGATCTGGGGGGAGATAAATGAAAATCTGTGATGCCTGCAAGCTCCTGCTTCATTCAAGTGGTCCAAAGCCTGAAAATAAAAAAGATCCACTACTCTATTGGCCATTCAAGTTTATAATTCTAAGGAAAAAAAAATCAGGGTGCCTTATTTTTTATTTTGCTAAGCAACAGGGCTGAAACAATTCAGGTTTTTATTTTCCCAATGATCACCACTGCTAGTGTTTTGTATGGTTGTTGTTGTTGCTGTTTTCTCCAAGAAAAAAAATTTAAATCAAAAAGCTAAAAGGCTCCCCCGCTTCAAGTCTTCCTTAATAATTGTCGATCTCTATTACATTCCTGAGATAGATATAAAATTTTAGAAGCCATTATCTGGGCTGGGCATGGTGGCTCACATCTGTAATCTCAGCACTTTGGAAGGCTAAGGTGGGAGGGTCATCTGAGGTCAGGAGTTTGAGACCAGCCTGACCAACATGGTGAAACCCCATCTGTACTAAAAATATAAAAATTAGCCGAGTATGGTGACAGGCATCTGTCATCCTAGCTATTCTTGAGGCTGAGGCAGGAGAATGGCTTGAACCTGGGAGGCAGAGGTTGCAGTGAGCCAAGATCGCGCCACTGCACTCCAGCCTGGGCAACAAAAGCGAAACTCCATCTCAAAAAATAATAATAATAAATAGAAGCCATTATCTTTCCTATCAGTAATATTTTCAAATATAATTCTTATATAACACTATTTTACATCTCTCCCTAATATTTACATGGCATGTATTAAATGAACCTTTGTCAAGGATGTTAAGACTCAAAGCTTTGGAAGTCAGCACTCAGGCATACCAAAGTGACAGAAAAGTTCTTAGTGCCAGCTTCCAGTTCAGGGGGAAGAAAAGGCTTAGTATGCAAAAGGTATTTCTGAATCCTTTAATAATTCAATCACAGTAATTAAATTTCTACTCTAATAGCTACAGTGAAGGAAAAAAAAAACAAGTTAACAATAAATATCAGGTGATTAGAGAGCTGCACCATGAACCAAGAAGTATTTGATGGAAACTTGGATTACTTTCATTCCTCTTCTCCCACCTCTGCAGGTGAACTGAAATGCTATTATTTTCATTTAATTAAGCTTACTTGGCTGGACCCCAGAGAGATGAAAACAATCACGCTTTTGTGCCCCTGTCAAACCCTATTGGCTTTCTACAGTGCAGCAGGGAGGATGGGGTGTGTTGCCAGTGCCACCCTCTCTAATGTGTGGTCACTCAGGATGACTCTTCCCTTTAATACAACAGTTGGCTTTTGTAGAACCATCCTCTGTGTGGATACAGCACAGCATCTGAACAGAGCTCCTTGGCCCGTTGCTGCTTCTGTTGGAGTGATAGCCACTTGAGATGATCATTTCTTCCTTATGAGTCACACAGTGCTCATGTAACCTGATGCTTTGCTCCATCAATCACAGAAAATCCCTTTTACTCTCTTGCTTCTGCCTCTCCCAGTCTCCTGCAGCTGCTCTCCTAAGGTCATTGATGACCTATGGAAAAATCCAAAGGGCTGATCTGTGCGGATGGCTGTTTGGGATGGAGATGCTCATGGGTTACAGGCACACCATCCACCAGGACCTCCAAACGTGCGTCTTACAAAGCTGTGCTCTCTCTGTCTCCCTGATCACTAATACTACTTTTTGTGTGAGTCTTCTCATTATTTAGTCATCAGCCACAGACTGTGTTGGTCGTCAGTGTTGGGTCTGTGATGTTTTCTTTCTCTCAGCATCTAATTCCATCTAGCTCTCATGATTTCTCAATCTCTGTCACTGTCAAAAGCCAGAAGAGAACAACATGGACTATTGGACTCAGAGCATGCTCTCTTTCTCTGTCACTCTGTAGATAGGTAGATGATAGATGATAAATAGATAGATGACAGATAGATAGATAGATGATTGATAGACGACAGATTGATAGATAAATGATAGATGATATAGATAGATGATAGATCAATAAACAGACAGAAAGAGATTATCCAGCAAACACATCAACCAGCACAAGATGATAGACAAACTCATTGTCTTTCCCCTCCCTCTGCTTACCCTCTGCATCCAGTCAACCAATGTCCAGATGATTTTACTTTGGAAATGGCTCTTGGAATTAAAATTGTGAGCACTTTTAAACCACATTTATTGTTTTTTCTTCATGACAGTTGCCTTTACGTCCTCAATAAATGCAGTATTTACTTCCATTTTTGCATGTGGAAAAGAGCAAACTTCATCAAGTTCACTAGCAAGGGCCTCTATCCAGTCTGCTTGGGTACCAGGGAGGAGGGTTGGCCCAAGCTTACTTACAATCTGATTGGCCCAAGCTTAATACTTCATTGGTACCATTTTGATGAGTGCTCAATGAAGGGATGTGCTTCTAAGGGCAGGCTTAGTGTCCCCTTCTCTGCCTGTCAGGGGCGGGTAAGCTCTGTGGGATTGGCCACCTTATGTTCAGGAGTAGAGAAGGCACAGCTGGTTTATATCCTCAGCCTAAGCTGCTTGCTTCAATCTAGCATTTACTGCAGAGTTCTAGAAACAGATGGAGGAGGATGTCCATCAGTGTTTGCCCAGCTTGATAAAGTAATACCACCTGGTCCATATAGGGAAGTGATAAACCCAACACTCAACCTCTCACATAACCCAGAAGGAAATTCCACTAAACTCTTTGGCATCCAATATGGAACATGAAGACGTGACCTCTAGGCTACAACGAGAAAACCCTAAGGAGAGAAGAGACCCAAATAAAAAGGTGCCAAGATAGGATGAAAGGACACTTCAGACAACAAAAAATAAAAGCGGAGAGTTTATTTCCTCCTCCTTCTCATCATCCCACTTTTACTTATTTTTCATATTTTTATTCTGGTCAAAAGTATCACAATTTTTGTGGAGTATCTAGCCCTTTATTTGCATACTGCAGAGCAAATTTTTCTCTCCAGAGAAACTGACATTTAAGAGAACTAAGAAATGACTGAGTTGATAACTTTTTAGTATTTTTTAATTAGGTAAAACATTCACATGGTATAACATTCATAAGGAACACCACCCTCCCTCACCCCCTCAC
The DNA here is from genome assembly GCF_000001405.40 of Homo sapiens. Classification (NCBI taxonomy): domain Eukaryota; kingdom Metazoa; phylum Chordata; class Mammalia; order Primates; family Hominidae; genus Homo; species Homo sapiens. Next base: position 234,504,434 of record NC_000002.12, read on the forward strand.
CCTTGCCCCCACCATAACTCCTCTCCTTAAAGGTGACTGCATTCATTAATGTTTTGTGTTTCCTCCAGTAATTAATTATTCTTTTTCACAGAGCCATACCTTAGAATGCACTTAGGCATCTCCAGAATCCTAAGCAAAGGAGGCAAAGGGAGGGCCATATTGTTAGTTAATGTGGTCATGGGGAGTCTAGCAGAGCCAAAATATATCCATGCCACACCAAGGTGAAGGACTCCAGAGAGAAACTACAAGCCTTATTGAGAAAGTAAGAAGCTACTAGACCTTTGCTGCTGTAGTTATGAATATCTTCATCCTGCAGCCCAGCCTTGCCCAGACCCTGAGCCCAGACAGACCTGCTCCCAAGAGCAGCTGGGCTCTGCAATTACCCTGCAGATAGAAGCTCCAGGTACATCCCTAGGGAGCCAGCCCCTGGGAACTTCAGCCGTGCACTGAGCACTCACCATCCAGAAGACAGGTCTTCTGCTCCATCCTAGGCAGGCACCCTGACATCTGCCTAGCCATCTGGAACCAGCCTTCCCATTGCCTGTGACTGTAGCTATAGCTGCTGGCCATGCAGCCCTAGTTCGTCCCATTTTGTTGGACTGGCTTAGACGGGAGAAAAAAGGCAAACTAAAACACGATAACTCCAGAAAGCAAAGCCAGCAGTTTTCCAGCCTATAATGGCTTAGACCGAAAAGAAAAAATAAAGAAAAGCAAAAGCAAAGAAATGAGAATAAATTTGATTTTTGTCACAGAAGAAGCTTACCTGTCTTGAATTCTGGCTTATTGGTCTAGTATTTCTTAAATTCCAGCCTACTGTTCATGGACCATGTCTTTGTTATGATTTTATCTAGCGCTAGGTGGGGAAAATAGTTAAAATAAAAACAATCCCAGTTTTTTCCTTGCCAAAAAAAGGTCAAATATAAAAATTGGGTCTAGATTCTGGGCAGAATGATGATGCAATGTATTAGTCAGGGTTCTCTACAGGGAGATATATATATATATATATATATATATATACACATATATATATATACACATATATATATATACACATATATATATACACATATATATATACACATATATATATATACACATATATATATACACACACACATACACATATATAGAGATATCGAGATATAGACATCTATGTGTGTGTATATATATAGACATATATATATAGAGAGAGAGAGAGAGGGAGAGGAGTTTACTAAGTATTAACTCACATGATCACAAGATCCCACAATAGGCCGCCTGCAAGCTGAGGAGCAAGGAGAGCCAGTCCAAGTCCCAAAACTGAAAAACTTGGAGTCTGATGTTCAAGGGCAGGATACATCCAGCATGGGAGAAAGATGTAGGCTGGGACGGTGGGAGGGTAGGCCAGCCCAGTCTTTTCACATTTTTCTGCCTGCTTTATATTCTAGCCTCGATGGCAGCTGATTAGATGGTGCTCACCCAGATTAAGGGTAGGTCTGCCTTTCCCAGCCCACCGACTCAAATGTTAATCTCCTTTGGCAACACTCTCACAGAAACACCCAGGATTAATACTTTGCATCCTTCAATCCAATCAAGCTGATACTCAGTATTAACCATCACATTAAAAAAAACAGGCTTAAATTCACATGTCACTGTAGGGACACAGAGTTGGTGCCAGCAGGAAGCTTCCCTAGAAAGTTGTTCATACAAGCCAGGAACTGACATGCCCATCGCTAGCTATATTATGAAGTAATCTGAGATACTTCCACGCAATCAAAAACTTCACAACTATTAAAAAGAATGAGATAAATTTTGTGTGTTGATATGGTTAAGAAGACCCAGATATTGTTAAGCAAAAAAAGCATGATACACAAATGCTTCCATCTCTATTAAAAAAAAATGCGTGTGTGTAAGATATATATATGAAATCCATGATAATTTCCCAAAAAGGTACACAAACAACTACTGGTATTGATTATCTGGACGATGGAACTGAGGAGGAATAGAAAGCAGCCTCATGTCTTACTGTAAATCTTTTTGTACTGTTTAATTTGTGTTCTCCATGCATGAAAGTATTATTTTCATAATAACAATGAAAAAAATGTAGTTAATGAATGCATGCACAAAAAGAAAAAATTCCTGCAACCATATGCAGATTTAAGAAGCTCTAAACTTTGTACTGCTTTCTAGAAAGAATTAAAATAAGTACAAGTGTCCAGAGAGCGAATCAACACACCAGCGAATGTCAGATATCCATAAATAAGTGATTTCATGTTCAGCAGCATGAGATCCATAAAGGTAGCCTTCAAGCATGACTGAGATGTGCGGCTGAGCATCCAGGGGCAAATTGATGGAGAGCATCGTTTTTCTCTAGAGCTGCTATCCTCCTTCCTCAAGGTCAGGCTGACAAGGTGAAATGAAACATTAACATTTAGAAGTGATTTCCCATGGAGGTGGAAGTGCAGAAGTTTAGCTCTTCTGAAACCTTTAACCTTCCTGGAAGGTGTTAATACTGCCAGTATCCCAAGTTCTCAGCAGGTTTTCAAATGATTTTTTCCAGGGCGGACCCTGAGATATAAAACAATGGACTGCAACAGGCCCAGGATACTGCAGATATTTTGTGCTGTTACTTAAGAATTAGAATTCTTTCTTTCTGCTGTTTGTGCATGCAAATTATCTTTCCTAATGACATTTAATCTACCTATCATTAACACCTTATCACATGATAGGATTGGAAAACTAGTTTCCCAGCAGAGTTTCCACAGGTAGTGGAGAACTGGCTTTGCATAAGGGCTTTTCATACATTCTGTATTAGTCTGGGTAGAGCCAAGTGCAGCGATGTTGCATGAGGAGCAAGGAATGAGGCAGAGTTGAGTCTTTTACGTGTGGTGCATGGCTCATGGCTATCTAGGCAGAGTTTCCTGTGTACAAAATGACACCTTTCATTTCAAAAGGACATATGTTATTTGTGTATCAGTCCTTATCAGCCCAAAATAGAACCGCCTTCTATTTTACTAAATGTGTACAATAGCTACAGACACTCTTCTCTCCTTCAAGCCTCAGTGCCTCTTGTTGAAGTAACATTTTCCTGAAGAAATCATTCTTCCAGACCATTTTTAATTTTTAATCAAATTCCTAATGAAATTATGCAAGGGACCAGAAAGTGTAGAATAACACATTGTAATTCTGGAAACAATTGAGTACACCGGGGTAGTCAAACATGTCAGCATGACTGGTATTGATCTTGTCTGCACGCATCGAATTGATCTTTTGAGTTCTCCACAATAATTTCAGTAAACTCATTCCTTTCCTTTTTTCAGGGCATTGTAAAGACCCAAGCCAAAGAACTTAGTCACTGTGTTTGATTCACTCAGGTCCCAAATATAAAGTTATTTGTCTATTTTTTCCTTTCTAGAAACTTCTCTTATAATAAGCAATACATAGAATTGAAAATTTGAAAATATTGTAAAAATGTCAGAGGATTCTCCAAGGCATATATGCCTCATGTGATCTTATAATCAAGCTGATGATATCACCATTTCTTCTGATTTTTAAGATATTTTTCCACTTCTTCATTTTTGTTGAAGTAATTTTCCTGGTAAACACCTGCTGTATTTAAAAAAAAAAAAACTATTAAAAAAAATGCTGTGTTTAGAGTGCCTGAAATGGTGCTGAGAAGTCAACACTGAAGGAAGGAGAACGGAAGTATCAATACAGGTTGCCAAGACGATTATTTCCACAGTTAATCCTGCTGCTTTAAGTGCACCGGGACTTCATTTTCTGCTCCTCAAGGTACTTGAAGTAAAGGAGCTCCCTTACTGGTTGCATGAATTACTGAGCATAAAATACTCATCCAGGATTATGGCTAAACTGTTCATCCTGTCCCCATATCCAAACAAAAAGCCTAAGGACTTTCAGATAGGTAAATGATAGACAGACCAGTGTCATAGGCCATAACACACCCTTCTGCTGGGTGAGGCTGTAAAATCAGGACTGTTCATGTGATAGACACATGTGCTCTGGAGCCACATGTAATAGTCCATGTGTGTAACATAGGAAAGAGTTCGAGTATAATAAGGAAATGCATCAATCATCGTTTCAATGAGAAATACACTCTCTGGGTAAATGATTCCATATCATTCATTTAAGACAGTTTGTGAACATACCTGTTGTGTCAGGTGATGGAATCATAAAACATAGTCCTAATGCTCAGTGTTTACAGACAACTGACAGATGCAGCCACATCACAGGCAGGAGAAACAGAGTAGGGTAATCTGCTCCAAGGGATGGATGATCCCTGAGCAAGGATGGGGTGGGGTAGGGCTTGGGAGTAGGACGTAGGAGGGATGCTGAAGCAAATATTACCAAGGAAAGCTTCCATGAAGATGACTTCTAAGCAAGAAATACAATTAGCAGATATTTGGGTAAGCAAAATATCTTGTCAGCTCTTTGGTGTCTGTGATTCTGTCCCCATATCCACCCTAATGCACTGTGGTCTCCTGATGGTGATGGGGAAGAGGGTGTCATAAACTCACAAAAGAAAACAAAGGAGCTTCGCTTATTCAGAAGGACTCTGGACAGTAGCTCTGGGTAGAGACAGACTACAGTATAACAGCACAGATGTGATCCAAAAGCATAACTGGGGACAAGACCCCAGACTAGTCCAGGTGGCAACCAAATCAGAAGCTTTCTCTTAGACTCCCAAGGGTCTCTGTGTACCAACTTCAAGTGGGGGATTTTAAAAGGATACTTATAATCTCAAAAACATACTACTCACTGAAAAGGCCATCCGTGAGTATTTACTGCATCGAAGGATAATAGTGACAACAACACAAGAAGCTCCCATTAATACAGTGTATATTATATTAGTTAATTGATAACACTTCACAGTTACACTTAGCACTTTATATCTCAAAGATTTATTCTGATAATACAACTTTAATGTTAAGTAGATGTATATTAAAAAACAATCCAGAAGAATTATGAGGCAAAGAAAATTTGCTGTAGTCTAGGTGATCTTAAGACATTTGCATATGACAATAGAGAAGGCATGAAGGTGCCTTCAAGCGTACTGCTGACCCTTCCAGGTAGACATATGAGGAAAACATTCCACCATCATTCCCTCAGCTTTGTAATCATAAATAAAAATTTTCTTTGTTGTCTATTTACCAGATGTTGATTGAGCTTCCACTGTGTGTAGGGGATGCTCTTGGCCACAAAAGCACAAAGATTTATAAATCCTCTTAAAATATAGCCCCTATTCAAGTCTCAGCTGTCTCAACTCTCTCTCTCCTCATCTCTCTCTCCCTGTCTCTCTCTGTCTCCCTCTCTCTTTCGCTGTCTCTTTTAGATTTGTGTGGCCCTCTAGCTATTGTCCTACAGTTTTACTCCTTCCCTTCTCAGAGGGTCTCTGCTTCTCTCACAATGCAACTTTCTGTCTGCTCATATCTGTCATGCCCTTCCCCACTCTCTGAACCTGTGCTGGCAAAGGTCACCTCCTAATTGCTGCACAAACTGGACCTATTTTAGTCCTAATCATACTTATTGCCTCAGTTGCATCTGGTGCTGTTAACCACATTCTTTTTTCACAAAACTCTCTCTGACTTGCCTTTCTTTGGCTTTCATTGTAGTCCTTGCTCCTAGCTCTCTTGTATATTTTGAGGTTCTCTCACAAAGTCCTTTTCTTCCATTTAACCCTGAACTGTGAGTGTTTTCTGAGCCCTCTGCTTGGCTCTTGTTCCACACCACACCTGCCTTCAAGGGACAGTTTTTTTGCTCCAGTGAATTCTTCTCCTCCTCCACAAGGAGGAGGTTTTTGTTGTGAGAAAATACACATAACATAAAATTTACCATCTTAACCAGTTTTAAATGTACAGTTCAGTGGTATTAAATATATTCAGAATATTGAGCAAACATCACCACCATTCACCCTCATAACTCTTTTCATCTTGTAAAACTGAAACTACCCATTAATAATAATGTTTCATTATTTCCCCCTCCTCTCAGCCCCTGGAAATCACCATTCTACTTTCTGTCTTTATGATTTTGACTACACTAAGTACCTCATATAAATGGAATCATACAGTGTTTGTCTTTTTTCGACTGGCTTATTCCACTTCGCATAATGTCCTCAAATCTCATCCATGTTGTAGCATGTGTCAGAATATCTTCCCTTTTTAAAGCTAAATAATTTCCCGTTTTACATATGTGCCACATTTTGTTTACTCATTCATCTGTCAACAGATACTTGAGTTGCTTTCACCTTTTGGCAATTGTGAATAATGTTGCTATGAACATGAGTGTACAGATATCCCTTCAAAACCCTGCTTCCAATTCTTTTGGGTATATATCTGGAAATGAGATTGCTCAGTCATGTTGTATTTTTGTGTTTAAGTTTTGTAGGAACTGCCATGCTGTTTTCCATACCAGCTGCACCATTACAATCCCACCAGAAGTGCACAAATTTCCAATTTCTCTGCATGATCACCAGTATTTGTTATGTTCTTTTTTTTTTTTTTTTTTTGAGACGGAGTCTCACTGTCACCCAGGCTGGAGTGCAGTGGCGCAATCTTGGCTCACTGCAAGCTCTGCCTCCCGGGTTCACATCATTCTCCTGCCTCAGCCTCCTGAGTAGCTGGGACTACAGGCACCCGCTACCATGCCCGGCTAATTTTTTGTATTTTTAGTAGAGACGGGGTTTCACTGTGTTAGCCAGGATGGTCTCAATCTCCTGACCTTGTGATCCACCAATCTCGGCCTCCCAAAGTGCTGGGGTTACAGGCATGAGCCACCACACCTGGCCTGTCCTTTTTTTTTTTTTTTTTTTAATTCTAGCCATCCTGATGAGTGTGAGATGGTGTCTCGTTGTGGTTTTGATTTGCATTTCACTAGTGGTCAGTGATGTTGAACATCTCTTCATGCACTCATTGGCCATTTGGATGTTTTCTTTGGAGAAATCTCTATTCAAGTCCCTTGTCCCTTTTTAAACTTGGTTGTTTTTGGTGTTGTTGTTGAGTTTCCAGTGGATTCTTCTTCCCAGATATTTGCTTCTACTGTGCCTTGAACTATGTCCAAATCCCTGTTCAGTTTCCACTGGGTTGTCCCATGGACACCCCTAGACCATTCCAACTAATCTCACCATTGCCCCTACTGAGTCACTCTTCCTCCCCCATTCCTCTTCTTACCTCCTTCACTACCATTGACTCATTCTCACAGCCAGAACCCAGCAGAGAAGTGGGAGGCTGGTGAAGCCCTGCCACACGCCTTTTGATAGAATATCTAAGGACACAGCCTCCAGCTTTAGGAGAGAATAAGCCCATTTCTCTGCATTTGGTTGGGAATGAGCTTGATGGTCTCATCTGGGCCCATAGGTGGTGGGAGCCCTGCTGCCTCTTGGGCCAAGGAGACCACTCAGTAACTTTCCATGTCCTCTCCCCCCAGACAGCATCAAGGATGTCTGGCTGAGGTGAAGGATTCAGCCAGGTATGGCTGGACACTATGGGACCTTGGCCTTTAAGGTGGGTGTGGTAAGGGGAGTTTGGAGAAAATCCTGGCCCATCAGAAGTCCCCACTTTCTACCTACAATACCTGTAATAATAACTTCAATAAATAATAAAGTTAATAATAACTTTAACCCACAATACCTATAATAATAACTTCAATTTAAGGGTGCTATAGAATGACTAATTGTAATGTAATTTGAATGTGAACATTACAAAATTGGAAGTTAGTTGTTAACTAGAACATCACAGTTTATGGTAATGCACAAAATCAACTCCAAGTTGCCTAAATGATGGTAGAGAAGAATATTTCCAAAATATAAAACCTAGGTAGGGGACAAAGATGGAACCCACAAAACATTACCTGTAATGCTCAGTAATAATTGTCCACTGCACAGAGGACAGAGGAGATGAACAGGGCCACCCCCCTGGGCTGAAGGGAAGATGTGACTCCCTGAGCTAGGATGGCCAGTGTGAAGCAGGGAGCAGAAGACCAGCATTTGGACCATTGACCTGATCTACAAAGTTGCAATAGCTCAGTGAGCTCAGTGGATCCAATTAGGCGCATCCCAACCCACAAAGAATGATTTCCCAGACCCCTTTTTCTGGGGTTCCTGATGGCACACCCTCTCACCTGCCTGGGAATCACTAGGGATGCTCGGGAGGATGTGGTCACCTGTGGTGCCATCCTGCCTGCATCTTGCCCAGCCCTAGGGAGTGGCAGCAGAGGCTACCCTGGTTCCAGCCCCTTGCACCGCCCTGGTTCCTAAGACAAGTGGAGGCACAGCCAGGGTGAGAAGGAGCAACAAACACCATTTGAAAGAGGTCTTGAACCCCCACTTTGTTCTTGGACCATCGTTAAAAAGCCTTGGGACAAAACTTTCTAATACAATTGGATAAATCTTAACCAGGATTTTTAGATTTAAGCTTAGCTAAAAAGGCCCATTGGAAGCAAGTAGCCAGCCAGGGGAGTGAGTTATTAGCAGGGTGGCCACTGGGGTCCCAGCCTTCTGCTTTTACTTCCAGGCCTGATGGGTCATCCCAGCAACCCCTGTTGAGTGTGTCCAGGCGGAGACACAGCTGCACACAGTGGGTTAGATGGACTTCCTGGACTAAAGCACAGCTGGAAAGTACCAGATGGTCCAGAGTCTAGCCCCATGATGTCTGGGTAACTAGGTAACGGCAATGGAGAAGCAGCAGAAATCAATGGAGAATAGTGTCTCGGCTACGTCGACCTGTAATTACGGCACTGAGTCATTATTTAGGAAGCTTCCCTAAAGCCTTTCCCTGCTCAAAAACAGCACCAGTTGGTACTCAAGTACAGACTCTCGAATGAATAATATTTGTAATTTTTTGAGTGACATTTCATCAAAAAAATTTGTCCCTGAAAAATTCAAATATCTGTCACAACTAAATGCTCTATTCACTTACTTGGAAAACATAGAAGCGGGAAATGTTTTGTGTTTTATTGGTGACTCACACTTTTCTGGGAAGAGCGTTCAGCTTAGGTTTTCACAGCAATGCTCCTGGAGTCAGTGAGATATGGGCTCTAATTCCACTCAGCGATCTGATGTGGGGTGAGGGCCAGCCGCGCTAGCTGCAGTCTCCCCGTCTGTGACGTGGAGATAATCACAGTGCCTCACTCATGAGGCTGCAGGGACAGCTGTTGGAGCCTGGGCATTTCAGGACTCAGCCCCATGCCTGGAGAAGAGCAAACACTCCACAATATCAGCTCTTGTCATTTTCTCTTGTCACATCAGGCCATATTGTTCATCTTAATTCTGTGCATGCTTATGTTGCATGTAAGTCCCTAAAATAACCCTTTACCAATGTGGCAGAGGTCACTTTTCTGGCCTGTAATTATTTCAATAAATGATTATCTGCAGATTTATCTAAAAATATGTTTCCTGAGTCTATGAGAGAATAACGAGTTGTACTGTCCACTTTCGATGGGAGATTGAGCGTATTTATGGAGTCTATTTAATTCACGTTCCATAGATATGTGAAACTGGTGCATATTGGACATGTATATTCAAATGCCTTCTTTATGAGAGCCCTGGTTTTATCTACCGAAACCTGCAAAAGATCATCTACCTCTGAAGTCCTAAGTATAATTAAATGACTATAAAAATGATTGTTTTGTTACAGTAGTTACCTTGCTTAGCAATTTAGTCAGTACCCCACAGGGGTAAAATGATGTGTTTCTTCTGCCTTTAACTTTTAAGGCAACATATGAAGTGAGATGTGGTTATGGTGTGTGTGGTGTGGTGTGTAGTATGGAATGTGTGTGTGGTGTGTAGTACTGTATGTGTGTGGTGTGGGGGGGGTGAATGTGTGATGTGGTGTGTAGTATGGAATGTGTGTGTGGTGTGTAGTATGGTATGTGTGTGGTGTGTGGGGGGGTGAATGTGTGATGCAGTGTGTATGTGTGATGTGGTGTGATGTGTATGTGTGGTGTGGCATGTGCTGTGTGGTGTGGTGTGTTTGTGTTTGTGGTAGGTAGAGTGTGTGGCTAGGTGGGGGTTGTGTGTGGGCTAGGTAGTGTGTGCAGTGTGTGTGTGGTGTGGTGTGTGTGCGTGTGGTGTGTGTATGTGAGATGTGGTGTGTTTGTGTGTGTGGTGTGTTTCTGTGTGTGGTAGGTGGTGCATGTGATGTGTTTATAGTATGGTGTGTGTGTGGTGTAGTGTGTGTGGTGTGTGTGTAGTGTGGTGTGTGTGTGGTAGGTTGTGTACCGTGGTGTGTGCATGTGGTGTGTGTGGTGTGGTGTATGTGTCTGTGATGTGGTGTGTATGTTTGTGATGTGTGTGTGGTGTAGTGTGTGTGGTGTGTGTGTAGTGTGGTGTGTGTGTGGTAGGTGCTGCGTGTGGTGTGTGTTTAGTGCGGTGTATGTGTGGTGTGTGTGGTGTGGTGTGTGTGGTGTAGTGTGTATGCGGTCTGTATGTGTGTAGTGTGGTGTGTGTGTGTGGTGTGGTATGTGAGGCGTGGTGTGTGTGATGTGTATGTGTGTGGGGTGTGGTGTGTGTGATGTGTGTTTCTGTGTGTGGTAGGCGGTGGGTATGGTGTGTGTGTAGTGTGGTGTATGTGTGGTGTGTGGTGTAGTGTGTGTGTGGTGTGTGTGTGTGGTGTGGAGTGTGGGATGTGGTGTGTGTGATGTGTATGTGTGTGGGGTGTGGTATATGTGATGTGGTGTATTGTGTGGGGTGTGGTGTGTGTGTGTGGTGTGGGGTGTGTGATGTGGTGTGTGTGTGTGGTGTGGTGTATGTGTGGGTGCTGTGGTGTGTATGTGTGTATATGGTGTGGTGTGCGGAGTGTGGTGTTTGTGATGGGGTGTATGTGTGGTGTGTAGGTGTGTGTGGTCCGTGTGTAAAGGGGTTGTGTTGCTGAGTCAGGGATGGGCATCAGCTGCGCCCCACACCCTCAAGGCCCCGTCTGAGGGATTGGGGGCTGTGTTCCCAGTTCCTCCGGGCGGAGCTGCCTCACTGGGAAGTCCCATGCAGGCTCTACGGACTTTTCCTGAGTGTGTCTCATAGGCCCAAACTCCTGGCCAGGGGCCGAGGCAGCCGTGGCATCGTGCAGAAGAGAGTTAGCACCACAGGCCTGAGGCCGCTGTCCTGTGCTTGCAAGATGGCCCTTGGCTGGTGTCTGGGACCTTCGGTTTGGGGAGGCTTCCCACCACTCCCCAAGCTGGTCAGAGGGCTCACTGTGCCTCCACGGTTTGTACGAACAATACGGTTTATGTTGAGTACCTGCTTTCCTTCTGGGAGTCTGGAATGTGAGTGTGTGCCAGGCAGAGGTGTCATGTGGCCAACCCAACAAAAACCCTGGGCACTGAGGCTCTAGTGAGCATGCCTGGTATAAAAGCTTGCACACATGTCACAGCTCATTACCGGGGGAGTCGGGCACTTCCTGGGTGACTGCTGGGTGAGAACTCTGGAAGCTTGCACCTGGCTTCCTCTGGACTTCCTCCGTGAGCCTCTCCTTTCCCATGCTAATTGTGTTTTGCATCCTCTTGCTGTGAGTACGACTGTATGCTGAGTCCCGTGAGTCCTCCCAGCAAATCATCGGCCTGGGGGTGGTCCTGGGGACCCCTGACATAACCATCTTCCTCGGAGATGTGTAGGGATGAAGCGAGGGACTCAAAGGCCAGTGAAAACCTCTCCAGTAGAATATCTCCTCATGCCAAGACCTCTTAGGCAATTCCTGGGTCTGAGTAGACTAGGTGTGATGATGAAAGACCCCTCATTCTTTTTTTTTTTTTTTTTGAGTCAGAGTTTTGCTCTTGTTGCCCAGGCTGGAGCGCACTGGCATGATCTTGGCTCACCACAACCTCCGCCTCCCGGGTTCAAGTGAGTCTCCTGCCTCAACCTCCCGAGTAGCTGGGATTACAGGCATGCGTCACCATGCCTGGATAATTTTGTATTTTTAGTAGAGACAGGGTTTCTCCATGTTAGTCAGGCTGGTCTTGAACTCCCGATCTCAGGTGATCCACCCACCTTGGTCTCCCAAAGTGCTGGGATTACAGGTGTGAGCCACCGCGCCTGGCTGACCCCTTCATTCCAATGTCATCTCACTCCTAGTTTCCGTAATGCTCGCCTAGGAAATTAGGTTGCTTTAAACATGAAAAGTCTGATTCTCTAAGCTGGAACATGGAATGGGCAGGAGAGAGATTTGGGATGATGGCAGACAAGCCACAAAGCTGCCCAGAGTCACGAAAAACCGAGGGAGCTTGTTTTTCTAACATTTGTATATGTGACAATGCTTTTAGCATTTATTTTTTTAATTTTCAAAACACTAAAAGTTTTTACAACGATAATTTCTTACTGTTAAAACACAGGAAGTTGAAAAATTTAAACAATCACATTAGCAGACTGTTAACATGTTTTGAAAAATTAAGCCTTAATGTTAGAACTTGCACCATTTTGAAATAATATAAAAACCTACTGCTTTCTACCTACTGCCTAAGAATCACAATCCCATCACAAACCCAACCCGAACATTTGAGAAGAGACTTGGGCTGGCTTTTTCTTTTTTTCTTAATGGATTAAATCTCTGCAGGTCAGCAATTCATAAGGATGGTTGAATTCCAGGGAACATTAATGCGATGCCATGCTCAGTGATCATGATTGGTCCTCAGTGCCGCGCTGCTCAGATCACAGATTACCGATGTCCAGACATTGCATTCGCTTGTAGGACTGGGCTAGAATTATAAATATGCATGTGCACATAGGAGCACACGAACACATGTGTACACACACACAAAGATGCATAGACATGTCAATCCCAGGGTAGCTAAGAGCATAGGTTCTGGAGTCAGATCTAAGCGGAAATCCTGGATTTCTACCTGCTGGTTTGTGATCATGGAGAACTTTCCTAACTGGCCTCAGCCTCGTTTTTCTTGTGTATAAGAAATGCATAATTATTCCAAGGTTCTGTAGGTGCTGTGAGGATTCAGTGAACAAAGTATTCAGGAGGCACTGTAGCCATGAGAGGTGGGTGGGCGGGAGGACTGCGGAGGGGCCTTGTGAGGAGCCGTAGGGGATTCACATGCTTACAGACAGGTGAAGGTAGACTGGGCTTCCTATCTCTCATAAGGGAGGGGCTCCCTCTGCCCTGAACAGAACTGAATTATTCTTCTCTGTGCCTCAGTTTCCTCCACTGTAACACTGGCATAACAATAAAGTCTACCTTATGTGGCCCTTTTGAAAATCACATGGATTAATCCGGGCAGAGTACTCGGAGGAGCACCTGGCCCAGCCTCAGCACTCAATAAATGTTTGCTACTATTATTACTATTATCCAAAAATATCTCTGCACTACGCTTTTCCGACATCTTACTTTGCACAATTTCTTGCGTACAATCTGTTTCCTTCATATCAAACAGATTGCAAATTTTTTTTCTGAAAAAAATAAAAATGAATTAAGAGAGTGTAGTAATCTAGAAAAGAGGGGGGAGAAAGGAGGGTTCCAACTGACATACAAAAAAAGAACTGATAATACAGAGAGGAAAGAGGAAAGGGAGTGTCATCCGGTGGGGATGAGGGTGCAGAAGGGGCGCCCTTGACCCCAGAAGTCAGGAAAAGCAGAAGCGCTGAGACTCAAAATGTCTGCACCATGGTGAGAAGTACCACCCTGAATATGTCCACTGTGAGACTGAAAGAGAGAAAATTCTTCTATTATCGTGTATACACAGCTGATATTCTTCAAGTATGTCATTTTTCTTGTTCAGGCGGGCTCACCTAGGAGAATACAAATGCCTGGCGGGTAAGGATCATGTATCATCGTCATCTAGAACCTTCCCCACGAGAGGCTTGAAGGAAGAATGGATGTTGAATGAGTGGCTAAAATGCGCTTACCCAGTATCGGGAGGACATACAGGTGAACAATATCAGCTGTTTTCCTTTAGGTTAACAAGCAGTGTCCAAGACATAGGGCTCATGAGAATCCATCAAATACCTTCCAGTTTCTCTAGAAACATCACTAGCGAATGGATCATCAATAGTCATTCCGCATTCAGCACCAGCTGCACCCTGGTGTATACGAGAGGTCAGCTTGGATAGAAATTCATGATGTGCATGAAGAATATGGCTTATCCGTGAGAGAAATGTTTATAGATTCCACAACTGAGCTGCCTGAGAAATTGTGAGTGAGAGAACAGAAGGTGGTGGCTGTCCATGTTATGAATGAAACAGAGGGGACTATGAGACAGGAGAATGCAAGGTTTCATTGCACAAAGCCAGAGTTCACATCTTCTTCCAGGTCCTTTTAAAACAAAGGCTTGGAATCATGTTGAATTGGAAGACAAGTATAAGCCAGCCCTCGCATGGTTTGAAAGTGAATTGGTGGCTGGACGCGGTGGCTCACGCCTGTAATCGCAGCGCTTTGGGAGGCCAAGACGGGCGGATCACTTGAGGTCAGGAGTTCGAGACCAGCCTGGCCAACATGGTGAAACCCTGTCTCTAATAAAAATACAAAAAAATAGCCACATGTGGTGGTGCATGCCTGTAATCCCAGCTACTCGGGAGGCTGAGGCAGGAGAATCACTTGAACCCGGGAGGCGGTGGTTGCAGTGAGCCGAGATGGTACCACTGCACTCCAGCCTGGGCAACAGAGTGAGAATCCATCTCATAAACAACAACAACAACAAAAGTGAATTGATGATTCATTTATTTGTTTTGTTGTCCATCAGAAAGTATTTACTGAGCACCAACTCTGTGTCTGGCTCTGTTCACAGAGCTGGGCTACCTAGAGCCTAAAGGCAGCAGAGCCCTGCCTGCCTGGGGCTTAATCAGTTAAGAACATAGTCAGCAGTGGCCTGTAAGTCCAGGTTATTGTTCAGGCTAGAATTTGACTGAAAATAAATATGCTGCTAAACAGGTAAGAAGGAGGAATGTAGAGAATTGCATCTTAAAATGGACATTGTCTTATCCTTTTCAGGCAGCAATAGCACAATACAACAGACTGGGTGGTGTATAAACAACAGACGGTTTTTTCTCACAGTTCTCTGGAGGCTGAGAAGTCCAAGGTTAAGGCACAGGCAAATCTGGTGTCTGGTGAGGGCCTGTTTCCTGGTTCACAGAGGAGGCCTTCTGGCCATGCCCTCACATGGTGGAAGGGGCAAGGTAGCTGTCTGGGAAATGTTTTTGTTTTAGTTTTAGACAGAATCTCTCTCTGTCGTCCAAGCTGGAGTACAATGGCGCGATCTCGACCCACTGCAACTTCTGCCTCCTAGGTTCAAGCAATTCTCATGCGTCAGCCTCCCAAGTAATTGGAATTACAGGTGCGTGCTGCCACGCCTGGCTAATTTTCGTATTTGTACTTAGAGATGAGGTTTCACCATGTTGGCCAGACTGATCTGGAACTCCCACCTCAAGCGATCCGCCCACCTCAGCCTCCCAAAGTGCTGGGATTACAGGCGTGAGCCACCGTGCCCGGCCTGGAGTCTCTTTGATAACAGCACCAAACCCATGCATGAGGACCCTGTGCCCACAGCCTAATCCTCTCCAAAAGGTCTCACCTCCTAAGACCATCACATTGGAGATGGGGATTTCTACATAGGAAGGTTGCAGGGACACAGACCTTCAGTCTATGGCACACATGACTATAAAGGATTTAAGCTCAGGCTTCTTACACCAGCATATAGGAAGTCTATTTAGAAGCATGTAAAGTCTGAATAAGTGTGAAGCATCTTCATAGAGCATCAGTTTTACTTGAAAGTTTGAGGAAGAGGAAAACACATGATTTTTTAATATAGATAAATTATATTGGGGAATACAAAATGTGCACTAGTTATTATGGCGAAACACAACATTTCAAAGACATTTCCTGCTTGTAACAGCACATTGAGACTGTGATCTCAAGTCGCAGGGGGCATGTGCTTACTCTCCTCTGCTGCTAGGATAGTCAATGAAAAAAATCCAAGGAGTCCTGTTTCAGTGTGTTTTTCCTATTCCGAAATATTCTGGTTAAAATTTTTCAATTAATTTATAAATACTACTTTTTGCAGTGGAACACGTGTGGTTTAGAAGGCAATAGTATTTGATGTTAATGAAAACAAGACAGCTGAGGTCTTGGTAGCTTTTCTCAGGTGGGAAATTCATGAATTGTCATTTTTTATTGTTGTAACTTGAATATAAAAGCTGCTGCAAGGAAAACTGTCCAAATGTCAAGTTACTTTTTAACAGTAAAACCTTCATAAATAAGCTGACATTAAAATACACTAAAGTAATTGGTTTGGGGAACATTCAAGGAAGAGAAGGTGTTAGATGATCTGAATTCTCCATCTATGAACTATGGTCATAACAATAGATCATGAATGTATTGACTGGTGAAACATAGTATTGGCCTATAGAGAGGAGCTGAGAGCAAGACATTTGAATCATTTTAGAAATGAGATTAGTTTAGGGATCGGGGTTGGAAGGGTCCCTACCAATCCTTAAAGTTCACTATGACTGAAGATTGCCCAGATGCTTGGTAAATATGCAGATTCCTGGCTTTCATCCCTGATGATTCTGATTTAATACATTTTCCATCAGTTTTGGGAACATGAGTGGTTTTTGTTTTTGTTGCTTCTCTTTTTTGGAGACAGCGGCTCGTTCTGTCACCCAGGCTGGAGTGCAGTGGCACAATCTTGACTCACTGCAGCCTCCACCTCCCAGGTTCAAACAATTCTCCTGCCTCAGCCTCCCAAGTGACTGGGATTACATGCGCCTACCACCACACCTGGCTTATTTTTGTATCTTTAGTAGAGATGGGGTTTCTCATCTCAAACTCCTGACCTCAGGTGATCTGCCTGCCTCGGCCTCCCAAAGTGCTTGGATTACAGGCGTGAGCCACCGTGCCCAGCCAAACATGCATGTTTTAACCAGCACCTCAGGAGATTCTGATGCAGGGGATTCTAACTCCCTCTTGAGAAGATCGGGCCTTAGGTGTCCCATGGATAGACTTTATTGTGGTTCCTTGAAGCCCTGAGATAGAAATTCAGTTTTATGTGTTCGTTTTCCTGGAGAGAGGATCCGCATCTTTCTTTGGATTCTCAAAGGGGTTCTGATTAAATACCATTTCTGGCATGTAGGGAGGGGACGCTGTAGCTGGACTCTGCAGTTGGCAAATAAGGAATGAAGACTTACATAAATTAGCATGGTCATTTTAGCTCGTGAATAGAAATAAATAAGTTTGGATCTGAAAATAAATGAAAATATTAGACAAAAAAAAAGGAGAGAAGAAGATATTTTATGGATGTCTCAGGGATGGGCAATCAGTGTCTTCAGGATCTCCACTCTGTCTCCTTGTCAACAGATGCCCTGTTGTTATGACAGCTGGGAGGATGCATGTAGCAGCTGCTGGTGCTATTGCAGGCAAATGAAATGTGTCCTCAGACTTACAGATTGTTTTTAACCTCTTGAAAGACTGATCGAGAGGTCCAGATGCTGGAGTGATCATAATTATGGGGACAGAGATGTATGTTACTGGGTTTTAGGTCTTCCTTCCATTCATTGGTGCTCTCAAGAGCTATACAAATAGATGTCAGAGAAAGGCTGAAACACTGAAGATGACAGAATTTAATTATAACCCAAAAGAAAAGAGTCAAGGAAGAAAAAGAGAAGGAAGGGGAAAGGATAGTGCTTATATTCCTGAAAAAAATGGATTTCTCATTCAAAGAAATTGTGTTGTCTACGTGATCAGACACTGTGAATGGAGCTTCCTACAGAAATGTTGCTATGAGGTTGCTATGCATGAGAGGGAGCCTCCACTTGTGCTGGCTAGAGAGAGTGTACCTGGGCCCCAGGCTGGAGCCATGAAGCTGGAGGCATAAGAATTCTGATGCCCTCCTTCTCTAGGGCCAGGCTTGCAAATGCTGACCAGCTGCTGTTGCAATTTTGAGCATACCAGGCCGCCCCTAAGAAGATGGTGAGGCCACCAGATGGGTCTCCTGAGATCCACCACCTCTGAACGTGGCCTCAGCCCACTGGAACGAGGTGGGTAGTGGGTGAAGGGACTACTCAATGCTTAACGGAGCCAGAAGGGCTGACAAACCCAAGACAGTGTGGAGCTCTGGGAGGGTTTTGGTAGGAACAGCAGCCATGGAGGTACACAGCATGCGACACAGCCAGGCAGCAAGTGGGTAGAGGGGAGTAAACATGCCAGCCTCTCTCCTGGACTCTGAGGCTCTCCAGTCAGTGGCTTCTATTGACTGAATCCATTCAGGAGCCAGAGGACAAGGGTGCCCTGGGGAGTCAGCCTCTAGAGCTCAGCCTCCTGGACCACAGAGCTGGGCACTGAAGGATGAAGAAAAGACGTGTATCTGAGAGGGTGAGGCTGTAAAAAAACAGAGCCCAGCGCTAATGCATAACAAGGAAGGAGAGTAGAGGCTGTGGCCACAGCACTTGCCCCTGAATGAACCTCTCTCTGCACCTACTGGTGCAAGGTTTGCTAGGAGTGAGTCTCTCCACGCCCGAGTAGTTTTGTGAAACAAGTGAAAGATGGTTGATATGATTTGAATTTGTGTCCCCACCCAAATCTCATGTCAAATTGTAATCCCCGATATTGGAGAAGGGGCCTGGTGACAGGTGATTGGATCATGGGTGTGGACTGCCCCCTTGCTGTTCTCATGATAGTGAGATCTGGTTGTTTAAAAGTATGTGGCACCTCCCCCCGACTTCCTCCTGCTCCTGCCAGGTAAGACGTGCCCCCTTTCCCTTTGCCTTCCGCCATTATTGTGTTTCCTGAGGCCTCCCCAGCCATGCTTCCTGTACAGCCTATGGAACTGTGAGACAATTAAACCTCTCTTCTTTATAAATTACTCAGTCTCAGGTAATTCTTTATAGCAGTGTAACAACTGACCAATACAATGATGTTATGATCTGAATTGTGCCCCCCACCCAAATTCATATGCTGAAGCCCTAACCCTTAATGTGGCTGTATTTTGAGTGAGGGAAACCAGAATCTATTGCCGCAAAATATGCCTTTTTGACACAAGAATTATTTTGACTGGGCATGGTGGCTCACGCCTATAATCCCAGTACTTTGGGCAGCCAAACCGGGTGGATTGCTTGACTCTAGGAGTTCGAGACCAGCCTGGGCAACATGGAGAAACCCCGTCGCTACAAAACATACAAAAATTAGCCAGGCATGGTGGTGTATGCCTATAGTCCCAGCTACTTGGGAAGCTGTGGTGGGAGAATTGCTTGAGCCCAGTAGGTCAAGGCCGTAGTGAGCCAAGATGATGCCACTGCGTTCCAGCCTGTGGGACAGAGTGGAACCCTGTCTCAAATTAAAGATCATTTAAAAAACTTTTTACAGAGAATTATTTTGAGCTAAAAGCAATTAATAAGTAGCCAATGCAGGAAAAGCTCTCTTTACACTTTCCCTTTCTGTCTAAAGATGGAATATAAACTCTCCTCTACTGGAGACTACTCTAGACTCTTAACAGCCTGGAAATGCCACCAGATGAATCTGCGAACCAACTTTACTCCTTTAGTTGCTTCCCGTATATTTATTTACCTGCCCTCAGTTGCCTGCCCTTGGAAACCTAAAGCCACTCTCCCTGGTTCCGTCCCTTCTCTACCCCATGCTGTGCTTCATGGTGCTGCATAAGCTGGAGGCCTCTTTAAGCAACTCGCCTCTGGGCACCCTCATGTGTCACATGCCCCATATACATGGGAATAAACTGCTGTTTGTTTTTCTCTTGTTAGTCTTTTGTTACAGGGGCCCCAGCTAAGCACTTAGAAGGATGGAAGAACAAGAATTTTTTCTTCCTCTGCAAGAGATAGGGCCTTTGTGGGTAATTAAGGTTTGCTATGAGGCCAGGCATGGTGGCTCACGCCTGTAATCCCAGCACTTCGGGAGGCTGAGGTGGGCAGATCACTAGGTCAGGAGCTCAAGACCAGCCTGGCCAACATAGTGAAACCCCATCCCTATGAAAAACACAAAAACTTAGCCAGGCATGGTGGTGCGTACCTGTAATCTCAGCTACTCGGGAGGCTGAGGCAGGAGAATTGCTTGAACCTGGGAGGCAGATGTTGCAATGAGCCAAGATCATGCCATTGCACTCCAGCCTAGGTGACAGAGTAAGATTCTGCCACCAAAAAAAAAAAGGTTTGCTATGATTCAAATGTATATGTTCCTCCAAAATTCGTATGTTGGAATCTAATACCCAATATGGCTATTAAGGGGTAGAGTCTTTTGGGAAGTGATTAAGTCTTGAGGGCTCTGCCCTCATGACTGGGATCAATACTCTTATGAAAGAGGCTTCAGAGAGCTGCCTGACACTTCCATGTGAGGACACAGTGTTCTCTCCTCCAGAGGATGCAGCAGCAAGGTGCCATCTTGGAAGCAGAGACTAAGCCCTCACCAGGCACTAGATCTGCCAGCATCTTGATCTGGGACTTCCCACCCTCCAGAATTGTAAGAAATACAATTCTGTTCTCTCTAAATTACCCAGTCTAGGATATTTTGTTATAGCAGCAGGAATGGACTAAGACAAGGTTAAATGAGTTTACAAGGCTGGGGCCCTGGTCCAACAGGATTAGTGTCCTTATAAAAGTGGAAGAGACATCAGAGATCTTTTTCTTTCCATGAACTCACAGAAGAACGGCCATGTGAGGCCACAGTGAGAAGGTGGCTGTCTACACTCCAGGAAAAGGGCCCCTTCCAAACACCAACCTTGCCGGATCTTCATCCAGGACTTCCAGTCCCCAGAACTGCGAGAAAATAAGTGTCTATTGTTTAAGCCACCCAGCTTGTAGTATTTTGTTATGGTAGCCTGAGCTAGGACAGATGGCAGCTCCCCAGAAGAGGGTTCAGACATTGGTGTGGAAATCAGCCAGAAGCTGTCTAATGGCAAAGTGACAGAAAATGAGAGGCCTTTGCTGACAATCTTCTGGGTAATTATCTTGGAATTCTGAATTTTTCACTCTCTAAAGGGAGACCTGTAAATGATTAGGGGCTTGGCAAAGAAATGTCTTCTTTGATCCTTGATGAAGACTTTTCTAAAAATAGCAGAATTGAGCAATGAAGAAAGGCTTTGGATCAGGAAGGGTTCAGGCACCCTGCAGTGAGCCTAGAATATCTGTGCTGGACATAGAAAAAGGAGCAATGATCAGATGAGGGAGGCGACTCTCTTTTAAGTCATCTGATTTCAATGCCAACTTTTAGGCGGGGTGGCCCAAAACATCACCGTGGCTCCCAGGAGGAGAGGTCACTGGGGGCATCAGAGGCAGCCTCCCCAGGGTATCAGCTGGCCTGCAATGTCTGGGCCATCCGGTCATAGCTGGAGTTGTGTTGTAAGCAAGTACTCCATTTTTAAAGTTTTTTCTTCCACCTTTTTTTGCTCATTCCTTATTTCAGTTTCCTAGTAATGAAATAATAACCTTTACTCTTCTTCTTTCCACCAAGCACCCCCTTGCAATGTTAGCTTATCTAACTATGTATTTGCTTAGAAGTTCCAGACGCTGAATCTTGAAACAATACAGGTGCCTATGGAATTATAACCCCACCCCCATCCCACCCACACACACCCAGGGATTTCTTCAAGGCTAGGGTTAATTTATAGCCCAGTTGCACCCAAGATGGTGCCAGCCCATCCACCAGATGGGACAATAACTCAAGATAAGTCACTGGAACAAGTCCTGTAGACCTGTACCACCTTGCCCTTCCTGTGTACCTCTCGTGCCAAACTTCCCTTTTTAAACCCCTGTATTCTGCCCCAAAATTTGAATTTTTTTTTTTTTTTTTTTTTTTTAAGAGAGGAAACCTAGACCATTTCCCTACTGCTAGCTTTGGTAAAGAAAATCACTTTCCTTCTACCACACCTCATCCTTGTGATTTGATTTTGCAAGCAGCGAGCGGCCACATAGTTTCGGTCACTAGCTGCTTGCAAAATCAAATCACAAGAAATGTAATGGGTAGTTCATCAGCAGGGCCTGTCAGATCTCAAGCCATCTGGAGGTGGCCATCAAGGTGTCCTTGATGGAGGATAGTGCCGGATTGCCCAGGCAGAAGTGGCTTGATGTCTAATTGGTACCTGGGCATTGGAACCTCCTTTCTTGGGCCTTTTCATTTGGGGTTTATGTTTCAAACAATGTCAACTTGAACGATTCCTGGTGTCTTATCATGTAGCAGATTATTTCTGATTGACAGTCATTTGACCTCTTATTTTCACCTCTGTTTTAGTTACTCTGGAGAGAATTACTATCCATCTCCTGGAGGCACCCCCAAGGTAACACAGTGCATGCGCCCCATGACCAGATGTCCCAATCTACTCTCCCAATTTAGTTTTAAAAAATGACAACCATTTTCACACGATGCAACAACAAACAGATACTATTAACTTGTTCATAGAAATTCCCTATGATAAAATTCCCATGATAAACTCTATTTGGATTAGATATGCTATGGTTTTAATATACTACTTAACTCTTTTTGCTAAGATTCTATTTAGGATTTTTGCCTCTGTATTTGCAAATGTGATGAGCGTAGAGTTTCCATTTTGGCATTGTCTTAGTCAGCATTTGGTACAGAAATTATGCTAGCTGTGTAAAATGTATTGACCTACATGAAGAAAACTACAAAACTTTACTGAGAGATATAAAAAAAGGTAAAACAAATAGACTGAGATATCCAACACTGGATGGGAAGAATACATTTTAAAATGTGAATTCTTCCCAAATTAAATTTTTAGGTTGAATGCATCATCGCCCCATTGGAATTACCTTTTAGCACTTAATAAAATAACTATAAAATTCATATGGAAGAAAAAATAGAGATAAGAATAATTTTGGTATTCTGGATTCTCAGTTTATTTTCTAGATAGGCCATTATATGAGTTTAATTTTTTAGTAGATAATTTTTTGTGTTAAATTTAGCCATTGTTGCCAATTTCACCTTATATTGAGAAATTATCACAGTGGTCAGGGAATGTGACCTGTGAAATTTCTGCTTTGGGGAATTCAATGAATTCTCTTTGTAGCTAGAATATGGCCACTTTTTATACATGTTTCTTTGTATATTCTTTGTAGGTAACAAATTTTAGTCATATTTACACACATAGAAATTTTAAAATTTTCAATGTATTACAATCTTCTGTTTTTTTTCTATTTGTTTGGCCATAAAGTGACAGTTGTGTATGAAAAGCTTCCACTACAACCTGGTTTCAGTCACATTTTCCTTGTGCTTTGGAAATACTTGCTGTATGATTTATTTAGGTGTAAAGATCTCTATGAACACGAGCCCTTCTATTTATGCTGAATCTTTTACTAATATAAAATTATGTCTTTTGACTTTTTAATGCTTTTTTCCTACGTCCTCTTTTGCCTGCTTTTGAACATTTTTATTCCTGCTTCCTTTTCATTTATGTCTGCCAAATATATCTTTGCCTTATTTTTTATTTTTAACCTTTATGAGTCATTTTATTTTTAGATGTGCCTTATAAGCAGAATATCTTTAGATTTAAAAAAATCTGTTTGCCCTTTTGAAAAAAATTTAATCCATGTGAACTTACTATAATAATGGATAAATCTGATCTATAGATGTCATTTTTATGTTTTGCTCTTTTAAAAAATTTTGATTAGTCCTGGGGTTTTGTTTTGTTTTTTGAGACAGGATCTTGCTCTGTCACTCAGGCTGGAGTGCAGTGGGACAACTGTAGCTCACTGCAACATCAATCTCCCAAGCTCTAGCTATAGTATTTCCTCAGCCTCCCGAGTAACTGAGACTACAGGTGCACACCACCATGTCCAGCTTATTTTTGGTTTTTAGTACAGACAAGGTCTTGCTACGTGGCCCAGGGTGGTCTCAACTCCTAAGTTCCAGCAATCCTCCCACCTCAACCTTCCAAAATGCTAGTTTTTATTTTCTTTTGCAACATATACAAGACGTTCTGCTTGCTTTAATATTCCACAGTAGTTTAGACCTTGGGTTCTGCATTTTAATTCTACCAGTCATAAACTGAACAACTTACCAAAATAGTTTGAAACATTAACCCAATTAATTACCGACGTTAGTACAAAACTATTTTCTTTGTCTTTTTTTCTGTTTTCTGCTTACTTTTCCCTTTCTTTTTTTTCTTCTATCCTGTTTGTCATTTGCTTCCTGTGCCTGGGGTGGGTTGAATCCTTGAGTTAGCTCCGACTGCGGACGGCCTGGCAGGAACTGAGCAAATTCGGATGATGAGAGTGGGAGCTGTGAGGATTCTAAGAGCTGCAGGGAAACCTCGCTTTTGTCTTTTCCCAGCTGGGGACAAAGCTGCAGTCCCACCTCAGGAAAATACCAGCCTGACCGTAACCCCAAACCATTCATCCTAAATTGTTTTCACTCAAGGAGTGAAAACCTTCCTACAATAGGAAATACAGAGTAAGGTAGAAAAAAGTCTTTGCACTGATCTGTGAGAGAGCCTGCAGGAGACTGAGGTGGTTCAGCTTTGCATGCAAGAGGAGCCCATATGGTCAAGTGGAGATAATAATGTGTTATGCCCTGAAGATGCAAGAAGGAGTTAAGATGCATGAAGGATAAGCCCCACCTTAAGGTCATATGGTGTCATTGAAGCCAGTTAAATGCTTGGGCAATGACTGCCTGAGTCCGGCCTGTGCTGCACTGAGGGAACACCTGGAGAGTAGCCTACCCAGATGTGGGTGAGACCTAAAGAATGAAGGGGCATTAGCCATGCTGGGGATGGCTGGGGTGTGAAGGGGGAAAACTGTTGGCGACAGAAGGAACAGCAAAGCCCTCAGAGCAAGAGAGAGCTAGAATTGGTTGTTCCAAGTGGAGGGTGCCAGCCAGGGTTTGGAGGCAAATGACAGAAACTGATTCTGTCTTGGGCAGAAGAGGAGTTTCCTGGACAGTCACTGGGAGGTCTCAGAGAATCAAAGGATGGCTAGACACTCAGACTGGACAGAGCTTTGGCAAGATCCAAGGGGCTAGGAGCTCACACTGAGACCAAGTTCACAGTGCATCATCATTGGCCAGTGGATGTTGTCACTGGAAGCACTGCCACTGGAACCTGGAGGCCACCAACCAGACTGGATTCTATTGCCGCCTCCTGGATTTTAGTGCCATTTGTTTCTGGTGCCTGAATTCCAGTTTCCAAGCCCTATGCCCCGGCACAGGCTGCCTCTGTCCAGAGGAAGGGGCACCTTTGCTCATTTGCAGGGAAGCCTGGGACTGGATATCTAGTTGACCAAGCCCAGGTCACCCTGCCAAAGTGCCAGAGTGTGAGCAGAGCCAGCATCCAGATATGTGGGGTTCTGCAATAAGAGGTTGGTGCTATCTCCCACCAGACCTCCTGCTGTGGGAATTCCCCAAAGGAAGAGAGTCAGCAGCCAGATTTCCAAAAAATGTTAAATGTCCTCTGCAGCAGGAGGACAGAGTGCAGAGGGAAGGGCCACAGGTGAGAGGGGGAACTGGATTAGGAAGCAGATCATCCTCTTGAACTTCATGAGCAATGTGACCAATACAATAGGCCCTGAAATAACCACAACAAATGGTGACTTTGAAATGGACAAAGAGATGCTGTAGCAAGTATCATCCTCTCCTCATGTGTCACTGGTCATACAAATGGTTCTGGGCAAAGAGGGCAGCCTGCCAAACTGTTGCAGACTTTTCCAACGGCCTGATTAGAATGATTCCTCAGGGGCTGTCTGTTCAAGAACTGACCCCTCTCTAGGGCCTGCAGGGAAGGATCTTGGAACCTAGAGCTGCAAGCAGCAACTCTGGAGGCTGCACTCTGTGTGTGTGGACAGAGTGGCCATGAAGGAAGGTACTGTCACTTCCACGCCTCAAAGGGCATTGACCTTAAATTTAGGAAATCTATTCCTATGTGTGTGTCTCTACATAAAGCAAAGGCACACAAAGCACTCAGAGGTTAAGCCATCACAGCTAGGATAGAATCATGAAAGGGACATCACCAATGGGCTGGTTTCCCTGGGGCTGACCCTTCTGTCTGGAGCCTTCCAGGGTCTCGCCTGTAGACCCTAGTCCTTAATGCCAGGAAGGACCTGCAGAACCAGAGACAAGAGGTTTGGGTTATGCATCATGCATGGAGCTTGCAGGTTGATTGCACTGCCTAAAGAACAGCATGTTTCATGGGTTTAAATAAATCTATTCAGTAAACCAAAAATAAAATTATAAGCCCCCCAACCATCTGAATCGACCCCTCCTCTCAGCTGAGGCATTCCAAAGTTAACCTGAAAAACTAGTTCAGGTCATGATGGGAAGGAAAAGTTGGACATGCCTTATTATTCCCTCCTCCCTTCTGCAATGCAGACACAACTGACCAGCATTAACATTAAAACAGACCTTAATTAAGACTGACAGAATAGACTCTTTAAGTCTGATAAGAAACATTTGCAATCTCTTCTCTCTGAAGCCTGTTACCTGGAGGCTTCTTTATCTGCATAAGAAAACCTTGGTCTCCACAACCACTTATCATAACTCAGACATTTCTTTCTATTGATTCCAGATCTTTAGATAATAACTCAACCAACTGCCAATCAGAAAATCTTTGAATCCACCAATGACCTGGAAGCCCCTGCTTCCAGCTGTCCCACCTTTCTGGACGGAACCAAGGTACATCTTAAATGTATTGATTGATGTCTTGTGTCTTCCTAAAATGTATAAAACCAAGCTGAAGCCCAACCATCTTGGGCACATGTTCTCAGGACCTCTCAAGGGCTGTGTCACAGGCCATTAATCACTGATATTTGGCTCAAATAAATCTCTTCAAACATTTTACAGAGTTTGACTCTTTTCATCAACAGTACTACCATGTGAATAATTTAATTATAATTTTTTGCATTAAAAGCATTAATTTGTTCCATGTAGGATTTTAGAATATACTACAAATATTGTAATCCTCTTTTGGCATTTTCATCATTTTTCTATATTCTGGAGCTCCAACACTGGAAGTGCTCTGGGTCCATCTGGGCTTCAAGGGGCCCAGCTTGGGTGGGGAGGGCAAGTGGGTCAAAACTTAGCCTTCTCCACAGTTTTCTGGGTCCCTGACACTTGTGGACATCATGGGCCTGCAGGGTTCCCTGGAATTCTGGGCACAAGGCCAGCGGGTTTCAGAAGCCTGCAGCAACCCCAGCACCACTCTTAGGTTCTGGGTATATATGAAAGAGTCCTTGAAGAGAGGGACAAGGGCATTTCTTCAAGTAACTGGAACTTTCTAGGACTTCTTCCTCAGAGGGTTACAGACTAGAAGAGCTGGGATGGGGAAAGAAAGATGTTTTGAAAATGCCCAGCCAAGTCGTGGGCATAAGCAGTGCCTCCCCACTGGGAGGACCAGCCCTCTGCCCTTACCGTGCACCCTCCCATTCTTGCACGTATGGACTCCTGTGCTTTTTCCAGGAGTGGGTTTGGCTTGATCCTCTCCCCTCCTCTCCTGGAACTGCTGAACCAGACAGGCTTCAGTCCTGCAGGCCTCAACCCAAACTCCTACATCACATTGTTTTATATCTGGCACACACCAAAGGGGTTAGAGGAGTCTGATGAGCAATTAGTAGCCCAGGGTTCACGTACAGTTGCTAGCTCTTATGTGTTAGCACCTGTGATTTCAAGGCTATTCAAGAAAACAACGCATTTCAAATGTAAACCAGTACAGCCTCTATGGAAAACAGTATGGAGAGTCCTTAAAGAACTAAAAGTAGGTCTACCATTCGATGCAGCGACCAATACTAGATACCCAGTGATACTGGGTAAAACTACTACATATTGGGTACAATGTACACTACTCAAGTGATGGGTGCACCAAAATCTCAGAATTAAGAACATAATTCATCCATGTAACCAAAATGACTTGTATCTAAAACGCTATTGAAATAAACAAGTAAAAAAAAAAAAAATACCCAGTGATACTGGGTATCTAGTATCTGGGAAAAGAAGTCATTATATGATAAAGACACACACACACACGTATATAGCAGCACAATTCATAATTGCCAAGATATGGAACCAACCCAAGTGCCCATTGGCCAATGAGTGCCTAAAGAAAATGTGGTATGTATACACCATGGAATACTACTCAGTCATAAAAAGGAATGAAATTATGTCTTTGGGAGCAACTTGGATGGAGCTGGAGGCCATTATTCTAAATAAAGTAACTCAGGAATGGAAAACCAAATACCGTGTGTTCTCACTATAAAATGTAAAGTAGACGTTCCTCTTCAAAGACTTTCCTCCCCATCTAATTAAAAATAAATAGTAACTTCTCTTAAAAGCAAAATTTATTCAAAGACCTGTACTAGCATTCTTAAATACCTGCTAGCCATAATAAAAAATCAATGTACTTTATGTTCTTAGCTCCCACAATTTAGCTTAAATATTTGCTCTGACATGCTTATACTGGTCCAAGCAAGCATTAGGTCATAGCCTGTTCCTCTTCCTTATCTAAAGGTGTTTTTACCTTTCTCAACATTCTACAAGTTACTTCCTCCTTCCTTTGTTCGCCTCTGCCTTTGCCTCTTTTTAAAAGTTCTAAGTTGCTAGCCAATCAAGACAAATACAGAATGTGAGGTCCCATTCCAGCCAATAGAAACTGGATACAGCAGTAAGGTGGACTCATCAGATTATAAATGACCCATCTCCTTTGTTCAGTGTACTCTCGTGACAAAACTGCTAGCGAGCGTACCCTTTCTAGAAAAAATAAAAATGGCCTTGCTAAATAATGTTCAAATACTATTTCTTTAAGGCACCAAGAAACAAACATTTCTAACATCACTTATAAGTGGGAGCTAAGATATAAGGACACAGAGGCACACAGAGTGATATAATGGACTATGGAGTCTCAGAAGGGGCAGGCTGGGAGGGGGGTGAGGGATAAAAAACACTACATATTGGGTATAATGTACACTACTCAAGTGATGGGTGCACCAAAATCTCAGAATTAAGAACATAATTCATCCAAGTAACCAAAATGACTTGTATCCAAAACCCTACTGAAATAAACAAGTAAAAAAAAAAAATCCCAAAGACACCTGTGTTATTATGGCGACTGTAAATCTGCAGACACCCATGTGAATGTTAAAACACGGTTACAGTGGGTTTTCTGGGACGGGAGGATGGCAATTCAATCTTTTTCTTCAGAAAGAAAGGAAGAAGAGAGAAAGAGGAAAAAAAGAGGAAAGAAGAGAGGGAGGGAGAGAGGGAGGAAGGAAAGAAGGAAGTTGAGGAACGGGAGGAAAATATTAAAGCAGAAGACAAAGGCAGATGTAAAATCAGTCCACAAGTGCAGAAACATGTCAATAAAGCAGGAAAGCACTATCTTCCAGTTTACAAAATTTGATCAACCTGGGGGACATTCATGTTCGGGCATTTAAGAAAAAAGAGTGTGGGTATCTCCCTGCCCCTCTGCCCCACATCCAGGCCATTTTCATAGAGACTGATCGCCCTGATTCCCAGCCCCGGTGTTACCATGGCAACCCAGCAGCCTCCTTTGGTGAGGAAGGAAAGATGGCCACTGATTCTGCAGGACGCTCTGGGCAGATTTATAATAAGGCCAGGTGCAAGCTTGCAAGGCGTGGCAATGAATGGGGCCGAGCACATTAGTAGCGCACCCCACACCTGCAAGCCAGGCTAGCGCATGGCATTCATTTGAGTGTGTGCGTGCTCTCAGGGCAGTTTCGCAAAGGATGTCTTCAGAAGGGAAAAGTCCTCACTGTACCTTTGGTCTAAGGAGACAGGCCTCCTGGAGTGTGCTTTCTTCATATGTCAGAATGGTGTGTTTTCCTTTCCTATATAGCTAGGCAAAAACAAATATTAAAAAAAATTGTAAATACAAAGTAGTGCCCTAATGCATATTAGTTGTGGAAAAGAATTAGAAACATATGTTTCTATAGACACATTTTATATATAATTAAAAGAAATACATGGAGTGTGAACATGCAACTTCCTTTAATGTGCTTTGTCACCCACCGCACTCCACGCAGCTGAAATCTCTGGAGTCTATTCAGGTGCACCTGCACTCTCCTCTCCTCCATGCTCCACACCCACTTCTGTACGCTGCTTTGCAGAGCTGAGGTCAGAGCCCTTCAATCCCTAGCTCTGCTTTCAGGGGTTAGGCCCACAATGGGGCTGAGGAGCCTGAGGTGGGAAGAGCAAGGCTGGTGTGGGGTCTGGGCCTCAGCTCGCAGTGTGCAGAAGCAGAACGCTAGGCACCCACAGAGCCAGAAACTCATTCCAGGAACTGGAAGGATGTGGTGGGGTTGGAAGAAACTATCATGTTTCCAGGGGACTCTGAGCTCTTTGTTGCAACTGGAGACTCTACGACATGCACTCTGAACCTGCTGCTCTGCGGCCAGCCTCAGCCAGGCCGGGGTGCTGAGACACGAGCTGAGCATGCAGGTTGGACCCAGCAGTGCCCACCCCTCCATTGTTCCCCTGGGCTCTGCAAATATGTACAGATAAAATCGTGGCTAATAAAGTTGCAGCTCCTGGTGGGTCCGGGCTGATCATATGGGTGCAGGTTCCATGCTTACCTACAGAACCAAAGGGGTTTTACTGAATACAGTACCTGGTAAAGATGGCAGAGGCTGAGGCACAGGTGCCTGCGACCTTGCTGTAAGGGTGGACAGTTGGGGAGGCTGATGGAGCAGCCCTCTCCCTTCTGGTTTCACTCACTTCCCTTCACAAAAACAACAGAGGAACCATCAGGGTGGGGCCAGCTAATGAGGCCCTCAACCCTGAGCACAGAAGCACACACTTCTTTAAGAAAGAAGAGTGCCCACACTATTTTTTCTCACATGCCCTGGTTTACCGGACACCTTGGCACTGGTGGTATCTCTGGGGTCCTCCCGTGTCCAGCACCAACCTACAGCCTAAATATTCAAATTACAGCGAGGGAAAGGCCGAAGACACGACATTCTAAGACAAGGTGGATTTCAGACTAGCACTGAGTGGATCTACAGAATAGATGAGAAAATAGAGAGTGACGAGGCTACGGCTCACAGAACATGCAGGGCCGATGGGGACATTGCTGCATCAGAGGAGCCCGGGTTTGAGCCCCTGCCCAGGAGGGCTGTCCTGAGCTGATGGAAGCCGACTGCAACAAAATGTCTTAGCAACTTTGTTTCACACTCAGGAAGTCTCTGTGACCTTCAGATTCAAGTAACTAAGATGTCCATCAATCACTCTTATCCCCCTAACAGTGTCAGGCCTCCTGGCATGTGACTGTAGCTAGAATATTTTCAGGGCCAAGAGTGAAGTCCACAGATAACTGACAAGAGATGCAAATTAGGTGCCAATTCATAGTGTTCAGAAAATTTCCATTTAAATTGCTAATCAAGCTGAATCCACTGGCAAATGTAGAAATCAACATGTACATAAATTATCTGGAAAACTGCAAAGCTCTGTAGAATACCCGGCATTGACTAGTCTGTGAAATAGAACAGAGAAATAGCAATGTCTTTAGATACAGATTACCCTCCCCAAATCTTCCAAGCATGTTCTTGTTGAGCTCTTTAGAAAGCCTCTGGGCCAGCCTTTTCAAAATGCATTTCTTTAAACAAAAATGTTCTATGAGATGGTTATTAAGTGTTTTACACACACACACACACACACACACATCCACAGCGAACTAAATCTGAGAGAAATAGCATCCTGTATCCCCTCTAGGAAAATCAAAATACATATTGGTACATTCCAGATTCTGAGGAGCCCTGCAGGACAAAAACCGACTTGCCTGGGTTGATTTAATGTGGCATTTCTGGGAGCCACTAGATCAGAGAAGGCTCATTTTTGGTAGAGCACCTACTCCCAGCTTGGTACACATACATTGGGCAGTGCCGCGCTATAGCCAACTGTGAGTTTTGCTATTACCAATTTAATTGCTTACACTTTCGTGGGAGACAACTCCCACACCAACAAGTAGGGAAACAAATCCCAGCTGCTCCTCTTTAAGCCGACTCCCATTCCAAACAAGCAACTGCTTTGCAGGCTCTCCATCTGCTCTGTTTACGTGGAAATGCAAACCCTCCATCAGATTGAGAAACGGATGATCTGGGCTAAGCCCCTCTAATAATTGCACTGAGTCAGCAGCAGACGTCATGTCTCCCCTGCTCCACAGCATACTATGGCTCCCCATTGCCCAGCAGGTTACTTTGTTATTCTGCCTGTCCTGCCTTTTCTCCCATCCCTCCTCTGCACCTGTCTGCGCTTCTGTCTCATTGCAGCTCTCCCACTGCCCCCTCAATGCTGAGTCCTCCTTCCTAGTTCTTAGAGCATGCTCTTCCTCTTCCACTTATCCACAACAAAGCAAGCAAGCTCCACGCCCCTCGCCCCACAGACACTGAATATTTTGGGCTTCAAGGGCCGTATGATCTCTGTCAAAACTCAACTCTGCCACGGTAATGGGAAGCAGCCAGTGACAATATGTAAGTGAATGAGTGTGGCTGAGTTCCAATAAAGCTATTTACAAAATCAGGCAGTGGGCTGGATGTAGCCTGGGGGCTGTAGTTTGCCAGTCCTGATCTTTATAATTGTCCATTCTTTAAGCATGATTTCTAGTCTTATTCTGTGCATCTTTCATCCACAATTTCAGCAAATATCGTTCATTTTAATTTCTCACTGGTCATAAGGAAGAGATTAAATGTGAAGCATCTACTGTGTTCTAGGTTTTATGTAGACTATTTCATTGAATTATCCCAATAATTATTATTCTCGCTTTATAGATGAGCAACCCAGGCCTAGAATAGCACACCTATGGGAAACAGGCTCCAGCTGAATCTGGACTCTACAACTCTATGCTCCAGAGAGTCCCCATGCCCATCGTTCATTCACTTCACTGTGCTGGGTGTCCTGCAAACCCATTCCCAAACACCATCTTGCTTGACAGTCATACCATGCCAGGGGTGTAGGGACTTCCTTCATCCTCATTTGCAGATGTATAAACTAAGGCACTGAGATCGTCAGTGACGTGCCCCAGGTCACACAGCTGGTTGCCATCAAGGCCAGGATTCAAACTCACATCTCCAGTCCTCAAAGTCAATTTCACCATGTTGGGCTGTTTTCAGTTAGTAAATAGCATCCTTCAGTGTAAGACTCAGAGGTCAGTGAAGCTTGCCAAGCAGTGCCAGGCAAATCAATGGGCAGCCTAACCAAGGGGAGGTTAGGACCACTCAGAGGAGGTTCATTTGCATTTTGACACCTAAATTAGGAAAACCACATCTTGGCTTTCATCTTCAGGAAACTGTTAGAGGGTGCTATTTAACAAACACCCTCTTTCCAGCTTTTAAATTGAGAACGAACATGGGAGCCAGAGTATGGCACTGTTAGGATTAGGAAGGCTACACTGGACAACTCTAACATCCCTTTTGCATTCTAGAACTTGATACCTTATTATCCCAACCAATACTTCAAGCACCGGCAGAAATGATGGAATAAAGAGAGCAAAGATCTGATTGAGCATGGCACACATAGAACCTATCTGGTCTGTTTACTGCATAGAAACTAAAGCTCCCAATGCTGTTGGCTCTAGAGTGACTCTATCCCATGGCTAACTCGCCCACAGATGGCAGGCTTTCCCCAGACTCATCCCCTACACTTGTCATTGAGCCTTCCTTGGGGAAGATATAAAGTGTCTGTGTGTGTATGAGAGAGAGAAAGAGAGAAAGAGAGGGAGGGAGAGAGAGATTGTAGGTGTTCCCTCTGAACCAATAGAGGAAACAGGAAATAGGAAGCTAGGGGAATAAGGGTTTCCCCTTGTATCAGTTAGCTATCACCAGGTTACACCACGTAACAAGCAACCCCTCACATTGGAACTACAATAACTTATAGCTACAAAGGGCTATTTCTCACGTAGTTACATGTTGGTTGGCTGCAGTGCTCTGGCATCACTCCACGTGTCTTCCCCATTCTGAGATGTCTAAGGAAGCAGCTCCTTCTCGGTTTCTTGGCAGAAGGTGCAGATCAAGAAGACTGGCCAAAAGCATGTATATGTCATTGATCAAAGCAAGTCACATGATCAAGCCCCACATCAATGGGGTTGTTAGCCCTCTCACAAGAAGATAAATACTTGTGAACAACAGTACAGTCTACCATACTCCCTCACAGGAACAATTCTACATCAAAGTAGAACAGAAGAATGTCCTTCCTCTAAGTAAAGACAAATTGAGTTGTCTAATTTCACTTACCCAAGATGATGAATCAATGATTAATTCCAGACATGTCAGGAATAATGACATAAGCTACATCTATTATAAATTTAAGGTGACTTCAACAATGCTCTTATATCTGCCCACTTCCATTTATTACAACATCCCTATCTTGGTTCCTATCACCAGAACCTCTTCCTGGTCTTCCTCCTATAAGTTGACTCCTCCAGTTCACTCTCAATATTGTAGCTGGAGTGAGTGACAACAATGTAGTCTTGTCATTCTCTGTGTAAAACCCTTTGTATCTGCAACTTGAACTCAAAAAAAGAGCTAATCATTTTTGCCCATTTACTATTTTCCAGATATGTTTCTGAGATAATATATACTATTTTATTTAATCCTCACAAAACACTATTAAATACTACTATTAGTACTAATACTTAATAGACTGATTTAATATTTAACAGGAGCCAGAGGTTCAAAAAGATTAAGCACTTTCCCCTGTTGAGTTTGAGTTTTTAATATGAGATGAGAGACTACAGTAGCCAGTCCCCAAGATGGCACCCAGTGATTCCTGCCTCCTGGTATTCACACCATTGTAAGTCCCCTTCCACATTGTGTCAGGGTTGGCGTGACCCACAGAATATGGCAGAAGTGATGATGTGGGACTCCCAAGGCTAGGTCATACAAGACATTGTAGCTTCTGTTTTGGTCTGTTGCTGGGGTCATTCTGTCAGAGGTAGGCAGCTGCCATATTGTGAGGACACTCAAGCAGCACTATGGAAAGGTCTACAGAACAAGGAGCTGAGCTCACCTGCCAGTGGCCAACAAGAAACTGAGGGCTGCCAAATTGGGTGAGTGAGCCTTCTTGAAATCAGATCCTCAAACGCTGAGATTACTGCAGCCCTGGCCAATGCCTTGATGGAAACCTCATAAGAGACCCAGAGCTAGAGCTAGGTTAAGTTGCCCCCAAAGTCTTGAGCCACAGAAACTGCGAGATGAATATATGTTGTTTTAAGCTGCAAAGTTTTGGGGGTAATTTGTTGCATAGCAATAGAAAATTAATTCACTCTGCCACCTTCACACTAAACTCAGTTCTCAAGACCCCTGGGCAGCACTCCGTAGTACCCACTACTATGGAGTATGGGAAATGGTAAGATATTCTAAGAGGAAAAATTAAACTAGGGCTAAGAAGCATGTTAAGACGTTATGGTTTTAAATAGGATGGTCAAGAAAAGACTCACAGGGAAGGCAACATTTGCTGAAAGGCCTGGAGGTGGTGGGGAAGTGAGCCCACTGGTGATCTTGGGGAAGAACAGTCCATAAAAGGGGAACAAGTGCAGAGGCCAGAGCTGAGGAGGGCCTGGCATGCTCACAGGCACTGAAGAGGTCCAGTGGCTCGAACAGGTGAGTGCAGGTGAGCGCAGTGGCTGGAACAGGTGAGTGGCTGGAACGGGTGAGTGCAGGGTGTGTATTCGGAGATGAGATCCAACAGGGAAGAGAAAAGATCGGATCAAGCAGTGGCCTTGTGGGTGATTTTCAGGACTTTGGTTTTCAGTCTGAGTGAGATGGAAAGTCATCAGACAGCTTTGACCAGAGGAGTGACACCATTCAACTCATACTAGTGCCCTCCTTCATCCTAAAAATAATTGTTGAACAGAATTAGATAATGTGGCTAACATTAATTAACTGATAGTTATGTGCCAGGCATTATATAACATACTTTACCTAGATTAAAGGGATCGTAGGATATCCATGAACATCCCCATTCTATTGATGGGAAAACTGAATCTTGGGGAGATAAAATAGCCAGTCTGCAATCATACAGCCAGGGAGTGATGGAGCTGGGCTCTGAACCCAGGTAGCCTGGACTTACTAATTAAGCAGCTACTGTTCCTATAACCAAAAGTCCAACATAGCCAGGTATATAAAATATACTCAATATCACTAATCATTAGGGAAATGCAGGTACAAACCACAAAGAGATGTCACCTCACCCCTGTCAGAATGGCTATTACCAAAAAGACAAGACATAAAAATTGTTGGCAAGAACGTGAAAAACAGAGAATCCTTGTACGCTGTTGGTGGAAATGTAAATTAGTACAGCCATTATGGAAAACAGTATGGAGGTTCCTCAAAAAACTATGATCCAGCAATCTCACCACTGGGTATAGATCCAAAGAAAATGAACTTAGTATGTCAAAGAGATAGCTACACTCCCACGTTCATGCCAGCATTATTCACAATAGCCAAGACACGGAATCAACCTAAGTGTCCATCAAGGGATGAATGGATAAAGAAAATGTTATATACATATATATATATATATATATACACACACACACATACACATATACATATATATACATATATATACGTATATATATGTATATGTGTATATATATACACATATACATATATACGTATATGTATGTATATATATATACATATGCAACAGAATACTATTCGGCCTTAAAAATGAGGGAAATCCTGTTATTTGTGACAACATGGATGAACCTGGAGGACTTATGTTAAGTGAAATAAGCCATGTACAGAAAGACAAATACTGTGTCTCAGTATGAGACACATACACATCTGTATGAGCATGATCTCACTCACATGCAGAATCTAAAAAAAGTCTAATTGATAGAAGCAGAGAGTAGAATGGTGGTTGTCAGAGGCTGGGGAGTAGGATGAGGATGTTGGTCAAAAGGTACAAAGTTTCAGTTAGACCAGAAGAATAAGCTTCAGTGATCTGTGACACCACATGGTGACCATAGTTAATAATAATGTAATGTATATTTTAAAATTACTAATAAAGTTGATTTTAAACATTCTCATTGCAAAACAATGATAAGTAGGTGAGGTGATGGATATGTTAATTACCTTGATTTAATTTTTCTACAGCGTATACGTAGATTAAAATATCACACTCTACCACATAAATAGATAGTTTTTTTGGGGGTGGAGATGTTTAGCGATGTTTCAGGGACAGGATCTCACTCTGTCACCCAGGCTGGAGTGCAGTGGTATGATCACAGCTCACTGCAACCTTGAACTCCTGGGCTCAAGGGATCCTTTTGCCCCCGGAGTAGCCAGGACTACAGGTGCACATCAGTATATCTGACTAATTTTTAAAGATTATTTGTAGAGACGGGTTTTTTGTTTGTTTGTTTCTTTGTTTGTTTTGAGACGAAGTCTTGCTCTGTTGCCAGGCTGGAGTGCAGTGGCGCAATCTCGGCCCACTGCAACCTCCACCTCCTGGGTTCAAGTGATTCTCCTGCCTCACCCTTCCTAGTAGCTGGGACTACAGGCGTGCGCCACCACACCCTGCTAGTTTTGTGTATTTTTAGTAGACACAGGGTTTCACCTTGCTGACCAGGCTGGTCTTGAACTCCTGGCCTCAAGTTGTCCACCCACCTTGGCCTCTCAAAGTGCTAGGATTACAGGCATGAGCCACCATGCCCAGCTGAGACAGGGTTTTGCTGTTGACCAAGCTGGTCTTAAACTCCTAGCCTCAAGTGATCCTCCCTCCTCAGCCTCCGAAAGAGTAGGGATTACAGGTGTGAGCCACTGCACCCAACTTGCACCGTTATTATGTGTCAATTAAAAAAATTTTTTTAAATCATCATGTTGTACACCATAAATATATACAATTTTTGTCAATTTAAAAGTTAATTAATTTTAAAAATTAAAAATTAAATTACCTAAAAAAGGTCACACGTGGGGCTGACGATCAGTGAAACTGAAGTACTCCTCTTCAAATAATCTAGTCCTGCCAGACAACTCTGCCATGTAGTCCCTCTGCCCTGTGTCAATTCTCGATGCCCTGCCCTGGGAGAGGCTGCAGGGCCAGTGGGGAGAGCACTGCCTGGACCCAGATGGACTCGCCTGTAAGCCCAGCAGCAACACTCCCTCTCAGGCAGACAGTGCAATTTCCCTGACCTCAGTTTCCATGACCTTCAGGCTTTCTGCGTGAGTCAGGTAGCACATGATAAAGCTAAGTTAGTGGGAATAGTTATGGTTTTACTAAAGTCATTATTTGGGGGGAAAATCTAAAATCTGAACTAATTACATTTTAGATGATTTATTCCAGTATTCCATAAGGTAAACTATATTTTAAGTGTTTTAGAGTATCTGAGAAAAAGGAACTGGGTTTTTTTTTTCTTTTCTCATAATGTCTCAAATGCTGGGGACTTTTGCCCAAACGCTGAGGACTTTTGCCCAGCCACGGGACTGCTGTAAACAATGACAAACACCAAAACAGCTTCTTATAAACATAAATTCTTTTTGTCAAAACCATTAGTATTTTCTATATTCATTCCTCAGTGGCCAGAGACAGACATGATAACGGAGGTTCTAAAAATGGTTTTGACCCAAAGTGTACCAGCGACATTCATCTCGCCACGCAAATCTGACCATCTAATGGGGTTCTCCCTGGTTCTGCTGACGCAGCTCATTTTTTAATGGCCTTCCTTAGTCACACATGAGGGTCAGTGACGAACATAACCTATCAGGGCCTGGCCCTGCTTCCTGTTAATACCCCCGACTTGGTGCTAGGGTCGGCCGAGCACCACGCATCATTTTTTTCAGGTCTATCAGTGGTTTCCCAGGTCATGAGGTGAGCCTTTCACATGGCAATGTTCGATGCAGCAAAGACATTGCATTTGAGGCATTTGAGGACTCCCAGGCTTTATGTGATGGTAGAAAACAGATGTCAGGGACTGCGTAAGGACTCAATCACATCCAAATAGTTTGCAGACATTTTCTTAGAAAGGATGGAGGATGTCTCTGTCACCTCTTAGTGGAGAACAATCTCTCAGAGAAACCCAACTCAAGCAGAGCCCTTGGGGTTAACCTTTTAAATTGATCATGTGGGTCCTCATCATACATACCAGAAAATGTCAGCACCCTTCTGGATATTCCCGACTTTGTGAATAAGGTTGGGCTACAGGGATAGGCAGATCCTTCCCCAAGAATGGCTCTTTATCCTCTTGACATTTTGCAGTTTTCATGGTCATCTGTGGAAGCCATGCCCCAGGTATGACGTCTAATATAGAAGACTAATGGTAAACAATGGGGTTCGGGTCTTAAAATTGTGGCTGAAACTTGTGGGTGGGGAGGGGGTAGTCAGAGGAGAGGCCAGAGTCAAATGCTATGAATGTTGGATAATGAGTCGTCCAAGTAGCCAAGTCAGAGAGAAAATGGTAGACGGGTTACAGGGTCAGTTTACAGAAACTGGAAATAGGCCAGGTAGCTTTGGAAACGAAGTTTCCACATCTGTATGAGCAGCTGGTCCTAGCGTGTGTGGCCTGGAGCCTGAGGGCCTCTCACTAGGTAGGGCTCTCTCTGGGGTCTCTCCTTCACCTGCATCTCTCTCCCGACCTGGTCCCCATGGATCATCCACCCTACATCTTCATGCCTTTTAGGCTGTTCCTTACCTCCTTGCCTCTATTTATTCACCAGTCCTCAGACACAGATGACAATCTTATTCAACAGGCATTTGCTGAGCACTGTGTGCCAGGGAGCGTTCTCGATGCTGTAGGCCCATTGGTGAGCAGAGACTGCGCACCTGTGAGGTTTCTGTTCTTGTGAGGGTGATGGATGACAGACAAAGGAGGCCTGCAGAAGAGTCTATTCTTGCAGCTTGGACTAAGTCATCAAGCTGTGCTGACCAGGGTCAGCCACAGAGGGCCAGGAGGATGACCTTGGAGAGGGTGGAAGGAGCAGGAATGTGAGGAGTCAGGGAGGTGTGTCTGGGGCAGAGGGCATGGCACGCAGGAAGGCAGGGAAGGATGGGCCCGCAGGGTTCAGGAACAGCAGCGGGGTGCAGACCAGAGAGTGCCCGGAAAGCACGAGGAATTTGCTTGAAACGTAATGGAAGCCCCTTTCCTCTGTTTGCTCACCCTCACCTTCCTGGAAGGTGCTAACCTACTTTTTAAAACTCCAATGAGATGGACCTCACGTGATCACGGCAAGAGGGCAGCCACACCCTCGCAGGGAGCTCCTGGAGATCGAGGTAAATGCCTTACTTATGGTGGTGCCCAGTGTCTAGCAAGGTGTGGGGCCATCAACACATTTGTGGAGCTAGCCAGAAGTGAATGAATGAGGGAAGGAAGGAAGGAAGGAAGGAAGGAAGGAAGGAAGGAAGGAAGGAAGGGAAGGAGAGAGGGAGAGAGGGAGGAAGGAAGGAAGGAAGGAAGGAAGGAAGGAAGGAAGGAAGGGAAGGGAAGGAGAGAGGGAGAGAGGGAGGAAGGAAGGAAGGAAGCAAGGAAGGGAGGGAAGGAAGGAGAGAGGGAGGGAGGAAGGAAGGAAGGAAGGGAGCAAGGAAGGAAGGAGGGAAGGAAGGAAGCAAGGAAGGAAAGGAAAGGAAAGGAGGGAGGGAAGGAGGGAGGGAGGGAGGGAGAGAGGAAGGAAGGACTACCTCCACACTTCCTAGCTGTTCAGTAGAATTTGGCTCTCTAGATACGGCTTTTTTGGTCTGGAATGCTGAATCAGTAGCCAAAGTCATCAAAGACCGTCTCTTTCTCAAGGATCCCCAGTGTGGAAGCGGGACCCACCCAGCAAACCCATGCAGCATCAGGCAGCGCAGGGTTTTCATCCCGCTAGGAGCCTGCCCCCTGGTGGTGAAGAGAAGAAACGCAGAGCGAGAACCAGAGCCGGGCCGGGATGTCCCTGGGGCGGATGTCAGGGTTCACCTGGGGCTGCTTTGCCCCTGCGTGCAGCACCGCCCAGTAGGGCTGCTTACCTGTCCCACCCGTGCGCGCCCGCGGGTTCTAAACTCATTTTAACACTTGGTTAAGCAAAAACCAATTTGAGAAAATAAATGAGCTTGTAGGGTGTTTGAAAGCTAAATGGATTGATTTTGGATTGAGAACTACAGTGCTCTCAGGTTTTATATGGCACAGGATTACACACACCCAGGAGGAGCTGTGTGGTAATTATGACTAGAATCAGAAATTGCACCGTAAAAAGCTCATCTGAATAGATCCGGATTTACCGACACGGAAGACGGTCAGTTTCCCGGGAGGCCGGAAGACTGGGTATAGAATGAGCTTTCCTGGTGATCTCTAACAAACAAAAGGTGTCTGTGCTCTTGCAAGTGAAGGAAAACATTCTGAAGGGGGATGGTGAGCTCTGTTTTAAGTCATAACATTGAAGTACTTTGGGGTTATTTTTTGAGTGTCTGTATTTTCTGACTTCTCTATATTGTATTTCTGCAGCTCTCTCCCAGTTTTCTTTAGGGAAGCCCTAACTTAGACTCTCATGAATCCCCCAAAAAGGCAAGTTGAAAAAAATAACTTTTCTTTTTTGACATTTGAGGCATTCAAATGTCACACAGAGTCTCACTCTGTCGCCCAGGCTGGCGTGCAGTGGCACGATTTCAGCTCACTGCAACCTCCACCCCCCGGGTTCAAGTGATTCTCCTGCCTCAGCCTCCTGAGTAGCTGGGACTACAGGTACCTGCCACCACACCCGGCTTATTTTGTATTTTTAGTAGAGATGGGGTTTTATCATGTTGGCCAGGCTGGTCTCGAACTCCTGACCTCAAATGATCCACCCACCTCGGCCTCCCAAAGTGCTAGGATTACAGGTGTGAGCCACCGTGCCTGGATGAAAAAAAAAAAATAAGTTTTTTAATCCAGAAGAGATGGTATCTCCTCATGGTTTCATTTAGTTTTAAAAGACCCTTCTCACTTCCATCCCTCCCTCCTCACATACAAACCTAAAATTCTTGGATCCCTGAGGATAAAAACATAGTGGCGGACTCACATCTACCTGTATAATATTCAGGCAGCTTTTCCCAATTATTAGCTGTTCTCCACAGGATGAATGGAAGGTTTCTTTTTCTCCCTACTTCAATTCTAGTTAAATAAGTGAGATGCAAGGAGGAGGAAGAATTATAACGAGTCTGTACCGTGATATTATTTCATTACAGGCTGTAAAAAAATCCTCATTATTAGTCAGTTATATCATATTAGTGATCTTGCATCGTGTGTGTGTGTGTGTGTGTGTGTGTGTGAGATCCTGCATGTGTGTGTGAGACGGATAGAGTGTCTGTGTGTTTTTGCCTGGGAGAATGTTGTTGCCACTGCTCTTATATAGGATGGTTTTAAATAAATTTCTTTGCCACTTTCAAAAGTCTGTGTCCTGGATTCACACCTTCACTCTCATTCTCTTTATTCTACTTAGTCGTCCCATTTGCCTATGTATATTTCCTAGGACCAAATGCTGTCTTTTAAAAGCCCTTCCCGAAACCTCTCTGAGATTCTTTCTTGAACAGTTTTACAAACTTACAACCCACCCAATGTGTTTACAGGTAAGGTTTGCAGCGTAGAAAACATGATCAGCACCAACTGTCACTCCTGTTGTTGCAAATTTCCTTCCCCCATTTACTGTTACACACAATGAGAATAGCAATTGGCAAGCACTGGGGAAAGACCCATCTGCCTATCTACATGTGCATGCAGTAGGAGGTGCATATGTGCATACAGCGAGCTTTTAGCCATCAGCTCACCTGAGTGCTCTGTCCTTCTCACTTCCTGCCGAGCAGACCTAGCAAACCAGGGGGAGTTCATGCTTTCTCTGCATTTGTCAGACCACATCTAGTGTGTGAGGGCTGGCTCCTTTCTTCCTTCATTCATTCTTCAAATCTTTACTGAGCTTGTCCTATATGCTAGACACTCTTCTAGACAACAGAGGGGTGGAGGTGAGAAAGACAGCCCTCCCCCTCCAGGGGCTTACACTCCAGGAATAGTGACCAACAGACAGAGTTGATTCATGCCTTGGGAAGCGTCTAACAAAGAAGAGAGAGGCAAGCAGGAAGGGAGTGGGGTGAGGAGGCCCTGGCCCTCACTAGTCTTAAGATATTCAGCTTTCCTGGAGGAGGTGTTACCTAAATCAGGTGCTGAGGAAAGCAGGTGTCATTCAGGGAGATGATGGGGGCAGTGGGGAGAGGATCTGGAGAGAGGACATCTCATGCCAAACTGAAAGGGCCCAGGGAGGAAAGGTCGGTGCACAGGGTGGTGAGGGCGTGCTGTGTGTGGTGGGCGCACAGCA
The DNA here is from genome assembly GCF_000001405.40 of Homo sapiens. Lineage (NCBI taxonomy): Eukaryota > Metazoa > Chordata > Mammalia > Primates > Hominidae > Homo > Homo sapiens. The sequence goes on from NC_000002.12 coordinate 234,547,551, forward strand.
GGGAAGGCAGAGGTGGATTCAAGGAAGTGAGAAGGGGCAGTATGAGGAGGTGAGGTAAACTCAGGAGAAGTTGAAGAAGCAGTCAGTTTGGCCTGAGGAAGAATCAAGGGCAATTCTTTTTGAAGCAGTGAGAGCTGCCCAAAATGCTGAAAACACAGACGCAAGGGTAGACGGATTCTGTGGCCTCCATGTCATAGGAATAGAATGAATGGCTGAAGGGCAGAAGGAGGAGTGTTGGAGGATAAATGGAAGCAGAGACAGCAGTTACTGAGCAGGTGCAACACATCAGGTGCCTTATGTGTGTCCTCCTGTTGATTCTCACAGCAATGCTGGAGTGGAACAATTATACCTTCCACCTTCCACAGGAGGTAGCTGAGGCCAGTGCACTTAGGAAACTTGCCCAATATTATGGGCTGCCAATTGGTGGAGCTGGGATTTGAACCCAGGAAGCCTGGTTCCCAGGCCTGTGCCAATGAAAGGCAACCAACCATGAAGCAGGCACCTTCTAAGGCAGTGAGGATCTCATTGCTGGAAATTTTCTAGAAGGGGGCGATATAGTGGACATTTGTGGCTAGCTCCCCAGCGCTTGTATAAGTCAGCACACTCCAATCCCTGTTTCCCCAGGGGCACCCACATGATGGAAGAGCTGGCCAGCCCCAGCTGCCATAAAAACCCTGGCCAAGGGAGGCACAGAGCGGTCCCTGGGGGCACTGGCCTACCTGACCACAGCGTCCAAAGCTCGTGGCCTCTGGGCTTTCCACTAGGAGGGGTGATTGGAAGAAAGAGTGAAAGGCATCCAGGAGCTAAATGATAAGAACTCATGAACACAAAGAAGAAAATAACAGACACGGGTCTACTTGGGGGTGGAGGGTGGGGGAAGGGAGAAGAGCAGAAGAGATCACTACTGGGTACTGGGCTTAATTCCTGGGGGATAAAATAATCTGTGCAACGGATGTCGTGACATGAGTTTACCTATGTAACAAACCTGCACATGTACCCCTGAACCCAAAATAAACGTTGACAAGAAGAAAGGCATCAAGGAATTAAATTGTTAAACTTTGGGAAAAAGTTGCAGCTCAGGCAGACTTGGAGGAGAGAGAAACCAGTGTTTTGGAGTGAGAGAGAGGAAACAGGCAGTTCTGAATTCTTTGGAGCAGTCGAGGGAGCCCAGGCAGGGGCTAAAGACACCCGCTCGAGGGCGTGGCTGCCTTCCCGAACCCCTTCGCCCTGGCCAAGGCCTCCTCCTCTATGAGAACAAAGTCAGAATTGAGAAAAACTACACACAAAAGGATAATCATCCATTCAGACGGTGAGGGTGCTGAGTGAGCTGTGTCTAGGGGAAACCAGCGGGGAGGGCCCGGGAGGAGTTTGTGCTACAGCAAGAATATTATGAAGAAGAAAATGACTTCACCAGAAAAGGGCAGCCTGAGCCTGTGGCCTCCATGGCTTCTCCAGGCTATGGGTCTGTGCTTCTCCTACAGACTCTAGTAACGTCTGAGTTGCTTGAAAAAGAAATCGAGGGGCTTTACACCCATGTTGTCACACCTGTGCTTATCATTAGCATTACAATCTGGAAAGGGGGCGGGCTGGGGAGAGAGGGAAGCTTCCTCTCCTGGGGCCCAGGGACATGTGGTCTGGAATCCTAGCAACCCAAACAGCTGGCTGCTGTACTGGCTTCTTGGCCGGTCCCCTCTCATACTCCAATATAGAGATGCAGACAGTGAGTCAATGAGTTCCCATCACTGATAAGTCACATGGTTTGGGTTTGCCTCGTTTTGTGTCTTGCAAACAAAAGCATTCTGATGGATTTGGCTGAGGTCAGTCCGCCCTCTCTCAGGGTTGCTATGGAAGGAATCTCTCCATCAGGAGGTGTGTGGACGAGGACCTCTGAGATCTCTGGCTCAACTCTAAGATTCTATTACTCCTTCGTATGATTCAAAGTTGCGTAGGTTCTTCTTCTTTCAGGTGCAGGTGGAAAACATTTAAAGACACAGAGTTTTTAAATTGTTTTATATTTTAGATTCAGGGGTTACACGTGCAGGTTTGTTTCAAGGATATATCATGTGATGCTGATGTTTGGACTTCTATTGATTCCATCACCCACATAGTGAGGGTAGTACCCAGTAGAAAGTCTTCAGCCCTTTCTCCCCACTCCCTCCCTTTCTCCCTCCTTCTCTCCTTTTGGAGTCCCCAGTGCCTATTGTTCTCATCTTTATATTTGCGTGTACCAAGGTTTAGCACCCACTTGTAAGTGAGATGTGACATTTGCCTTTTTGTTTCTGCATTACTTCATTTAGAATGATGGCCTGCAGCCACATCTATGTTGCTGCAAAGGACATAATTTCACTCTTTTTTATGGCTCCATAGTATTCCATGGTGTACATGTATGACATTTTCTTATTCAGTCCACCATTGATGGACATCTAGGTTGATTCCATGAAGAGAGACACAATCTTAATTATTTTGTCATCACAGACGTCACTAAGACAAAAAGAGGGAACATTTAACGTAAGTTCTACAACCTAATGACACCGACAGGAATTCGATCCTGGTTTTGGAAAGCTTAAATTAGACACACACACGTGCTCAGGCACACACAAAGCAGAATTCTTTGTCTAACTTAGACCCCAACTTCAGAGGGTAAGTTCAAGTTCACATCTTGAAAATTTAAATGGCTCTATTAAGACATTCTTCCCATATCCTTGGGTTTAAAATGCAGTGAGTCAACCAGCCAAACTAATTTCGTACTCAACTCTCATATACTTGAACGAATTATGGCTATTTTTAACAGGATTATGAAGATTATCAAAATCACTTGAGAGAGTAAGAAATCCTGTTGGAAGGAAGTATAATACCCTTGCAAAGATAAGTATAATTAGTGTGGAAAAGGGCGATGAAAAATTAATAGAGTTTTAAGGTCAAAGATACATGCAGATGTGTAAAATCCTCAAATTAGTTCTTGTAAGACTCTGTCCTAACAAATTCCGCGATCAGAACATTCTCCGAAGTTTTTCTGCATTCTTCAGACTCTCCAAGAGTGGAAGGTGCCAACTGCATCCCTAGCCAGGGCAGGAGAACAAAGAGAGGAACCCACATCGTGACCACAACCATCTCAGCCCCGAACGACGCTGCTCTCATAGCGAAGGTGTTCAGTTTCACCACTAGAGGGAGCGCAGAGCCCACAGCATCATCATAAGGTTAGGGAGAAAGAAGAAATTGGGTCCAGAAACTTCCTTCGGCATCCCCCACCCACCACAGATAAACGTTACAGCGATCTCATGGGAGAATTGAGAATGCACACAGGTCAAACGATCTTGTGGTAGACCACAGGCTGGGTAAGTTCATTTGCAAGTCCTTGCTGTCTGCTAGCCTCCAGCGCGTGCCTTACAGACACTTTTGATGGATAATCACACCTTTCTCACAAGGGTTCCGTGAGTCACTATTTTGCAGAAGAAGCAACTGAGGCCCAGAGAGTAACTTGTTCGAGTTGATAAAGCAAGTAAGTCTTCCGGACTCCAAAGATGGTGCCTGTAACAGTGTTCCCAGGAAGCACCCAGGACTCAGGACGCTCTTTGAAGATCACAATTGTATGATCTCACTGAAAACAAGCTTCTGCCCCTGAAGTCATGTTTTGACATCCTAGCTGTTCCTGGGAACTCATCCACAACGTCCCATTAAAAGTGGCCATGACATTACAGAAAGAAAACAGAAAAGAAGGAGAGAGTGAGAGAGAAATTCACAAGAGTGCCCCTACCACCAGGAACCTAAAAAACAGAGAGAAAATCCACAGGCCAAGAGGAAATCCACTGGGCTGCTAGTGGAGTTTGACAGAGAAGCACAAGTCATCATCGGATATCCTGTTTCTAATATGAATGGTAAAGGCCTCAATTTATTTATTTAATTTAATTTAATTTTTTGAGACGGAGTTTCACTCTTGTTGCCCAGGCTGGAGTGCAATGGTGTGATCTCGGCTCACTGCAACCTCCGCCTCCCTGGTTCAAGTGATTCTCCTGCCTCAGCCTCCCAAGAAGCTAGGATTACAGGCACGCACTACCACACCCAGCTAATTTTTGTATTTGTAGTAGTGACAGGGTTTCACCATGTTGCCCAGGATGGTCTGGAACTCCTGACTTCAGGTGATTCCCCCGCCTCGGCCTTCCCAAAGTGCTGGGATTACAGGCCTGAGCCACCGCGCCCAGCCAATTTATTTTTACAAAAGAATATTTCTATAACAAATAAGAAAAAATGGAATTATAACAACACTGTTGGTTTATAGCATCGAATGAACAAAAATCGGGGTATAAAGGAGGGGATGGCAGTTCTTTCCATGGATAAGGCATAGTCAAAATTCCTACTCATTTTTTTTTAACTCTGATAATTAAGCGATAGGGATAAACACAACTTGGTAAACCAAAAATTAAAGACTAAGAACTGAATGTCTCTTCTTTCAAATACAAGAGAAAATTCATGTAAATAAATAAATATGATATACTTAATACATATAATATTAACATCAATATTAATAATATAATATTATATATTAAATATTATATTCTTAATTATAAAAGATAGGAAGTGAAAGGAACAACAGTGAGCCCCCAAAGAGACAAAAGTGTGAAACTACACAGCAAGAATGAGTGAAAGAGAGTTGTTTAAATTCCATAGTTAGGGCCGGGCGCGGTGGCTCACGCCTGTAATCCCAGCACTTTGGGAGGCCGAGGCGGGCGGATCACGAGGTCAGGAGATCGAGACCATCCTGGCTAACACGGTGAAACCCCGTCTCTACTAAAAAAAAATACAAAAAATTAGCTGGGCGTGGTAGCGGGCGCCTGTAGTCCCAGCTACTCGGGAGGCTGAGGCAGGAGAATGGCGTGAACCCGGGAGGCGGAGCTTGCAGTGAGCCGAGATCGCGCCACTGCACTCCAGCCTGGGCGACAGAGCGAGACTCCGTCTCAAAAAAAAAAAAAAAAAAATTCCATAGTTAGAAAAATAAGACATATCAGGTTTTCAAAAAGTGTAGCCATTTTCTGTTTCTAAAAGGGACACTTAAAGTGAAAGGTGACTGAAAGGCTAAGAATGAAGGACCAGGCAAAGATATAACAGGCAGGAAGACAAAGCAACGAAGAAGAGAGAGGAAAACGAATGAAAGGCAAGGCAGGTGCTGTGGTTTGAATGAGTCTCCTCTGATGTGTCCATCTGTGGTGGTATTGAGAGGTGGGGCCTTTAAGAGCTGAGAAAGGGCCGGACGCAGCGGCTGACACCTGTAATCCCAGCACTTTATGAGGCCAAGGTGGGTGGATCACTTGGGGTCAGGAGTTCGAGACCAGCCTGGTCAATATGGGGAAATCCTGTCTCTACTAAAAATACAAAAATTAGCTGGGTGTGGTGGTGGGTGCCTGTACTCAGGAGGCTAAGGCAGGAGAATTGCCTGAATTCGGAAGGTGGAGGTTGCAGTGAGCCGAGATAGTGCCATTGCACTCCAGCCTGGGCGACAGTGTGAGACTCCATCTCAAAAAAAAAAAGAGTCCTTCATGAATGGGACTTAGGGCTTCACAGAAGAGTCTTCCCTCTGTGCTCAGTCTGCTCGCCCTCCTACCTTCCGCCAGGTGAGGACACAGCGTCCCTCCCTCTGGAGGATGCAGCCCTCACCGGACAACCAGACCTGCTGCTGTCTTGATCTTCCATTCCCCAACCTCTGGAACTGTGAGAAATAAATGTGTGCTCTTTATAAATTACCCAGACTGTAGTATTCTGTTATAGCAGCACAAAAGTGACGAAGACTCTTGATGGCTGATCTGTGATGTCAACATGACTGCATTAAGAGTATCAGACAGCGGCCGGGCGCAGCGGCTGACGCCTGTAATCCCAGCACTTTGGGAGGCCGAGGTGGGCGGATCACCTGAGGTCAGGAGTTCGAGACCAGCTTGGCCAACATGGCGAAACCCTGTCTCTACTACAAATACAAAAATCAGCTGGGCGTGGTGGCGCGTGCCTGTAATTCCAGCTACTCAGGAGGCTGAGGCAGGAGAATCACTTGAAACCTGGAGGCGGAAGTTGCAGTGAGCCGAGATCGTAGCACTGCACTCCAGCCTGGGTGACAGAGTGAGACCCTGTCTCAAAAAAAAAAAAAAGAGGATCGGACAGCGATAAAGCGTTATTCTCAGTGCTCCAGTAGGCACTGAACCCATTCCTCTGATTCCCAGGTGGTTTGGCATTTGACTTGAGTGATTGGGCTGCCTCTGGGGTGTCTGTGAGGCTGTTTCCATAGGAGATCAACCTTGAGTGGGTGGTTTGAATAGGAAAGATCTGCCTTCAGGGTGGGCAGGCATCATCCGATCAGTCACGGACCAGATGGAACAAAAAGGCAGAGGAAGGACTAATTCTTGGTCTCTGTCTTTTGGAGCTGGGACACCACCCATCTTCTCTTGCTCTTGGATATCAGAATTTTGGGTTCACCAGCCTTTGGACTCTGGGACTGGCTCCAGCAGGCCCCCAGGCTCTTGGGCCTTCAGCCTCAGACTGAAGATACTGAGAGTTACCCTACTGGCCTCCTTGGTGCAAAGGTCATCAGACTCGGACTGAGCCATGCTACCAGCTTCCCTTGTTCTCCAGCTTGCAGACAGTCTGTCGTGGGACTTCTCAGCCGCTATGATTGAGTTAGCTAATTCCCTAATAAATCCCTTTCGCATACATCTCTTCTCACATCTCTCTCTAAACAGCTCTCTAAATTCCTACCAGTTCTATCTTTCTAACTAAACCCTAACTAAAAAATAGGCTTCTCAGACCAGGCTCAGTGGCTCACACCTGTAATCCCAGCACTTCGGGAGGCCAAGATCGGTGGATCACTTGAGGTCAGGAGTTCGAGACCAGCCTGGCCAATATGGTGAAACCCCATCTCTACTAAATATACAAAAATTAGCCAGGCATTGTGGCACATGCCTGTAATCCCCGCTGCTAGGGAGGCTGAGGCAGGAGAATTGCTTGAACCTGGGAGGCGGAGGTTGTAGTGAGCCGAGATCATGCCACTGCACTCCAGCCTGTGTGACAGAGCAAGATTCCATCTCAAGGAAAAAAAAAAAGTCTTCTCCATCCTCGTATACTGGTTGATCTAATTTATTTTCAAGGTTTCAAATACCATTAGTAGGCCAGTGACTCACACATTTCACCCCAACCAAACCTGCACATCTAATGGCCTTCTTGATGTGACAGCCACCTGGCTGTCCTATGGGAACCTCAAACTCAACTTGTGTAAAACCACAGGCTTCATCTTGTCTCTTCAGTCTTCTCTCCCTTCAGTTTTTCCCATTTATTCATTCAACACACGCAGAGTTTATTTTTCCCAGAAAGAGAGTGAGAACCAAATATGACATTCATACAGTATACATTTTTGGGGGGAAGACAGATAATGAAAGAATGAACAAATTGATCAGATAATTTCAGATAATGATCAAACAAGAGTGTTGGGAAGCCCAGGACTAAACGATAACAAACATGTTGTGATTCTCTTTTCTAAGTTTCTAATGATTCTCATAGAATAGTTTTCTCTGAGTTGTATTGGTATGCCACAGGATGTTTAGATTCCTTACCTACGAAGGCGTCTCTAAGGAAGGTACATTTGGGCTGCTGATGAGGGGGAGCTGGTCACTCAACAAGGTAAGAGATGAGTTTGCAAAGGAAAGGGAACAGCAGATGTAAAGGCCACAAAATGAGAATGAGCTGGGCATGGACACAGAGCAGGAAGGAGGGTAGTTGGAGATGAGGTCAGAGAGTTAGGAAGGCAAGGTCTTGTTGGCTTGAAGTCTATGTGTATCAGTCAGGAAATCCTAGGTTAGGTGGCAGTAACAAACAGTCTCCCTGGTTCAGCAGTTTCAAATAGTAAAGGTTATTTTCCTGCTCATTCCTTAAGCTCACTGGGGGTTAACAAAGAGAATCATGCTTTGTCTCTGAAATCTTTGACCTTGAAGTGACACATATCACCTCCACCCACATTTCATTAACCCCAAGTCCCATGGCTCAGCCTGCCTGCCCGTGTCAGGGAAGGGCAACCCCACCATGTGCTGGGGAGGAGGGAGACCGGGCTGCTGGTGAACAGCCCTGATGGCCACCACGCAAAGGAAAAGATTTAGAATCTAATTCTGAATGCAAGAGGAAAACATGGGACTGCATTAGGCTGCAGATGTACAGGATTTGATTTAGGTTCGTAAAAGCTCGCTCTGCATGAGCTCACTCTGTGGTCGCGAGGAGGATGTGGCTGGAGGGGTCAAGAGCGCAAGTCTGGTTAAGAGGCTGCTGCAGAGCCCAGAGAGGAGATGAGGCTGATGCAGCCTGAGGCAGTGACCAAGAAAGGCTGCAAAGGTACAATAATCAAGCCAGAAACCTGGAACCCATCCCTGACAACCACCTCCACCATCTGATCCACTCACAAGCCAAGCTGATTCTATCTCCAAACAGAGATCAAATCTGTTTAGTCTTATTCTGACCATGACGGCTTCAGCTGTTTTCACTTGGCCTTTTGCCAATACTCCCAAGTAGTCTTCTAGACCATTCCTCATGGGGTTCCAAGAGTCATCTTAGGATAGATGTAGGAGCCTGTTACCCCCTCTTGCTCAGACCCCTCATTGAATTTCCACTGCCTCTAGGATAAACTTTTCCCAAACTCATTCTGCGGCACCCACCTCAGCCCCAAGCAAAAGCCTTCTGGTCCCCTATTAGGTGCCTTGATGTGCCAGGTGGGCCCGCCTGGCAGGTCGGTCATGCAGGCTCTTCTCTCCCAGTGCACAGAGCCTCACTCCTGCCTCCCAGACACACACATACTAACACCCCTGCCTACCTCCTACTCTTCTTTATCATCCCAGCTTAAATGACATTGTTTTAGCAAAGCCTTCCCTGACCACCCTTTCCCAGCAACTTAAATCAGGCCCTCCTATTCTATGCTTTTATAGCATTCTAGGCTATTCCTTCACAGAAGTTGTAGCTTATAATGCTCTGTGTGTGAGTGTGTGAGTGTGTGTGCATGTATAAGTTATAACTCTGTGTGTGTAAATGTTATAGCTCTTTGTGTGTGTATGTGTGTGTGTAATTGACATCTGTGGCACATTAGTCCTGGGAGAGCAGAATATGTGTATTTTGCTCACCACTGAATCACCAGTACTGAGCAAGGTTCCAGGCACAGAATTGGCATTTGATGTTTGCGGAATAAATAAATGAAATGAATAGCTAAAACAATGACAGCTATCCAAATTATATTTCTAAATAAACTATACAGAGTGCAGTTAACAGATGACATAAATACAATTTTATATGAAATATATTATAACTAAGTAAATGGAATGCTGAGACTACCTTCCAATCCCCCTATCCTCTAAGAAATAGGAAATAGTCCATTCATTTGCTGTTAAAATCTTTACCAATCATTCTAGTCCTTCTTGCTCTATTTGCATTGTGTCTCAGCTTTAGGCAAATGAGAAATGGGAAAGTGACTCACCAGGTTTGCTCAGTGGCCAGCTCGGAAGGAAAATGCTTGGTGTCCCAGCAGTTATGGACATCACACCGGCAGAGGGGCAGGTGGCCTGGTCCTCCCTGGCAGGATGTGCCTTTTTCAGATGGCCCCACGAGGCATCCTGCACCCTGAGGCCTGGTCCATCTCCCAAGTTCACACTTCCAAGAAGAGAAGGTGGGCTGGGGAAGGATTCAGAGCTGTCTGGGCTGTGTTCACTGCCATGTTTATTAATAGAGCTGCTGTGAAACTACCTGGACTGAAAAAAAGGGACTCAGGTACAAAATTCCTGCATCAGCTGGTGCTGAGTCAGCCTCAGTTCATGATCAGGAATGTTCTGAATTGATCATCAGCCTGAGTCAACATTTGCACCCTCCACCCTGGGCAGGTCCAGTGGTCCCTGTGCGTGGAGCCCAGCACTGGCTGCAGTGCAGGAGCTGGAACTAGAAACACGGAAGGCAGGTGTCCAATGTACAGGTGAGGTCAGCCTGCAGGGAAGTGGGGGGGCATGGAGGTCAGGGCAAGAAGCAAGTTCCTACCAACAGGCTCGGCAGGCCCTTTTGGGATTTCATCTCTCGCTCTGCCTCTTCTTATAAGGTCACCAATCCCATCATGAAGGCCCCAACCTCATGGTTAATCTAACCCCAATTACCTCCCAAAGGCCCATCTCCAGATATCATTACATTGGAGGTTAGGGCTTCAACATATGAATTTTGGTTGGACACAAACATTCAATTAATGCATCCCATTATTAATGTTCATTTGTTGGAGAGGGGAGTTATATTATTAAAAATGCTAGAGGAACATGAATATTTGTCAAGATTTCTGATTCTTTTTCTTTTCTTTTCTTTTCTTTTTTTTTTTTGAGACGGAGTTTTGCTCTGTTGCATAGGCTGGAGTACAGTGGCGCGATCTTGTCTCACTGCAACCTCTGCCTCCCTGGTTCAAGTGATTCTCCGGCCTCAGCCTCCCAAGTAGCTGGGATTACAGGCATGTGCCACCATGCCTGACTAGTTGTTGTATTTTTAGTAGAGACAGGGTTTCTCCATGTTGGTCTCGATATCCTGACCTCAGGCGATCCACCCACCTCGGCCTCCCAAAGCTTTTTCTTTTTTATACAACTTTATTGAGGTATCATTGGCAATTAATGGAATGCGCGTGTTTGAAACGCACAGTTTGGTAAGTTTTGACATGTGTACATGGCAGGGGAGCCATTGCCACCTTCAAGGTCATCCCTGCGGGAGGGTCCCCTTTGCCATTTCTCCCCCTTGTCCCCAACCCACCTCAACCTGTCCTCAGGCAACACTCATCTGCTCCTGTCACTATGGAATAGTTTTCTTTTTTCTAGAATATTATATAAATGGGATCATACAGTATGTACTCTTTTTTTTACAGCTTTTTTAGCTCCATGTAAATATTTTAAGATCCATCCCTGCTGCATGTCATCAGTAATTTGTTCCTTTTTACCATTGAGTTGTGTTCCATTGTGTGGCTAACCCTAATCTGTCTCTCCCTTCCCTGATGATTGACATTTGGGTGGTTTCCAGTTTGGGGCTTTTACAAATAAAGCTGTGATGAGCAGTTGTGTATCAGCCTTTGTACAGACATTTGCTTTATTTTCTTTTGGGTAAATACCTAAAAGAGGAATGGCTGGGTCATAAGGTAGGTGTATGTTTAAGGTTTTAAGAAACTGTCAAACTGTTTCCAAATTGTTTGTATCATTTTCACATTCCTCCCAGCAGAGTGTGAGTGTTCTGATTTCTCCACATTCCTGCCAGTGCTTGACATGGCTAGTATTTTGAAGTATAGCCATTCTAGCGGTGATGTAGCGGTATCTGACTGCGGCTTTAATTTGCATTCCCCAGGAGCTGGGTTCCTAACCACTGCTGAATTGTGCCTCTCCAAGCCTTGGCCTCCTCCAGAATCATCATGAGAATTTTATGCCTGCCTCACAGGGGTTCTGAGGCGTGAGTGAAGTATCCATTCATTCTCTGCCCCATCTAATCATTACCTCTCCCAGGTGTTTTGAATTTTACCAATAGCCATGTTGGAGAGGGAATGAGAATCAGGCTTCTCTGGTTTTTATAAAAACCGATATGATAGAGTATCCATTCATTCTCTGCCCCATCTAATCATTACCTCTCCCAGGTATTTTGAATTTTACCAATAGCCATGTTGGAGAGGGAATGAGAATCAGGCTTCTCTGGTTTTTATAAAAATCGATATGATAGGCCGGGCCTGGTGGCTCACGCCTGTAATCCCAGCACTTTGGGAGGCCAAGGCAGGCAAATAACCAGGCCAGGAGGTTGAGACCAGCCTGGCCAACATAGAAAAACCCCATCTCTACTAAAAATACAAAAAATTAGCTGGGCATGGTGGTGGACACCTGTAATCGCAGCTACTCGGGAGACTGAGGCAGGAGACTCGCTTGAACTCGGGAGGTAAAGGTTGCAGTGAGCTGAGATCACGCCACTGCACTCCAGCCCAGGGTGACAGAGTGAGACTCTGTCTCAAAAAACAAAAACAAAAAGAAAATTGATATGCTATATCAATAATTGCCTATAGCAAGAGTCCACAAAAGATGTCAAAAAATGTCGGCAATATTGACACTAAGAAAATTCCCTGGATGCTGGAGCACAAGTCATTGTTTCCTTGTCACCATTTCTGCTACTCAACCCAATGCACAAGTTGAGGAAGAGATGCATTACCTTCCGGTTTCACCTCACTGCAATTCCAGAGAAGTCAGAGCCCTGCCCTTGAGGAGTGCATGAATCAGAGGGAAGGCAAACACCTCCTGCAGACACAGGACACAGCAGGCACCTGGAAGTACCGTGCCTTGAACTGAGAGACTCAGGGAAGGCTTTATGGATCAGGAGCTCCTAGAAGAAAGAGTAGACGTTTTCCCTCATGTGATAGTGTAGAGAATCCTGGGAGAGGGACCGTGTGTGTGAAGGCCAGGGGGCCAGGGTAAGTGGGAGTGTTTCTGAAGCAATCACAAACCATTCAGGGGGCCTGAACCAATTGACCATGCTAAGATTGATTTTTCATCGTAGAGGCTAAGAGGACATTTTTGAGAACTTTGACCATGTTTTAGGAAGATCAGAGTGGCAGCAGTTTGCAGAATGGGAGAAGGGGATGAACAGCAGTGAGTGAACGAGTGACTGCATAGTCTAACCCTTGATCACAAGGGTTAGACCAAGACTGCTGCAGTTGTCCAGGGAAAGAGGTATTCATGGGCCTGAACTAAGTCAGTGATGGTGGAGAGAGAGAAGGGAGCCAGTCGAGTTCTAGGAGAGCTGAAAACATTGGCCGCTGATCACATGAGAAGGCAGAGGGACCCATTTCTGCTGTGGATACTGGACATCCACTGAAGTGTGAAATGCAGAGCTTAGTGAGGAAGAGGAAGCACTGGAGGGATGTCCCTGCGTGCTTCCCAATGTATACACCCCAAACCCAGGCCCTTCATCACTTGTATGGGGAAGCGATGAAGGGCCTGGGTTTGGGGTGTGTACACTGGGAGGCACCTAGGGGCATCCCTTGGACAATGGCATGGTGTCTGCAGCTCAGAACAGCTTGGACTGTTGAGAGTCATAGGACACGGGAGAACAGCAACGCCAGGGGTAACGGTGAGATTGCCCAGGGCGGTGGGCAAGAAGTCCGAGGAAGAGGAGCCTCCAGAGGACTTTAGGGGGCACTGGTGGGAGAGAGAGGAAGGAAAGAGACCTCCAAATTCCAGTCAACATGGGGGAGTCAGAGTTAAACAAACCTGTAAATCGTTAAGTGGATAGAAGCACAGAGAGGAGGGCCGAGACTGGAGCTCTCCCACAACGGGAGCCCGGAAGGGCAGATGCAGGGGCCGTTACTTCAGCTCTGACCGGGTGGGATCCAATGGCCCCAGGGAGGCTGCAGGGCAAGGTTGGACACCCTTCATGAGACCAAGGGCTATGGTTATATTCTCTCACTCGTGAAAGAAACTCAAATTCTCTGCCCCCCTGGGATGGCAGCCAGAATGTAGCTGCGGGTCTGTGATGAAGGAAAAGGCAGACAAACAACAGCGGATCGGGATCTTGGCATTTGGAACTGCTTACCAGTTCCAGGATCGAAGCTGCCATGAACTCTTGGGGTGAGAACCCTGAACTGCTAATAACGCTCTTCCTCTGAGTCTTGGTCTCTTGGAGATCTGACTGAGGATACCTGAAATTATCAAACAGGAAAAGGTGATGCCTGCAGGAGAGAAAATACGGCTCCTATGCCAAACGAGCCCATAAATGAGCGTTATAAAGAATCTCCCAAAATCAGATGCCCCAGAAGAAAGACACGAAGTTAACAAATTGGAGAATACACACCTGGAAAAAAATAGAAAAATAGTGAAAACTGAAAAGGACTTTAATAGTGTGTGTTTAAAATCCTCAGAAAGTTTTAAAAAAAGTGACAGCAACTGTAAATAAGAACAGGGAGTTATGAAACAAAAACATAGCACTCAGGAATCAAGATCAATATGGATCCATTGATCAATGATCAATAAAGATCAATTTCAAAATCTGGAAAAAAAAGGTAGTTTTGAAATCAAAGCCCGCCGCAATGAGGTAAACAATAAGCTGGAAAAAAGTTGATGAGCGACTTTGTAAGACAGAATTGCAGAAATCAATCAAAATGCAGCACAGAGAGATAAAGAGAGAGAGAAATATGAAAGAGAAGTAAAGCGATGTGGAGAAGATACTGAAAAGCTCCGTACATATGAAACAGAATAGAATCAGTAGGGTCATGGCTAATTATTTCCAGAAGGGAAGGAAAATAAGAGCTCCTCAGACTAAAAGAACAAGTCGAGGGCCAAGTAAGATAAACACACAAACAAAATTCCATATTTAGATGTATCAGAGTGAAACTACAGATCAGAGATGATAAATACAATTTCAAACTACCAGAAAGAAAACACATTTTAGCCTAGGGAATGGCTATCTGTTCGAGAGCATCTTCATCAGCAAAAAAGAGGCCAGAAAACAATGGAGCAAAATGTTGAGGGAAAACATCTAACAATGCAATATTCTCTGCTCAACTCAAACGTCTTTTAAGAGTTACGGTGGCCCCTCTCCCCTCTCCCCTCTCCCCTCTCCCCTCTCCCCTCTCCCCTCTCCACGGTCTCCTTCCATGGTCTCCCCCTGATGCCGAGCCGAAGCTGGACTGTACTGCTGCGATCTCGGCTCACTGCAACCTCCCTGCCTGATTCTCCTGCCTCAGCCTGCCGAGTGCCTGCGATTGCAGGCGCGCGCCGCCACGCCTGACTGGTTTTCGTATTTTTTTGGTGGAGACGGGGTTTCGCTGTGTTGGCCGGGCTGGTCTCCAGCTCCTAACCGCGAGTGATGCACCAGCCTCGGCCTCCCGAGGTGCCGGGATTGCAGACGGAGTCTCGTTCACTCAGTGCTCAATGGCGCCCAGGCTGGAGTGCAGTGGCGTGATCTCGGCTCGCTACAACCTCCACCTCCCAGCCGCCTGCCTTGGCCTCCCAAAGAGCCGAGATTGCAGCCTCTGCCGGTCCGCCACCCCGTCTGGGAAGTGAGGAGCGTCTCTGCCTGGCCGCCCATCGTCTGGGATATGAGGAGCCCCTCTGCCTGGCTGCCCAGTCTGGAAAGTGAGGAGCGTCTCTGCCCGGCCGCCATCCCATCTAGGAAGCGAGGAGCGCCTCTTCCCCGCCGCCATCCCATCTAGGAAGTGAGGAGCGTCTCTGCCCGGCCGCCCATCGTCTGAGAGGTGGGGAGCACCTCTGCCCCGCCGCCCTGTCTGGGATGTGAGGAGCGTCTCTGCCCGGCCGCCCCGTCTGAGAAGTGAGGAAACCCTCTGCCTGGCAACCGCCCCGTCTGAGAAGTGAGGAGCCCCTCCGTCCAGCAGCCACCCCGTCTGGGAAGTGAGGAGCGTCTCCGCCCGGCTGCCACCCCGTCCGGCCGGGGGGGAGGTCAGCCCCCCGCCTGGCTAGCCGCCCCGTCCGGGAGGTGAGGGGCTCCTCTGCCCGGCCGCCCCTACTGGGAAGTGAGGAGCACCTCTGCCCGGCCACGACCCCGTCTGGGAGGTGTGCCCAGCGGCTCATTGGGGATGGGCCATGATGACAATGGCGGTTTTGTGGAATAGAAAGGCGGGAAGGGTGGGGAAAAAATTGAGAAATCGGATGGTTGCCGGGTCTGTGTGGATAGAAGTAGACATAAGAGACTCCATTTTGCTCTGTACTAAGAGAAATTATTCTGCCTTGAGATGCTGTTAATCTATAACCTTACCCCCAACCCTATGCTCCCTGAAAACATGTGCTGTGTCCACTCAGGGTTAAATGGATTAAGGGCGGTGCAAGATGTGCTTTGTTAAACAGATGGTTGAAGGCAGCATGCTCGTTAAGAGTCATCACCACTCCCTAATCTTAAGTACCCAGGGACACAAACACTGCGGAAGGCCGCAGGGTCCTCTGCCTAGGAAAACCAGAGACCTTTGTTCACTTGTTTATCTGCTGACCTTCCCTCCACTATTGTCCTATGACCCTGCCAAATCCCCTTCTGCGAGAAACACCCAAGAATGATCAATAAAAAAAAAAATAAATAAATAAATAAAAAAAAAGAGTTACGGTGGCCAAGCGCGGCGGCTCACACCTGTAATCCCAGCACTATGGGAGGCCGAGGCGGGTGGATCAACTGAGGTCAGGAGTTTAAAATCAGCCTGGCCAATATGGCGAAACACCATCTGTACTAAAAATACAAAAAAAAAAATTGGCCAGGCGTGGTGGCCTGTGCCTGTAATCCCAGCTACTGAGGAGGCTGAGGCACAAGAATCGCTTGAACCTGGGAGATGGAGGTCGCGGTGAGCCGAGATCGCACCACTGCTCCAGGCTGGGCCACAGAGCAAGACTCTGTCTCAAGAAAAAAAAAAAAAAAAGAGTTACGGCAATATAGAAATATTTCTAGGCATACAAGTACTATAATTCTGATTATCTGCTCAACATGGCGAAATGAGCAGACCTCAAGCAGTAGTAACATGAGAAACGAGAGGAGAATGTAGATGAGAGTTTAAAAGTTCTTGATTTTGATCTGGGTGGTGGACTTGACATTATTCACATTTATGTATGTTTGTTCCAGGCCACAACAAAAAAGTTTATTTTTTCTTTTTCTTTTTCTCTTTTTTTTGAGATGGAGTCTTGCTCTGTCGCCCTGGCTAGAGTCCAATGGCACGATCTTGGCTCACTGCAACCTCCGCCTCCCGGGTTCAAGCGATCCTCCTGCCTCAGCCTCCTGAGTAGCTGGGATTATAGGCATGAGCCACCACACCTGGCTAATTTTTGTATTTTTAGTAGAGACGGGGTTTCACCATGCTGGTCAGGCTGGTCTCAAACTCCTGACCTCGTGATCTGCCCGCCTCGGCCTCCCAAAGTGCTGGGATTTATTTATTTTTTCAAAAGCTAGGTTCTTTGTCTCATTCAGAAGAATCTGCTTCCATTTAGATTTTGGCTTCAGGAAGACACATGGCATTGGAGGGGGCATTTTCCTAATGGGGCTCTTCTCATCATGTGGATCGCTCGATGGCAAAACAAAGCTGCTCCCTGGGTTGTCTTTGGTTCTTCAAGTGCTCTGAATTGGATGTGTGGTTTTTTTCCTTTTGGCAATGCCAAGATCTAGTCTATAATCACATTCATTTTGCACATGGCAATAAACACTCGATTAAAGTTTCCAGCTCCCAAGATCAGAATCCACTAACTAGCTGAACACAAAGCTGACATAATTACCTTCCTTGGAACACTGGTTTAGAACAGCAAATTACAGTCATTCAATTATCCACAGGAGGGCTCTGCTGATGTTCCAAACGCAGAAAGAGAAGCTTGGGTAGAAGGATAAGGAAATAATTTGGGGGAGAATGTGGACTAAACCTTTACAGTTTAAACAACATTTCAATAAACTATAAGATTCAAGAGAGTGCCACATCTGATTCAAATTAACCTTCAGCTTCCTGCTGCTGTACACATTTATAGAAACACATGAAACACATTGGTACCAAAGAATAAAAGTGTTTTTCTGCAAACTAGTAATCTGAAAGTAAATGGAATGATTTCAGCAGCAACAACCTGGTTTTCTGATTTTTTCATTTCCCCAATTTTATTTAAACAGTCTAGTAACTGAAGAAAGGGCATCTAGGAAGGTAAGAATTGGTAGAGTGATTATTTTTTTCTTTCTCTCTTTCTCTCTCTTGCCCACCTACACATTTGCTCACAAGGCTATTAATAGTAAAAGACTACTATTGCATGTCAATCTCTGACATTTGGATTCAATGTAAAATTGTGGTTTTATGCTTCTCTACCCCAAACTGAACCTTCCCACTCAGTCCAGGGCTAAACAGATGGGGCCTGCAGACCTCTTTTGCTGTATCTGCAGTGAAGGACTATGGCCTTGGCTCATTAACAGGCAGCTCCAAGTGAGAGTACAAGCCAGGGCCTAGACCAGGCAAGAACAACTATCCTCACTCCAATTTTGCCATCGGGAGGCAAGTCCCTCCAGGAGTCTGCCATCCTTGCAATGCTTCTTTGATTGAGCAGAAGTACTGTAAAAAGTGCCACTGCTATGGACCAGTGAAAAAAATAAGAGTATTCTGTGTATATCAACTGTGGACCAACCAGATAGCTTTACCAACATTATGCTTTAGGTGTGACAAAAAGTTGTGGGTTTTTTTTTTTTTCTATGTGCGTGTGTGTGTTTTTTTTTTTTTTTTTTTTTTTTTTTTTTTTTTTTTTTTTTTTTTTTTGAGACAGGGTCTCACTCTGTCACAGGCTGGAGTGCAGTGGTACAGTCTGGGCTCACTGCAGCCTCGACCTCCCAGGCTCAAGTGAGCCTCCTGAATAGCTGGGACTACAGGTACCTGCCACCATGCCTGGCTAATTTTTTGTATTTTTTTTGTAGAGACCGGGTTTCACGATGTTGCCCAAGCTGGTCTTTGAACTCCTGGGCTCAAGCAATCCTCCCACCTCGGACTCCCAAAGTGCTGGGGATTATAGGCATGAACCACTGTGCCCAGCCAAAAAGTTTTATTTTTGTTCAAATTATTTTTCCTAGCCTTAGCTTACTTGACCACTGCTGTGTAACTTCACCACTACCACTATCAACAACAACATGTACCCTCAGCCTTCCACAAACACCCAGCATAGCAACCTAGCTAGTAGTTTTCGTCTTTTAAAAAATGTCCGTCCCGTTTCTGTTCCATTATTCACAGTGAAAGGAGTCAAAACAGGAGAATAGGGAAGTCGGAGGAAATTGACAGTCTATCCCTTTGATCCTTCTTAACCAGGGAACAGAACAATGACCTTGCTGGAGGGAACCGCGTTACCAGGGAACAATGACCTAAATAACTCTGACACTGGGTGAAAATGTGGAGGATTCCAGACATCTGAGGTTGAGATGAGCTGGATGGTTTAGTGCTTAAGCATGGCTAGCACCAGACTGACATCAGTTCAGTAATATTCCTTCCTACACTGAAGGTGAGTGAAAACATCTCCCATGAACCCTTGGTGCAGACTTCACAACATCTTGCTGTGTCTGTTTTCTTTTTAAACACAAAGTTTCTTATTTTTTCAAACTTTTCATTTCAAAATAATTCGATATTCAGAGGAAGTTGCAAAGATTGTATAGAGAGGTACTATGTAACCTTCACCTGTCTCCCCCAGTGTGACACAGTACTATGCAAACACAATATGATTACAGTCCAATTTCCACGATATGAATTGCAGTACAATTTCAACATCAGGCAATTGGTGTTGGTGCAATCCACAGGCCTTATTCACCAGTTCCACAAGCACTTATTTGTGTGTGTGTGTGTGTGTGTGTGTGTGTGGTTTGGGCACATGTGTAGATTCATACCCCCACCCACCACCACAATGAAGATACAGAGTTGTTTCATCAGCACAGAGATTCCTCTTGTGCTGTCAAGTTTCTTAACATGTTGATGTTCACCTAGTTTGGTAATAAGATTGGGTTCTTGCTGAAATAACACATCGAACATAGGGTGTACTGTTCTTATGAAGACCTCACATAAAATCCTTTGCCCTGGGACAAATGTGCTTCTTCCCACCTGGATACAGTTTACCCTAATTCAAGACAAAAATTGTGAAAAGGAAATAATCAATCTTGAGGTTTTTGTCTTCATCCAATCAAGCACCCAGCACTATTAAGACTTCCTCCAAAACACACTGAATTCCATGCAGTCTTTCCATCCCATTGGCATGGTCATTGTTCAGGATGCAAATGTCTTTTCCCTGGATCAATGTGACAGACATCCATCCAAATGGCAGCTCTGCCTCCATTCGTGTTCCCCTGCAGCAATCCAGCCACCACCATACGGCCACAGGGCTCCTTTAAAAGGGCCAATCATGTCACATCAGCCCCTCTCCCAACCAGTCCTGTTTAATAAAACTTAATGCTCCTCCCATGGATCTTGTGAGCAAATTTAAACTCCAGCTGGTGGCTCATGAGACCGCTTGCTATCAGCCCTGCTATCAACCCCCTGCCAATCCTTGCAGTGGCCTTCACCTCTCCTCCCCTGATGTCCAGCAACACTGGATTTCCTGTGCCCTTGGGTTGGGTGTGCTCTCTTCACATCTGGGCCACCCATGTGATGCTGACCACCCCATTCTCTCTCCTATTGCCCCCGGATCGCTGCTCATCCTTCTAATGTCAGCTTCGACACCACTTCCTCCAAAAACCCTTCTTCAGCTTCCCAAGTGTGTGCTACATGCCTCTCTGTGTGCATCCTGGGGCGAGGGTTCCACGGGACCCTCAGCACAGTGTGTGATCTTGGCCACCAAATATCGGGGTCCACCTGCAGCCTTTAAGCTCCAGCCACACAAAGACGCTTCTCACTTGTTTACCTTTGCATTCTGATGAAAATGACACCCAGACATAAGATGCCCTTATTGGGACAGGGAAAAGTGAGGACAATGTGGGAAAGTTCAAGAATGAGGCCTGAGAAACCCATATAAGGAGGAGAATGAGGGATTCAGCCTCTTGACAGGGAATGTCCTCATTCTTACGGTATCATCCCACCATTACCCACTGATTTCAGAGGGAGGATGTGCTTCCGATGGAGACGCTCTGTAGCAGCTCCTTCGTCGAGTGATGGAATGCAGCCACCCAGCATACATGCCTCTGGGTGGGGCCCTGTGAAGACAGCAGTGTCACCAATGGAGTGTTGCCAGCCAGGGTATTTGAATCTGATCAAGAGAAAACAATCAGACAAATCTAGAGGAAGGCCGTCTTCATGACAGCTGGTCTGGACCCTCTAAATAGGTCAACAGTATGAAAAGCAAAAGATGAGGTGGCTATTCTTGATTTTCTAAAATAGAGATGAATAGCAGCCAAATACAATGCTTGATTTAAAAAAACACTGTAAAATATTTTTGGGACAATGGGGACTTGAACATGGAGTGGCTTTCAGATGATTTCATGGGATTCTTGTTAGTCTCCTTACGTGGGATCATTGTACTGGGGTCATGTGGATGGCGCTTATTCACTGGAGACTGGTGCATACTTAGGGATAAAGATCACAATGTCTGCAACTTACTTTCAAATGATTCATCAATAAATATATTTTGTCTCTGTGCACACATATGTGTGTATGCACACAAATGTCAAATGCATATGTGGCAAAATGTTAACAATTGGTGAATCTAAGATGCAATGTTCATTTTATTATTCTTCTTATTATTATTTTGAACAGAGTCTCACTCTGTCACCCCGGCTGGAGTGCAGTGGTGCGATCTCAGCTCACTGCAACCTCCGCCTCCCGGGTTCAAGCGATTCTCCTGCTTCAGCCTCCTGAGTAGCTAGGACTACAGGCACGGGCCACCACGCCTGGCTAATTTTTTGTATTTTTAGTAGAGGTGAGGTTTCACCATGTTAGCCAGGCTGGTCTCGATCTCCTGACCTCATGATCCGCCTACCTCAGCCCATTATATTATTTTTAAACTTCTCTGTAGGTCTGAACATATTCAAAGGAAAAAGTTGGAACAAGAAAGAGTGACTCAGGATGGAAACCTTGCCACCAAGGTGGGGTTACGTGGGGTCTGTGCCTTGAGTAGTAATGCATAACCCAGAAATCAGCCCTAAGCAGAGACACTGAGGACAATGGCGCGTGTTGGGCACTGCACAACCCTAAAGGAGCCATTTACATAGACAATCGTGTCAATGATGCTTCCCCCCATACCCTGTTCAACTGTCCACAGTCATCTGTGCCTAGAGGCAGTATATGCTGAACTAGACCGAAGCCTAGAGTGGCCAGATTCTGCATGCAGGAGTGGGGATTGGAGTAAACTAAATCAGTGTTTTCCAAGGTGTAGATCATGAGGGATTACTAAGTATTCTCTGAGACTGGAGGCGTTGTGAGGGCAGGCTGTGTATGGCTTTCTTCTGTTTCACCAGTGCAGAGCCCAGTATTTAGCACAAAATAGGGAGTCAATAATTTTTGTTTTTGCAATAACAAGTTAACTGCTACCAAATACATTTAAGAAATAGTGCATGAAACAGGATTGCTAGAATAAGATTTCTCAGAGACTTTGATACAGTAAATCCATGGGTGAATCTCCAAAAGGAGAACACAGGAGGCAATGTTCCTGAAACTAGCTCAACATGGAAACCTTCAACCACAAAGTGGCTCACAGGCATATTGCTATGTCCTGGATGCAACGTGTAAAATGTATTTCTTGTGGGTCATGGTCGAGAAAGTTTTAAATTTCCATTTTTAGAAAAAAGTCCATGAGTGTTTGTTGCTGAGATTTCTTGAGCTTCCTTCTTCTGCTCTTTCCATGGCTAACTATTTAGCTAGCTGTCAAGCCTCCTGCTGCTGTCTTCCCTTTCTTGCTTCAGTAAATCTGAGTCTGCTGCCACCCAAGAGCTGTGAAGTTTCTGCTGCTCCTCTTCAGTGGTTCCACGGTTCCATTTGCTGCACTATTGAGAAACTTTCTCAGTTTCTGGTCACAGGAACTAACTTAAATCAGCTGAGACACAAAAAGACAATTTATCGGTTTATGTGATCAAAAAGTCTGGTCATGGCCTAAAAATAAATCATAACATTTCTGTTTCTCTCTCCATTTCTCTGCCAGTGTCTTCATGTGGCTTCCGGAGGCCCCAGACTCATGTCCTATTAGTTTAGAGGTCTGACCCTGAGAGGCAGAAAGAAAGCACTTATCTCTACAGATCTGCTGGGAAGGTCTTGGGGAAGAATGTCACTAGTCAAGCATGAGTGGGATGCCTGTCCCTAAGCCAATCACTCCAGCCAGAGCAATGGGGTGCTCTGATTGTCAGGCCTGGGGTTTGTCCCACCATTGTAACAGGATGGGATGACAGCCAGCCCACCCAAACCACAGGAAATGGGTTCCCCACGGGAAGACACTTTCCTCTACCAAAAGAAAGGAGAAGCGATGTCGGGCAGACAAAACCAATGGATATCTAGTGTTAGCGCTAGTGATGGGCCAAATACTATTAAAACCCAGACAGTGCCCTTTAATGAGCAATTCAGAAGCTTACGAAAAAGGAGAGGGTGATGGGATTTGCCCAGGACCGCTTGGGTGGAAAGCTCATTGTTCCAGAGAAAATTCCATGCAGTTGATGATGAAGTCCCTCATTTACCAGAGATAAAATCTCGAGCCACTGGCGAATAGTTCAAATAACCATTCTGCCAAGCAACTGCCTACACATACACGTTGACTGAATGCAAACTTTTACACCATTTCCCTCTGAAACCAAGAGGAGTCATTCCAATAGGCTAGATTGATGTTCTTTTCCTCAAAGGGCTCACAATCTAAGGAAAGAGACAGCAAATCAAACAAGTACAGAGCATTTTAATAAGGGCTTTGAGAGGAGAAGATAAGGGGGTCTAGAAAGGAAGAAGGTCCTTACCAACAGAGAACCCAGAAAAAACCACAGGAACCTCATAGAAGCAGGTGAGTCCCATGGCTAGAGTGAGGGTGCCTGCTCTAGGCTACCCTGGACAGGTAGTGTTCTGCCTCCCATGGACGGTACTCTCTGTAAGACGTCCAGACATGACAAAGAGCATTCAGAGGAAGACATTCTGAAGAATGGATAAATCAAGTCTGTGCTATATGGGAAACTGTTGCAGAATGATAGTCTTGAAAATTTATTTGAAGGGCTGCCATAGGGGAAAGGGATTTGACTTGTGTTAGAGTTTCCAGGAGCGCTGCAGTGAGCCTGTCCCTGGAACAACACAGGGAGTCATGCTTTGCTTCTAGAGAAGGAAGCACTTTCCAATAAAAGGCCATCCTGGAAAGGCATGAGATCTTTAGGGAGAAAATGATTTGACTATAACTGAAGGTGTTTAAGAACAGACTGAATGGCCACTTGGCAGAGATGTATATTCAAGCACTGGGTTAGGGGTAGGCTGATGAGATGCAGCTTTAAGAGCCTTGAGATAGTAAAATTTTCACCAACACTCAGAAACCTGTTGCTGTAAGCACGTATGCATGATCTTTAATATGTTGTCCATTTAGAGCCTTCATAGCAAGTACTGCAGGAATGTTTGCCTTACAAATAAAAGCTATGCAAAGGCCTCTATGCTTTATGCTTTCCTAGAACTCCTCCCCCATCAGCAATGTATGCAAAGCCGCCACCAATATAATCTGCTGGGTTCGTAGCTATGTTGACGGCTTCTAATTCTGCAGAGAGGCAGCATAACACAGGGTGTATGTAAATGACATGGAATGCAACATGTGTAAGGAGCCCAGGCTAGAGCTTTGCACCTTCCTTGTCATGACACATCAGTGAACTATTTTTCATTCACTGGGGCCTCTTCTTGTTCCTCTTCTCTGTCTGTGTAATTGTTGGATGGGGGAGTGGTGTGTACAGAGTGGTATAAAGGAAAGTGAATTCTCCCATGAA
The DNA here is from genome assembly GCF_000001405.40 of Homo sapiens. Classification (NCBI taxonomy): domain Eukaryota; kingdom Metazoa; phylum Chordata; class Mammalia; order Primates; family Hominidae; genus Homo; species Homo sapiens. Next base: position 234,571,950 of record NC_000002.12, read on the forward strand.
AAAAGCAACTTTGTCCCTCTCATCCGTGCCTTTAGGAAAGTCGCTTCACCTCTTCCTTTCCTTCTTCAAAGTGAGGATCAAGGAGATGAGTTTGAAAGAGCTTTGAATTTCTCAGTATGAATATTTTCCAGTTATCTTGTGTTTAATTTTGCACTCTGTCAACCTCCCCTATACATACCCAAAGTTATCTCAAATGTAAACCTGAGTTTTAGTCTGCATGCCCTAAAGAGGAACTGATTTGAGGAAGTTGAGTAGGGGTAGAGAGAAAGGTGGAGCTGAAGACGAGGGTTGGAGGAAGTGGAAACACAGCTTGGCAGGCTCCACAAATGACAGGAACTTATTATAACAATGGGAATATAGTTTATACTCAGTGATATACTCCCATCAAAGACACATGCCCCACGTGGCTGCTGGGGATGGTTGCATGGTTGCCAGGGGTGCCCGCTCTCCTCCGCTATGAGCTGAGGGGGTGCTGGCAGGCCTAGTGCCTCCTCACAGCAGGATGCTGGAGTCTCCCAAGCCCCAGCTTATATACCCCCATTTCCCGCACCAACCATGAGGGGATGCACTGAGGGTGGATGAACGACTGACCTGGGAAAGATCCTCTCCCAGAAAGCGGTGCCAGTTGGGCCTTCTAAACTTTCTGGCCATTCCCTGGGTGGGGGCACAGAAATGATGTCTGTTCAGAGTCTGTCTAGGGTCACATGCACAGCTTCCTCCCAGACCCCAAGCTTGTTCTGAGATAAAGAATCTGGATGGGTTAGGAACCCAGAGGTTCCCAAACTCCATATACGGTCCCTTTCCCACTGAGAACCAAAATTATTTCCCCTGCATGGCAAGAGACGCTCCTTAAACCACATGCCAATAATATTCCACACTCTCATAAACATTCTACTTTGCCCTCACCACTCTGAAATGCTAGGAGGCTCTGCTAGCAGGTGCTTTCTCTGACTCTGATAGGAATAAACTTAGCTCCATCTTATCAGCAACGTGTTTTCGTAATATTTTCAGAGCCAGCATTCAATACCTCTCTCTCTTCTGGAGGTCTGGCAAGTTCAAACTTTATCCTCTCCTCTACAAATCTTCTGTGCTAAGGTTTATTGCACTAAAAGTGTTTCAGAGGTCTTTCCTCCTCCCCTCTTATGTGGGAGACCAAGTTGCAGTCATAGGAAAATTATGGACTTGCCTTAGGCAATTAAGATGATATTCTCTATTTTTCTGAGTTGAGAAAAAAAGACATGTTGAGAACTTCTGTCCAAACAAGATGGCATAACATAATTCCTTTCTTTCATCCTTGCTAAGCACAACTATAAATTCTGAACATAACTCAAGGGACAACCAATGGAGAACTCTGAGAGATGGTAAGAAGGCGGTAAGTTGAATTGGGACCCAAGAAGTAGAGGAACAGCCCAGCAATAGGACCTTTTACATCCCACTCTCAACAGAGAAGGTGACTTGGCATTTTATCACCCCTGGCTAGCAGCAGAAGGCAGCACAGGTAGACTCACTCCTCCCTGGAATCAGATAGGAGTCCTTTTGATGACATCACAGCCTGATGCTTATTGGAAAGGGGGTCCTTTGGGAGCCCCACCCACAATAAGTGTCTAGGGAAGCTCTGTTCTTCCCCTCAGGTCCTGAGCTTCCCCTCCTCGTGGTGAGACACAGGAGCAGCGGGTGGGACTGGCAAAAAAAAGGGGAACAGCTGCATAAAATGGCCCAGGACATGTCTTCATCCCCACAGGTCTAAAAGATGCCTCCCTCGCTGCGGGACACTGTATTAGTCTCTTCCCACACTGCTAATGAAGACACACCCGAGACTGGGTGATTTGCAAAGAAAACTTAATGGACTCACAGTTCCACATGGCTGGGAAGGCCTCACAATCATGGCGGACGGCAAGGAGAGAGTGTGTACAGGGGAACTCCCCTTTATATAACCATCAGATTTCGGGAGACTTATTCACTATCATGAGAACAGCATGGGAAAGACACGCCCCCATGATTCAATTACCTCCCACAAGGTCCCTCCCACAACATGTGGGAATTATGGGAGCTACAATTCAAGATGAGATTTGGGTGGGACACAGCTAAACTGTATCAGACACCTAGAGGTCTGCCTGGGGAAATGGCTTTTGCATTCTCAGGCAGCACCGACAGGGAGCGATGGGAACCCCAGCATCACCAGATGAGCCAAGTAGACTGAATTAGCACAGCAAAGGCTCTGAAAATTGAATTGTCATTGGTGCCCAGCTGAGAAAAGGAGTCCAGACCCTGCATGCTAACCCGAAACAGGAAGCCTGCCTTCTAAAATAACAGACTTAAATAGGACCCAGAGACTCCTGACATAATAGACGACATGTTCAGGATACAGTAGAAAATCATTTATCGTTTCAAGAATCAAGAAAACCACAAGTTGAATGAGAAAAAATAATCAACCAATAGCAACATTGAGATGAATCAGATGTTGGAATAATCCGGCAGGGATGTTAAAGAAACTACCATAAAAATACTGTAACAATGAGCTAAAAACTCTCTTGAAGCAAATGAAAAACAGAAAATCTCAGCAAAGAAATAGAAGTTACAAAATAAAAGAACCAAGTAAAAATTATAGAAATGAAAAGTGCAATAATTTTAAAAAATTTTAAATTTATTGGATGGGCTCAATAGTAGAGTGGAGTTGACAGAGGATAGAGTCAGTGAACTGGAAGACAGATCAATAGAATTCATCCAATCTGAATATCAGAGAAAACACAGACTGAGAAAAAAATTAACAGAGCCTCAAGGGCCTGTGGGACAATAACAGAAAAGCCAACATTCATATCATCAGAGTCCCAGAAGAATAGCAAAAAGAAAGAAGAGGTGGAAGAATAGTTAAAGAAATGATAGCTGAAAACTCCTTAAATTTGGAAAAAGAAACAAAGCTGCAGCCTCAAGATGCTGAGAAAATCCCACATAAGATAAACCCAAAGAAACACATGTCAAGACACAGCATAATTAAACTTTTGAGAATTAAAGATGAAGAAAAATATCTTGAAAGCAGCCAAAGAGAAATGATGCACCAGTTGGCAAATAGCCATTTGAATGACAGTGGATTTCTCGTCTGAAACCTGGAGGCCAGGAGGAAGTGGCACATTTTTCTTTTTTCTTTTTTTTTTTTTTTTTTGAGATGGAGTCTCGCTTTGTTGCCCAGGCTGGAGTGCAGTGGCACAGTCTCGGCTCACTGCAACCTCCGCCTCCCAGGTTCATGCCATTCTCCTGCCTCAGCCTCCCTTAGTAGCTGGAACTACAGGTGTCCGCCACCACGCCCGGCTAATTTTTTGTATTTTTAGTAGAGACAGGGTTTCACCGTGTTCACCAGGATGGTCTCGATCTCGTGACCTCGTGATCCACCCGCCTTGGCCTCCCAAAGTGTTGGGATTACAGGCGTGAGCCACCGCACCCGGCCCGTGGCACATTTTTCAAATCAGTTCAATTTTTGAACAACAACAAACTGTCAATCATGAATTCTTTATCTGGCAAAACTATACCTCAGGAATGAAGGGGAAATAAAGATCCCTTCAGCCTAAGGAAAACTAAAAGAATTTATCATTAGCCGAGCTACCTTTAAAGAGTGACTAAAGGAAATTTATCAAATGAAAACAAAATGATCAGGGAAAAATAGTGGAACATTAAGACAGTAGAAGAAGCAATAGGAGGAGTAGCTTCCCATGTCCACACTGAAGGTAATTTGATTGGCTGGGTAGGTGTCTTCTTCCCTTAGCTCCTTGAAGAGCCCTGAGCTCCATTGAAAATTACTGACCTTCCTGGAGAGAGAGGCTGGGTCTTGGAACAAGAATGAAAAGATATTAGCAGCCTATAAGCCAAAATGTACATGCTAATTCTGCCTAAGGCAACAATTCTGAGGTCCTACAATCTCCTGTGTCTGATGTAATTAACACATTACCTTGTCTTTTATTCTCCTCTGGTCTCACTGTCTACCACCTCATCTGTATGATGCATCTTAATCCTTTTTATTAAAGCTCTATAGAGATAGGAGTGTTGGATTTTTTTAGAAGGTATTCCAGGAAGTTTCCCTATTTCTAAACCTCACCTCTATCACACTGTTTTAAAATCAGCTTGTTGTGATCTTTCTCACGATTGCAGTTGGTGGTCAGAGATTTGATACTGAAGAAAAATTAAGGGCCAGGCCAGGCATGTCTCATGCCTGTAATCCCAGCACTTTGAGAGGCCAAAGTGGGTGGATTACTTGAGGCCAGGAGTTCAAGATCAGCCTGGCTAACATAACGAAACTCCATCTCTACTAAAAATACAAAAAATTGGCCAGGCGTTGTGGTGGGCACCTGTGGTCCCAGCGACTTAGGAGGCTGAGGCAAGAGAATCGGTTGAACCCAGGAGGTGGAGGTTGCAGTAAGCCAAGATCGCACCTCTGAACTCCGGCCTGGGTGAAAGAGCGAGACCCTGTCTCAAAAATAAATAAATGAATAAATAAATCCATATCTTAAAAAGGGCCAGTTTTTCCCCCAACAGTAATCTTACATCTCAAAGAGAAAAAGTCTAGCTTGAGAAATCCACTTAGCAATAGTTACGTAAATTCTAATTATCCTTTCTCAGAGTTAAGAGAGAGGCTGGAAAAAAGAGAGCTACCAGACAATAAGAAGGGTGGGTATTGGTCCAGGGAGGCTAAAAATACTGCAGAGATGAATATTATACTCAACTTGCCCTTTTAGTTGGCACATGACACAAAATAAAGATAGCTCGAAGTAGTAGCAGTAGGAGGTCCTCAATTCCAAAGTTATGTGATTCCAGTAACTACGGTGAGGAATCAAGCCCAACATGTGCCTAAAGCTGTCCTTTCTTCTCAGTAAAAGGAAAAAAGAGGTCTGTCTAGGCAGCCTTCCTCGTGAATCCACCTCACCTCAAGCACCTTGTTCTCACTGCCAGGAGCAAGGAACATATTTAGAGCTTATGTTTCAGAGACTTCAGGTGCAGGTAGGATTTGAGCCCTCTGGTCACTCGATGTGTTTATCCCTGAGAGGAGGCTGAAAGCCAGCCAAGCAGATATTTGTAATTGCCATGCAGTGGAAGACCTCCTACCAAGTACAGAGATTGCTTAGATGTGCCTGGCATGAGCCCCTTTACCTGCCTCAGATATAAGTGCATTTGCTTCTGTTATTTTTCCAAAGTGAGACAAGCTGCATGTTCCCTAATTAGCTGGAAATCAAAGATTTTACTGTTGAATCCACAAGACCAAACCCAGTCCCATGCAAATTATCCAAATGTTGTCTATCCTGGGGAGGCCATTGTGTTAGTCCATTTTGTGTTGCTGTTAAGAAATACCCGAGGCTTGTTGATTTATTTTTTAAAAGTGGCTCGTGGTTCTGCAGGCTATACAGGAAGCGTGGCACTAGCATCTGCTTCTGGTGAGGCCCCAGGGAGCTGTTACTCATGGGGGAAGGTGAAGACGCAGCAAGTGTCTCACATGGTGAGAGAGGGAGCAAGAGACAGAGGAGGAGGTGCCAGGCTCTTTTAAACAACCAGCTCTCATTTGAAAAGAGCAGTAACTCATGGATTACTATGGGGAGGGCACCAAGCCATTTATGAGGGATGCCCCTATGATCCAAACGCCTTCCACCAGGCCCCACCTCCAATACTGGGGATCACAATGTGACATGAGATTTGGAGGGGACAAACATCCAAACTATATTACCATCCTATTCTGATAGTGTTTGCTTCCATTGCTAGACCATGCAAAAGAAATAAACTCCTTATCAGTCCAATAGTGCTGTCATTTCTGCCACGGTCACTAGCGGCCACTGCTGGACATCAGCCCTGTGGTGCTTGGTAAAGGCTTATTCACTGGTGTACAACACCCCGTGGCCCAGATCCCTACCAGTGCTGCCGTGGGCCAGGGCTTGAGCCCTGAGTGGCTCTCAGTTCATCTTCATGATCTTTGGCAATGCATCCCAACCACGGCCCTTTGCTCTGTTTCAGAACAAGCTCTACTCCACAAATACACAGGCCAGAGGTGTGCAAACCTTAGGGCCCTGAGAAGCACTGAAATAGGCTTATTTTTTAAATGCAAATTTCCAGGGTCTTCCCCAGCACATTATGATTCAATGTCAAGGATAAAGGGTGATGCACATTTTAACAGTCACATCAGGAGAGAAGATGCACTTTCTTGGCAGATCACACTTTGAAAAACTCTGCCTTATTGCCCGATGGTAAAACCAGTTTATTAGCCCAGATTCCCTCTCTCATGAGGACCTCATGGTGAACTTGGGGTCCTTTTCTACCAGTGAACCTTGACTGAGTCACTCCATTATTCATCAAGAGGTTTTCTCCACAAAGAGTCTTGGAAGTAAGGATCTGAGGATTTCATCCTTTTCTTGAAACCTAGGTCCCTCCTCCCCCAAAACACACACACACACACACACACACACACACAGACACAGACACATACACATACACACACACAGACACACAGACACATATACATACACACACACACAGATGCATACACATACACACAGACACATATACATACACACACAGACACACACAGACACATACACACACACACAGACACATATACATACACACATACACACAGACACATATACATACACAGACACACACATACACACACACAGAGACACACACATACACATACACACAGACACATGCATACACACACACAGACACATATACATACACGCAGACACACAGACACATAGACACAAATACACACAGACACAGACACACACATTTACACATACACACAGACACATACATACAAACACACACGCATATACACATGCACACACTCATGCACATACACACACACACACACAGACACACACACAGTTCTTGTAGAAATGTTTTAACAGAAGCATTGCATACTGAGCCAGCCTGGCACAATAAAGTAAATATCCACATGGCAAGGGAACATTTATAGAACCAAGGAAGGGCACTGTCCTGAACCTTGCAGCACAGGAGACCTGCTCCAACGTGGCTTTCTATCTCTCTGTGAAGAGAAACCCTAGAAGCTTCTCTCCTATAAAAAAGGGGAGGCACATAGCTGGGAGTGGTGGTGCATGCCTGTGGTCCCGGCTACTCAGGAGGCTGAGGTGGGAGGATCATTCGAACCTGAGAGGCAGAGGTTGCAGTGAGCCGAGATCGTGCCACTGCACTCCAGCTTGGGCGACAGAGCAAGACTTCATCTGAAAATAAAAACTAAAAAAAAAAGGGGGTGGGGGGCAGGGCATAGAATGTAGGCCCACTGCAGTCTCACAGAAACACGGGTCAATCCTGCACTCAGCCTCCTGCCAAGTCTTCATACCACACTGCAATCGCCTCAAGAGTAAGGGCTGTGTCTGTCCCATTTATTACTCTCCCCCGAGTACACCCGCGGAGCACTGGGAGCCCAGGAAAGGGAGCCACAGACGTGTTAATTTAACTTATCTGGACGATTGTGCAAGTGGCACTGTCAGAGCTTGGGCTGCTGCTGGTCAGGAGCCTCACCAGACACCTGTGCTGGTCAGCAAGGCTGCCCAGTAAACTATCCTGATATCCAACCTTCCGATAATGGCAGGATGTTCAGGACTGTTTGTCCTGGCCCCCTGGTGTTGAGTAGGGTCAGAGGTCCCGTTCTGGCCCCTGAGTTGTGAGCAGAAGGGATGAGTGTCACCTCTAGGCCATGCTCTTGGCTCTGGTTTAAGATCCTCCAGGACTCACTTCCCCTCTGCACGTCCACCAGCAGCATCTGGGAGGGTTTTGACTTAGCCTGAGGCCCTGAGTCACTGTAAGAAGCAGAGGCTCTTGTCATCATGTCCTGTGAGCAAGACACATTCTCATGCTGTTTCCAGTGGCTTAGACTGTAGGTGGTTCTAGCAGCATAACTGAACCTGTCTTAGCTGATGACACCCCCAGAGCCAGGGACCAGGGCAGGACAGAGGGTCAGGAGCTCAGTCCTGCAGAATGGGGAACAGGGGACAGGAGTTGGAGATCAGATGATAGCAGTCAGTTTGGATGACAGAAAACTGGCAGGCTTGCTGTGTAGCAAGCAGAGGCCACAGCCAGTCCTACCTAGGGATGAGTTGCTCCCCAGTCTCTCCTGCCATCTGGCTCTGCCTCCGAGACTCCACCCTGGCCTCTCTTGGCTCCATAAATCTGCTCATCTTTCAGCACAGAGCCCTTTAGATCCCTTCAAGCACCGATGTTCTGGAGAATCACTGGTTAGGTCACTTCTAAACTGGAGTACAGTGGGGTCAAAACAGTCAGTCATCACAGGGGCTTAAGTGGCGGTAGCTCCTGTTTGCTTCTGCCCGTCACATTAACTCACGGCACTAATCCCCCATACCCGGTATGAATGAGAGGTCCCAGCAGCAGGTGAAGACGCTCACCTTTGTGATTCCCTCTTCCCTCCTGAGTCTCCTTCCCTCCCCCCGGCCTTGTCCCATCCTCCTCCAGTTAAACAAGGTTCTCATTGTCCCTTCCCTTCCCCACTCTTATACCTCCTCTTGGGCAAGCATCTTCAACCTAGGGTAGCTGTCAGCATACTCACTCCCTGCGGGAGAGCCAGAGGGTCCCAGCACAGGGCCTGGCCAGGTACTCAAACAATGACTAGCAACATAACCTCTCCAAGCCTCATCCTCCTCCATGGCAAAAATCAGGTCCATGATGTTTAACCCACATGGTCACTGTGGGCCATGCTTGGTAAAGTACCAGGAACTTTGAGGATGCTTTCTTGATGTCCAACAAGGCTTTGCAGCTCTTGAAGGAAGCAATGACTTTGTTCCCATCAGTGAAGGTTCCAAGACACAGATAGGTGCTGCCCCTCTGATAGCCATGAGCACCTCGGTCACACTTCAGAGACTCACCCTGCTGTATGGACCTTGCTGCTGACTGGTTCCCAGGCCTGAGTGTGAATCATGCCCACTCAACTTACTAACGCCGTGCTCAGAGCACACTCATCGGAAGCTAATAACAAGAGGAGTTTCTCTTTTCCCCTTTGAAGAAAATGTCAGGAAATCCATGGGCAGACACTCTGCTAATGACTTGCCCCAAATCATTTCTCTTTATCCGCTGGGAGAGACTTGCTAACTCTGTTTCTTCCTTAAACTTGTACCTAGGGCAAGGAATGCCCCAAAATGCCAAGACCCACTGTTGCAGGTGCTAATTGAAACAAGTAATGAGTTCCTCTTCCTAAAAAGTGTAATAGGCTCCTCTGCGTTATTCAGTAGCTTGAATATCCAGTGTTTCTTATTCCTTTTAATCACAAATACCCTCCTTAGAGTAGAAGAAATTGCAGCTCATTATCTTGCCTAATTTGCATGCTTGCCAATTACATACCTAGCAATACAAAACACAAAAATACAAATGTTTAGCAGCAAACAATGATTTAAGCCTGGAATAAGCAATTCTCCCTGTTTTCATCATCAGTGTCATACCCTTTTCTTGCTGCCAGACACAAACAGGAGACCAAATCCACTTTAGACAACGGTCTTTGGGGGCCTCTGGGGGTCTTTTTGATTCTGCAAAGCTTTGAGCCAAGGAGGAGGCATTTAGAGAAAGACAAAATCCACACAATAAAAATACTTGTTGGCTGTTAATTGGAAATTCAGAATGCACGGCTGCAGGGCATTTATTCCTGCTGGCAGCCTCCCCGTCCCCAGCCCCTCAGTCCCGGAAATTCTGGAATCTGAGGGTGAGACGTTTTGCTGGCTTTGGCTGGGACATTAAGCAGAGGAGTAAAGGGGTCACAGGGTGATTGTCTCCGAGCAGAGAAGGAAAAGCCCCCACTGTATTTCCACCCATTGCACCCACCAAGTCCAGCAGGGGAAGCTCACGCTGGTTTCTCTCAGACCACCCCACACCCACAGAAATCCCCAGGCTTCCCCTTCTACTTTTTAAACCTCAATCCATGGCCCAGCCCTGAATTCGCGGCAACACAGCCAATTCTCATTCCCTTTTCTTTCCCCTCAATCTGTTTCAACAATCTCCAGCTGCAGAACATTCCAGACCTCTGTGTTCTCCACACTGACTGCCCACTTAGGAGGAGCGTGAGATGAAATCCCCCATCACCAAGGCTGCTGGCACCGTCTCATTGCCTGTCTCAGCTGAGCCTTCAGTCTTGCTTGACTAACTTTTTTTTTTCTTATTCGTCTTCATTTCTCTTTTCATTCTCTACCGCAAACATTCCAAATAGTCATCAGGTAAAGCGCTAAACAGGTGCATTAGTCTCCCAGGGCTGCCTTAACCAATGACCACTAACCAGGTGGCTTCAAACAGCAGGGATTTATTCTCTTGCTAGTCCTGAAAGCTAGGAGTCCAAAATCAAGGTGTCAGCAGGTGGTTCCTTCTGGAGGCTCTGAGGAAGAATCTGCTCCATGCCTCTCTCCTAGCTTCTGGGTTTTCCAGCAACCCTTAGTGCTCTTAGCCTTGTAGATGCCTCACTCCAATTCCTGCCTCTGTGTTCATGGGACCCTCTTTCCTTTGCCTCCTCTGTGTGTGCCCAAATTTCCCTCTTCTTATAATGTCACCAGTCACTGGGGTAGGGTTTTCACTAATACAGTACAACCTCATCCAGTAAGACCTCATCTTAATGTGATTACTTTTGGAAAGTCTCTATTTCCAAATAAGGTTACATTCACAGGGACCAGGGGTTATAACATCTTTTTGGAGTAGACAATTCTACCCATTATAAGGTGTCTGATATTTAGAAAGCACTTGATAGACTTCAGCTTTCTTGTTAAGAAATCATTATCTAGCCCCTAAACTCTCATCAAATAATTTGCATTTTCTTTCATTAACTAGGTATTTCCTCAGCTTTGTTCCATTTCACCACATCCTCATAGTTTCCTCTCCTGTCTCGCAGGGACCTCCCTCTGTTTCCAAGGCTAGCCCTCCACTTTTGTTTCTCTCTTTTTTTTATTTTTGAGATGGAGTTTCGCTCTTGCTGCCCAGGCTGCAGGGCAATGGCGTGATCTCGGCTCACCGCAACCTCCGCCTCCCAGGTTCAAGCGATTCTCCTGCTTCAGCCTCCCAAGTAGCTGGAATTACAGGCATGTGCCACCACGCTTGGCTAATTTTGTATTTTTAGTAGAGATGGGGTTTCTCCATGTTGGTCAGGCTGGTCTCAAACTCCTGACCTCAGGTGATCCGCCTGCCTCGGTCTCCCAAAGTGCTGGGATTACAGGTGTGAGTCACTGGCCCCCTGCCTTGTTTCTATTTTATCCCTAGCTTCCTGACTCTACTGAAAACCCACCTGACACAATCTTGATTAAAAATCTCCCAAGGTACCCACTGCCTCTAGGAGACATCACTCTTTTAGGAACTACTATCGTGCAAGGCCTTCTTAGCAAGCCAGCCTCCTACCTCCAAAGTGAGATCAGCTTTGCTGGCTTCAAGGCATTCAGAAGCTCACCACACCTCTTGCTTCCACAGTAGGTTGCTGGGAAGGTCCAAGGTCTCTTTCCCAGCACCAGGTGAATGTGCTAGAAGATCTGCTTCTTCTGGAAGCATCCCTACCACCAGCAAACTTTCAGAGTTATTGTAGGCACCATGTGCTCTTTGGCCATTTCTCTGGGAACCTTCACTAACATACTCAGGGACCTCGTGCCTTCCCAAGCTTCTGATTGGTCCAACCCGAATTTCATAAGCATTTAGCTTGCAGTTAACAGGAATCTGTATAAAAGTGCCAAGTATCTTGCATTGGGTTCTAAGGGCCATAAAAGCACCTCAAGAAGACGAGAGGACCTGGGTTTGCACAGACAGTCGATGGGAGGGTTTTAGATGAACTGTGGAGTAGGAGGCATCTTTGAGGGATCACAGAGACCAGGAGTAAATGAAACTGAGTACGAGTAACTCATTTTTGTGTCCCCAACGAGAATGTGAATATGGTGGGCTTTGCAAACTGTAGTTCAATTAGCTTGACATTGATCCCAGAAATAATTCTACTGTGGGATATATTTTTGATGGAGTAGTTAATCCCAAATAAGAAAGCAAGGAAAGCTTTACTGACTGAACAACACTCATTTCCTTCTGTGATGAGTTGCTAGGGTTTTAAAAGAGGGATATAGGCTGGGCGCAGTGGGTCACGCCTGTAATCCCAGCACTTTGGGAGGCCGAGGCGGGCAGATCTCGAGGTCAGGAGTTCGAGACCAGCCTGGCCAACGTAGTGAAACCCCCGTCTCTACTAAAAATACAAAAATTAGCTGGGTGTGGTGGCATGCACCTGTAGTCCCAGCTACTCGGGAGGCTGAGGTGGGAGAATCGCTTGAACCCAAGAGGCGGAGGTTACAGTGAGCTGAGACCATACCATTGCACTCTAGCCTGGGTGACAGAGTGAGACTCTGTCTCAAAAAAAAAAAGAAAAAGAAAAAAAAAAAGAGGGATATGCAGTGACCATTGACTCACTGACTTTCTTCCCGGTGTGTTCCATGATGTCGCCATGCCAAGTGCCCTCCAGCCTCCAATCAAGCATCTTCAGTGACGGGGAACTCATTACCTCCTAGGGCAAGTAATCCCATCTTTGAGCTGTTCAGGCTGCGAGGACATTTTTTTTCTTCTGTCATGCCAAAATTGGGCACCCTGAGCCTTCTCCTCATTGCTATTAATTTAAGTATTCACAAGTTCATTATGTGGAATTTGTCACCACCTGCACCCTGACACTGAGCTCCTTTCCACTACGCCTGACATCAAATTATGATTGCTGGCAGCCACATCTCTCTGCTAGCTCCTACTAGGACTCCTCTCAGTTAAAACACATAGCAGTGGCTAAGCCATGGCCACCCCCATGCTTTATGTGTACTATTGGATTTATTACTCAATGCAGAGTCTGACATTACCTGTGTTCAGTTCATTTTCTTAGGTGGTAGTTCTTAATTAGGACTAGGTGCCAAAACCACCTGCAGAGCTTTTTCAAAACATGTAGGTATGGTCCTCTCTTCAGACAAACTGCATCAGTCCATGTAACACAATATATCGTACCCACAGGGAAGATGGATTATTTTCTCCATTTGGAGGGTCCTGAAACCTAGAACACACAAAACAGCCTAAAAAGAAGGATGAATCCAATATGCAGAAAGTTCTGCAATAGAAGGTGAGGTAGGTCCAAGAAATAAAACTTTATTATTGTTATTATAATCCTATTTTCATCCCCAAGCTGGTGCATTCCAAAAAAGCATGGGTTATTAAAATTAAAAGGAAGGCAAAAAATCAGAGAGCAATATTTGCAATAATCATAAGAGACAAAGAGCTAATATTACAATACAAACAGAGTTCATAAATGTCAATAAGAACAGTAGAAACTCCAGAGGTAAACATGCTAATGGTGTTAATTGATACTTACAGGAAGAGAAATAGAAATGATGAATAAATATGGAAACAAGGTCACCACATGCCTAGTTATCAAAGAAATGCAAATTAAAATAATATCAAGATTGTTTTCAGAGTATTTAAAAAATTTGTTCAATGCTCTCTGAAGCATAATGAAGCAATCTCTTACATGCTGCTTCTGAAAATGGACTAGCAACAATTTCCACTTTGGAGACTCTATCATAAAGAAAAACAACATTCTGAAAAGCATGTATGCCCCTACATATTAATTTTAATAATGTTTAATAGTATTTTTAATGAAGTGAAAATGGAAATCATCTAAATGTTCAACATTAGAGGAATGGCTAAGTCAATTACAATTATCTCCTGCAGAGTGCGGTCTGAGTCCCATCTCCCCGGTGAGCACTCAGGACTTACTTCTTGATCAAATCTCTAATATTCGAGGATCACATCCCACTGTGATTACCTGTCTCTGTATTTATCTATCTATTTGCTTCCTCATCTGTGAATTCTTTGTGGCAGGGATGCTTTTTACTTATATGTCCATTTCCATTATGACTGTACTATATAACTTGTAGTAGAGAGTCAATAAATATTTATTAAATGAATAAGAACAAAATGTACATAGATTATCCTGTATTCATAAAAATGATATTGGGAGCATGTTAGGTCATTAAAAATGCTCATGTGATAATGACAGAAATGTCAGGGAGAAAAAAAGTAGAAAAGGAAGAATGTATTATTGTATTCATAATGATAAAAGAGCTTACATTTATTACGCTCCGTTTATGTTTTGTTTTGTTTTTGAGACACGGTCTAGCTCTGTCGCCCAGGCCGGAATGCAGTGGCATGATCTCGGCTCGCTGCAACCTCCACCTCCTGGGTTCAAGTGATTCTTGTGCCTCAGCTTCCCAAGTAGCTGGGATTATAGGCATGCACCACCACACCTGACTAATTGTGTTTTTATTAGAGATGGGGTTTCACCATGTTGGCCAGGCTGGTCTCAAACTCCTGACCTCAAGTGATCCATCTGCCTCGGCCTCCCAAACTGCTAGGATTACAGGTGTGAGCCATCACACCCAGCCTCCTTTTGTGTTAAGTGCAATTTATATATATTTTGTTTGCTTTTAATCCCTTTAATGATCCTTTGGGGTTCCAACTATGTTTTAATTTTAAAGCAAATAGCATTTTTATTTCCACATCGCAGATTAAGAAGACAAATCTTAGGGCGTTAACAAATTTTGTCAAGATGATACTACCAGGCTTAGCTGGGGCACTTACCCAGGCTGTATGACCCCAGAACTGATTTCCTGAATACCATGCTGTACTGTGTCTAGTGTGAATATGGACAAAACAAAGACACTCAACCCTGCACTGAAAAAGTGTTGTACAAAGCTCTCCAAATATTGACCATGATTGGCTTTGCTTACTAAGACTATAAAGGTTAGTTTTCTTTATTACAAATTTTCTATATTGACCTTGTATGACATTCACAATGGGAAAAGTAATTAATGCTTAAAAAAAAAAAGCAATGGCAATTGAGGTGGACATGTATTCACTCTAAAACAAAAATCTAGCTTAGAACCCACCCAGAGTCCTGTTTGCTGAAACATTAAAAGGACCTTGTCAATAGCCTAGAGTTGGGTGACCCAGATAGCAGGTCGCCCACGCATGCGGGGAATCAGCAGAACTGGACAATAGATTGAGAGAAAATTTTAACTTGAATAACTTACCCAGAAATTAGAAAAACCTGGAAAGAAGCTATTGAAATGTCCAAATGCATGTAGGGATTATTGCACCGTTTGGTTTTGCCTGGATTGTCATTTCACACAGCATGCGGGGACTTATTCTCCAGCACTCAAGGCCTCCATGTTTTTATGTGGCTGAGCAAGAGATATGCATTCTACAAGGCGAGCTCACAGAATGGCTTCAAGAAGGGTTGAACGTTGTGGTCTATTTTCAAACCATAAACCCAGACACGGATGGGGTAGAAGGCTACAGAGGGGAACGAATGAAGGGACATTTCCTATCAAGTGCTCAACATGTCCTATGCACAGGCCCATTGGACTTTTCTCTGGGGCTGTTAACTGGGGGAGCTGAGACTTGCCTTTGAAGTACATCATGCCAAGGAGTTGAATTCGTGTCAGCAGGAGACACTGCACAGGCTCCAGGGTGGTCGAGTGCTTATTGGACATGGCATGAGTAGTCCTGTTGGTATTTCATTGTAATTCACCATTAATTTCAAGCTGATACCAATGAATAGGACACTGTGACAGACTAATGGTTTCCTGCCCCATGCTGATGGCAGCTGAAGTGTTCATTTTTCTAGCTGGAGGCATTGATCTCAGGGCCAGAGGTCAATTACAAAGACTATCGAGTGAATTGTGACTAATGTTAAAACATTTTGCAAAAACATAACATAGTGGGGTTTCACAAAAATGTGATAAACGTTCACAGAGTCTTTGTTCAATTCTGAGAATTCTCAGTAGGATGGCAAGAATAAATGCTGTTTGTTTCGGGCAAACAGAGAGAAACATGAGCAGCTTCCTAGAGGTGACCACACTTTCAAGAGGCTCTGGAAGGTAGCAGGGTAGAAGCACACTGTTATTTGTTTTGTTCATATTAACTGAGTACCCAGATTTCAACAAGAACCTGGATGAAGGAAGGGCCATCAAAAAACCCAATTCTCAAATGTCTCGGTCTGGCCTAATGAAACCCTTAGCCAACAGTGGATCCAATGAACAGGTTTGAAAGACCATTCATCCTTTTCATAGTGGATTAAAAAACATGTGAATAAGCTTTTCACTCTCTTTTCTCACTGGAATAAATACTTAAAACCTCCTCCAACCAACTTGTACATAATTTTCTCACAACCGCAAAACCATGCACTCAACTCCTCTATCCCTGACCTTCCTGAGCTCCGTGTGACCGCACAAAGTCACACGACACTCCTTTTAGCTGAGTGTCTAGAATACCAGTAAATTCTCTCCCACAGAACTCAAGTGAAGGGCCCTTGTGTTCAGCCACATCACAGAATTCTCTGGCTTGTGATCTGATCTTTTTCTAGCATGTGATTCCAGTAAAATGACCCATTATGCCTTAAGTTACAAATATTTACAGGCCTAGGGTCAATTTCCTTAAATTTGATTTTATTTTTGGTCCCACTAGTATTTTTTTCAGAAATTTAAACAGTTATTGCCAAAAATTATTTCCCTTCTATTTCAAAAAGCATGACCAGAATATTTGCAAAACTCATGGACTGTGATTGTTGGATACCATTGTTAGTCAACAGAGATAGTTTAGCATCTCTTGGCCAATCAAAAGTCAGGTTTTCTTAAGATTATATTCATCCTAATTGTTTGCTATTGGGTCTTTTTCCAGTTTGCATTTTTATTATTTTCCTGTCTGTATCTTCCCCCAATTTTATTTAAATGTAATTGACAAAGAAACATTGTGTATATTTATGGTGCATATGATATTTTGATATGTGTGTACCTTGTAAAATGATTACCACAATCATGCTAATTAATGTATTCATCACCTCACATAGTTATTTGTGTGTGGTGAGAACGTTTTAAGATCCATTTTCTTAGCAAATTTCAATTATATGATATAGTATTGTGTTAGTTTGCTCTCGCACTGCTATAAAGAAATACCTGACAATGGAGAATTTATAAAGAAAAGAGGTTTAACTGGCTCACGGTTCTGCAGGTTGTACATTAAGCATGATTCTGCCATCTGCTTGGCTTCTGGGGAAGCCTCAGGAAACTTACAACCATGGCAGAAGGAAAAAGGGGGAGCTGGCATCTCATATAGTGGGAGCAGGAGGAAGGGGCAGGGAGGTGCCACACACTTTTAAACAAGCAGATCTCACGAGAACTTGCTCACTTTCGCGAGGACAGTACCGTGTGGGGGGATGGTGTTAAGCCATTCATGAGAACTCTGCCCCCATGATCCAATCACCTCCCACCAGGCCCTACCTCCAGCATTGGGGATTACATTTCAACACGAGATTTGGGTGGGGACACAGATCCAAACCATATCAATTATTAACTCTAGACACCGGGCTGTGCATTAGGTCTCCAGAACTTATTCCTCTTGCATAATTGAAATTTTGGATCCTTTAACCAACATCCCCCCATTCCCGCTCCTCAGTCCCTGCAACCATCATCCTACTCTCTGCTTCTATGAGTTTGACTTTTTAAGATCATCACAGTTGTTTTTAATTTGACATTTAAAAGCTCTTAGCAATGAAGAGACTCTCATTTAAATAAAATTATGAACACACATTTTTTCTTTTTCTTTTTTTTAAATAGAGATGGGGTCCCACTTTGTTACCCAGGCTAGTCTTAAACTCCAGAGATCAAGTGATCCTCCTGTCTCAGCCTCCTGAAGTGCTGGGATTACAGCCCCACCACACCCAGCCCATTTTTTATTTTATCTTCATATTTTCCTCTTCCCTTTCCCCCCAGCACCCTGTCTTCATTCAAGTAGATCTGTAGCTTTGAGCTAAAGAGGAGACATGGGACGGGGCACAAATCATAAATAAATAGACAAATAAATAAAGCAGAATGAATAAATCTTCTCTTTAAAAGCCTAAGCCCTTAAAACACCATAAAAGGTTTACAGCATGGACAAAACGTTTCAGAAATATGGGTGGGGTTTCCTTAGAGACAGGAACGCATCTCTGGACTGGGGGAAGGAAATGGATAAATGTTGAGGAGAGAGAATGTTGGTGGGTCTCAGACAGAGCCACTCTCGGGTGGGCCCTGGAGGGGCTGAGACCAGGTGCTGTCAGTGGGGTCAGGGCAGGTAAGACATTGGGTAACCATGGAGGTGTTTTTGTGCCTGAGAGAGGGTGGCACTGAAACAAATGCATGTTTCCTCCCCCACAGTGATGCTGAGAGCTGCACTTGAAGGGGCCAGGTGGGCAGACAGATAGTTCATGGTAGCAAGGCCAGTGCCCTCCAGCCAAACCACCAGGAGCACAGCTGCAGTTGAACTCAGTTGGTTTCACTGACACATTGCAGTAGGCAGAAGAATCATGGGCACGTAGGTAAGAGGCATTGGAAGGACCTATTATAGAGCCTGGGCTCATGTTAGGTAATGCAGGGAAGGGGTCAAAGAACCGGGACACCAATCCAGGTTGGATGCTTGCAGGAAGCAAGCGTGATTCTCTGAGTGCATGCTTATTTTTATCTGGAAGGAGGAGGGGGTGCAGAGACTAAATCTCCCTGGGAAAGAGGCAGCTGAGGCACATCACGCTTGCTCACTTTGCGGCATGGGCAATCCTCATGCTCTGTCTCTGTTCAGGTATGATGATGGAGCGCGCTCGTCTGAGGGTCACAGAGTGGCCTGGTGTGGTGTGAATGCTCTGCGAAATTCTGTTCAACAGGACACCCAGGACCTGTGGTGAGAGTCACACAGCTCCCAGCAACTTTCAGGACCAACTGATAGTTCCAGGCCTGCTCCCTTTCTCCGCAGAGACCTGTGCAGCTCAGTAGCTAAGGGCAGATGAAGGCACACCTGCATGGGTTGACAACCCGAATCTAGAGAGCCCCGCCCTGCAGTCCCACCAGAATGCTTGGTGATACGCAATTTTAAAGGACCTGCATTCTTGAGGAGCCCATATAGACTGAGACTGTTTTCTTCACTCCGACAGAGCTGAGGGTCTAAATAGAAATTAATCTGAAGCTACAGGATAAAGGCAATCATATTTCTTGCAAACCTGAGTTGTGGCAGAGACTGCTAACAGTTGGATACTCCAGGTCTACACCGTGAGCTGGCTACAGACCCTCAAATTAGAGCCATGCCATTTCTAGGCAATGGCTGTGGTCTTTTAGCGGCCAATGCTGATTTCAGAAATGTCAGTGGCTTCAGGTGGCATTTAGTTTCAAAGTTTCCTGCAAAATCTTCTACATTCCCCAAACATATCAAGACCATGAGCTGAATAATGAGCTGATGGAGCTTCTTAGGATTTTCTGCTGACTTTAGTTCTTTGTTTCCAGGAATAGTCCTAGAAAGGATTCGGGGCATAGAGAGTTATCTAGAAGGCCCCTAATACAAAGTTGGAAATTCTTTAAAAAAAAAAAATAGAATCTTGGCTGGGCACAGTGGCTCGTGCCTGTAATCCCAGCACTTTGGGAGGCTGAGGTGGGTGGATCACCTGACATCAGGAATTCAAAATCAGCCTGGCCAACATAGTGAAACCCCATCTCTATTAAAAATACAAAAAATTTGCCGGGTGTTGTGGTAGGCGCCTGTAATCCCAGCTACTTGGGAGGCTGAGGCAGGAGAATCGCTTGAACCTGGGAGGCAAAGGTTGCAGTGAGCTGAGATCATGCCATTGCACTCCAGCCTGGGTGACAGAGTGAGACTGTTTAAAAATATATATATAATCTTTTTCCTCGGCGATGGAAGTGTAATTCCTGTGATACCTGCTCTAGGTTTCAGGACAAGGGCACCTGGGTTCCCCATCAAATTGGCAGTCCCTTTAAGCATTCGCAAATTCATCAGCTCAGGCCATATATGGTCAGAGAACTGGACAGAATAACAAATCAAAAGAAAATCTCCCAAGCAGAAGTTTTCCAAGACAGCCACTATGCATTTAAACAAGCAAAGCTTTCCACCTGTTTACTTTGCTTGTGGCAAAACTGACTACTTCCTGCAAATGGTACCCGTGAAGAGAACCAACAGTGGATGTAGCAGCCATGGGGGGGCTCCAGGCAGCTAGGATTCTAGAAGATTCTAGAGAAGATGCTCCTCTGGATCTTAGTCATCACTAGAGAGTCAAGGTTTAGAGACTGAACAAGGAGAAAGGGAGAAGGAGGCTGCTGGCATTCAGGCAGGGAAGCCAGCCCCCAGCTTCTGCCCTAGATTAAAGACAGGGTCTCCCAGGACACTGCTCTTGTTTGAGGTTCAGGGCATACCTGGGCTAAGGGGAGTTGTTTCTGAACTGGTGGTTGAGTTTCTTGGGGGGGAATAGAGCTATACTAGAAGGAAAGGCAACCTTCTCAGAAATGGAGGGTGGCACCAACTCCTTCTTCCAGGGTGGGAGCTGAGGCTTCAACCAGCACCATCAGAATCCAGGGTATGTACCTGGAGCACCAAGGGCCACTGCCACCCCAGGAGGTAGTGTACAGGAGGTGGGTACCATCCTGGGACACCAATCTGGGACAGAAGCTCATGTTCTATTCCATGTGGATGGGAAGCCCATGCTTGCTAGTATATTTGTGCATATATACACGTGCACAAGGTGGAGGGATAAATGGCTTTCTCCCTTCAACCCCCTCTCTCCTCACTTTCCTACCTTTCACGAGGACAAGCCCCTTTAGCATGATACGTAAGACTTAAGTGATTACAAGGCGATCAGTATCACAGCGACAGTGAGCTTGTCTTATCATGCTTGACTCTGAAAATGATGGGGACTAAGCCCACAACTACCCAGGCTTGGTCACAAAATGCAAGCAGGACTTGCAGTCCTGGCCCACACACAGAGGGGATGGTGAAACCAGGACTCAGGTGGGAGAGTGCAGAAAAAGAAAGTGAGTGAGAGCCTAAGCCAGAGAGGGCTCCTGGGTTCTTGTATAAGGTGGACACTGGACGCCCTGCAAGGTGAAGAGATGGGAACTATAAAGGAAAGCTTCCCACCATTTCCTGTTCTCTGGGTGTGCTCAAGTTGACTTCGGGTAAGTGGAGCTCCTGATAATAATGGACTTGGCCAGCAAAGCTTCTGAGATGGTTTAAACTTGCTACACACACACACACACACACACACACACACACACACACACACACACCATACTGATGCACACACACACACAAAAACATACACACCACACCCATATACCACACATAAAACATACACATGCAACACACACACACACATTTGTGATACAGTTTTTTTCTTAGTCTTTCTGAATTGTCTATTCCTAAATTCAATCTCTATTCCTTCAGGAGCCCCTAGCTCTAGAAAGCCCAGAACAAAAATAGGCAGCCATTGTATGTTTTGTAAACTGTGTACTACCCGTCTCCATTTCTTTCTTTTCTTTTCTTTTTTTTTTTTTTGAGATGGAGTTTCACTCTTGTTGCCCATGCTGGAATGCAATGGCGTGATCTTGGCTCACTGCAACCTCCACCTCCCGGGTTCAGGCAATTTTCCTGCCTCAGCCTCCCGAGTAGCTGGGATTACAGGCATGTGCCACCATGCCCAGCTAATTTTTGTATTGTTAGTCGAGACGGGATTTCACTCACATTGGCCAGGCTGGTCTCGAACTCCTGACCTCAGGTGATCTGCCCGCCTTGGCCTCCCAAAGTGCTGGGATTACAGGCATGAGCCACCACACTTGGCCCTCTGTTTCATTTTTGACTGTAAAAGTCAATGGGGTGGTGTCCTAATGAGACAAAAATAACTGAGGCTTGGGACAGGAAGCAAAGATGAATGTTCCTACCCCTGCTTGTCTCAGGGAGTCATTTGTAATTGAAAGAGAAAAGTGCTTTAAATTTTTCTCTTTAGGCCAGCTAACCACAACATGTCCTACTTTTTAAGCTCATGGGTTGCCCTCTTCATTTCTAAGGGCACATGCCTACCATGTGGAGCATACCAAGAGCTGGGGTTCTGTGGATAGGGGTTAGGCCCTGCTCCTGACTGCAGCTGCAGAGAGTTTTCTTCTGCCTTCTTGACCCCGACACTCTAAGTCCTGGCCAGATCCTCGTGGCTTGCTCATGGACATGGTAGCCTTCCTGCCAGCTGGAGGAACATCTCATTTCCCCACATATTTGAGAGTGGTCATTATCCAGTAGCAACATGTACATCAAATCCTTCCTCTACACAAGCAGCTAATTTAAAAAAATCAAGAAAGGGGGCCGTCTATGAGTGGGCCCATAAGACTGTTCTTCCTAATGGATCCTGGGTCTCTGCCTGCTTTCCTCGTCAGACACTCCCACTTTATTAGATGCTAGGATGTGCCACTCCCTCTAAGAAATATGTTTATGGCTAAGGAAGCCTCTTCCTGGGTTTCCAAATGTTTATGCTTCTGCACATTTTCATGGATCCTCCTTTGAAAGAAAGGCCAATTGTTTAAGTACCACCATGGAGGTGGGAAGACCTTAAGTGTCCCCAAATTGTCAGACCCTAGAGCAGACTTCATTTCACATTGCAACTACAGTTCATCAGTATAGTATGCAATGACTTGTGAGTGATACTGGACTCACCTCTTAGAATACATGCACTGAGGAGGTTCCAGAGGTCAGAGTAGACCTAATTCAAAGTTAAAGTGAAGGTGCCGAAGGGAAGCCAAAGATGTCAGATCAATGTGTTTCATTCTAAGAAATACATTGGGATCTCCTAATGGAATATCCTAGTGGGAGCTTTCATACGATGATAAAGTCATGAGGAAATGACCATGTCTAAAGAGGCAAAGGCCCATCATTAAGATGAAAAATTATTTTGCATTTTACTAAACCATTCTATTTTCTTTAAAGTGTCTCTTTTTGTGCTGTACTTTCATATAAGAGCCACAGTGATCATTTTCCACACTCCATCCAGCCACCTAAAGCCTTACTTATGTTCTGAGACTATGGCCCGAAAGACACAGCAGCTGAGTGTGCACTTTCTGTATGGAGCTAGACTTCCTCTGGGATCACAATCTCCCCTTCTCCCTCAGTGCCTGGGTGGGGTGACATAGAAGGGAGGTCAATGAGTCAAATGAAGTGACCGTCGGGGGGTGTGTAGACGGGAGCCTGTAGCTCTGCTCCCAAATTCTTTTCGAGCACCATGGTTGTCTACTTCTCTTGGTTGTCCACTTTTCTAGCTTAAAAATTTTGCTCTATGCAAAGTTTTTTATGAAGACGGGCTTTGAGTCACCTTGCCCACCCCCCCCCACAAAGAAACCACTGCCCTAAACCCCTGAAGTTCAGTACTTTATTCATTGACTGTGCAACAAGGACAACTGTGTCCTTGTTGTCAGCTAATATCTTAGTTTGGAACCTTCCAGTCACAAAGACTTGAATGCAGGAGTTACTTGAGGGGTGGGGGCTCATCCTGAGAAGCATGAAGGAGGGAGTGGAGAAGGTGAGACTGAGAAGCAAGGAAATGCAATCATGGTGTTTGCTGAGCAAATCTCCACTGGGCAGCTGAGGCCGGCCCCACAGCATCATGCAGAACACGCTTAGTGGCTGCCCCTCCGATGGAAGGAAAGCTGGGATATTTATCTCTAATTCTCATGCCTCATTCGTGGAGGGTTTATCCTAAAGGTGTCAAACTACCTAACGGGTTCTCCTTGTCCACTGCCCAGACAGAGCCGATTTATCAAGACGGGGGAATTGCAATAGAGAAAGAGTTTAATACACACAGAGCCAGCTAAACAGGAGACTGAAGTTTCATTACTCAAATCAGTCTCCCCAGAAATTCAGAGACTGGAGTTTTTAAAAAATAATTTGGTGGGTAGGGGGCCAGGGAGTTGGGGGGAGCTGATGGGTCAGGTTGAAGATGAACTCTTAGGGGGTCGAAGTGGGTGGGTTGTTCTTGCTGCCTTCTGTTCCTGGGTGGGACTGCAGAACTGGTTGAGCCAAATTAGTGGCCTGGGTGGCTCCAGATGGTGCATTAGAATGCACGGTCTGAAAAATATCTCAAGCACCAGTAGGTTTTACAATAGTGATATTATTCCTAGGAGGTTTGGAATCTTGTGGCCTCTGACTGCATGACTCCTAAACCATAATTTATAATCTTGCGGCTAATTTTTTTGTCTTACACAAGTAGCCTGGTCCCCAGGCAAGAAGGAGGTTTGTTTCAGGAAAGGGGTGATATCATCTTTGTTTCAACGTTAAACTGTAAACTAAATTCCTCCTGAAGTTAGGTCAGCTTACACCCAGGAATGAACAAGGGCAGCTTGGAGATTAGAAGCAAGATGGAGTCAGTTGGGTCAAATCTCTTTCACTGCCATAATTTTCTCACTGTGATGATTTTTGCAAAGGTGGTGTCAGTGTTAGATCCCAGAATTTCTGGGCTTCTTGAGCTTGGGCTGAACAAGACCTGAGGTGCAGTGCCCAGCAACCTCGTGGGCAGAGAACCAGTGAGACACAGCTGGGAAGCTGTCAGTGGGCAGGGATCTGTCTGCGAAAGCTCCAGGGACACTCAGGTGTGTGCGTGTGGCAGGAAGTAGGTACGGGGTGGTCCATCAACAGCACATGCTGCAATTAATTTTCATAAATTTACAGAGGTCCTTGGTTGCTGATGTTTATACGCAACTCCTGGGTTAATTATATTCAGAGTTATAGAGAAAAGGTCTCCTGGATGAATCAGGAAAATAAAACTTAACCAAATTGAAAAAGAAAAACAGGGCTGTTTTCCCTTGCCCCTGCCTTTTAACTTTAATATAATGATGTGCTACCACCGTGGGGTGTTTTGCATAGATGACATTCATACTTGCTCTAGTCCCATACGCTGGCAGACCCTCCCACTATAAGGAACAAAGGGATAAATGGAATGAGAGGAAGAGTTGGAAATTACTAAAGCTTTTTTTCTTTTGTTTTCCCCTGAGTGTGGCATCCTTCAGCCTTGGCTCCCAGAGAAACAGCAGGGTTGAAATTAACATGAAAACAGAGGGAATCCAAAGAAAAGAAAGCAATTTCAGCTTATGAAATTCAAAGTAGGATTTCACAGAACTAGTGCACTCTCCAAGACGAGGCAGGATTGTAAGAAAGGATTAGCACACTAAGAGCCAGGCCGGGACTATGAGGCCATTATCATGATGATGATTATTAGGCCATGGACTTTAATGTAAAGAGAGTAGGTGGGCCCCCCTCCTCACCCATGGGAGAAGTTTATGGGAAGCTGTGGTTCTCATTTCCCCTTCCCGGATCTGACTGAAAGGGGGCTATGCTAGACAGACATAAGGTGGCCCAACATATTTCAGAGGGTCAGCGGCATGGTCAAAGAGAGTGCTTTGGGTTTGAATCGTTGAGTCTCTGGAAGCTCCCAGGTGGCCAGGACCAGTGGCTGAGGCCACACCCTGGGGGGCTGAACTGGATTCTACCGGCATCAGCTGAAGGACAGGACAGAGGCTCAGGGGACTCAGTTGCTCTTCTGAACCTGGAGGAGGCACATGGACAAAACCAGGCCCTGACTAGCAGAGAGGGAACAGAACATGAGCTCGTCCACTCTAGAAGTTGGCAGAATACCCAGCGAGGGGATAAGGACAACCTTCCCCTGGGGGACAGCAGAACTGCCACGCCTCAGGCGCGATCTTCCCTCCACCACCTGGCACAGTCTGGTGGGGATGCACTCCTGTCAGCCAGGATGGTGGGTGATTGTCATTCTGTGGCTTGGTTCTTCGGTTGATCTGTGTTCAGATGCGCCATGGGTGGTTTTGGTCTTACTCTGTGGTGGGCACAGTCTGATGCGGATGCTGATGTTCTGTGACGTCATTTGTGCTCAGCAGGAGAACGCCAAGACCAGGCTGGGTGTGCCATGTGGCTCCCTGATGTCAGGGGCTGCCTGTCTCTTTTCCATCAGAACCTAGATTAGCTTCATGTGGACAAGCATATCAACATAGTCCGTTAGATAGCTTCCAAGCACACTTTACTATAGAAAAAAATGTAGCTTCCCAGGAAGAAGGAATATGAATCAGGTAGAAATGGAGTCCTTATTCATCAAATAGCTTGGTCTGTTCGTTAACTATTTGTAAAAAGAGCAACTTAGATCCAGACTTAGCAACATACTGCACGAGAAATTTCAGTTAGGTTAGAGAAAATTGTGCTTCAGAAAATCTAAGAGCTAACATTTTAGAAACACACATTAAATATATTTTTCAAATCCTCGAATGTCACAGGATTTTCCAAGTTGAAGCACCAGCATTTATCTCAAAGACAGTCATCGGTATAGTTGAATCCATCAAAATTTAAAATAGTATGTGTCAAAGCACACTATAAATAAAACGAAAAGTCAGACATCTCATTTTAAAAAGTGTTTTAAACAAAAAATGAGAAATGAAAATATCAATAATATTTAAACAGCTCACATACATCAATAGAAAGGCACTAAAATGGACAAATGCATGATCAAATGTATACCAGTTTGATATATAAATGATTACTAAATATTGGGACAAATGCCTTGCTTTGCTAATAACAAAAAGTAAACAATCATAATATACAATGAAAAAACAATCATACAAACAACAAAACAAAACATAATTCCATGTCCTAAAACCGTGAACAATATTTTTTAATTGAAAATGCCAAACAACCACGATCATGTGTTTAAAATGAACACTCTCAAATACTGTTGGTAGGGTTATAAATTGTTCCAACTTTCTTTAAAAGTAACTTAGCACTGCATATACCCATGTCTTTTAGACTTCTAATTCTACTTCTAGAAATCTAACCTGGAAAAATATTTTGAAATGCAAAAGTTTTTGCACAAGACGATCATAGAATATTTATAATAAGTAAATATAATACAATATATAATATAAATATAAATATAATGTAAATATAATAACAAAAGAAAAAAACCAGAAGTTACTTAGGTAACAAAGGGAGGGTGGCAAAAGTCATATGGCTTTCTATAAAATATAATGTTATGAATTGTATTTCACAGAGTCCTAATGGCTTGGGAAAAATCTTTCTATTTAATGTTTATTTGTCCCCTTCAAAAATACTTTAATATTTTAAAATATTAAATATGATATTGCATGGTCATGTTTGACCTTTAAGATATTAAGGATTTTAAAAGGAGTTTTTTTTTTTTATCATGAGTAAATTTTTTTGTTTGTTTGTTTTTGTTTTTGTTTTTTTTTGAGACAGAGTCTCACTCTGTAGCCCAGGCTGGAGTGTAGCGGCGCAATCTCGGCTCACTGCAAGCTCCGCCTCCCGGGTTCACGCCATTCTCCTGCCTCAGCCTCCCAAGTAGCTGGGACTACAGGCACCCGCCACCATGCCAGGATAATTTTTTTGTATTTTTAATAGAGACAGGGTTTCACCGTGTTAGCCAGGATGGTCTCAATCTCCTGACCTCACGATCCGCCCGCCTCGGCCTCCCAAAGTGCTGGGATTACAGGCATGAGCCACTGCGCCTGGCCTATCATGAGTAAATTTTAATTTGTCATCTAATATAGAAAAAAAACCTACTGATTTAAAAAATACTGAAGATTTTTTTGAGGATTTCTTTTTCTTGGTATTTGAAGCAAATAACTGAACCCTCCCCATCTCAGCAATTAGACTCTACCTTTGGATGGAAGCACACATTCAGTAGAGTTTTAAATAATTACAAATGATTCACTGTGTCAAGCAGCTTGTGTTTTTTCATTCTGACATATGTGTAAATCCTTTTCTTGAGGAAAAACAATTTGATCTTTATTATTCCAACACAGCGTGGGTGTCTGTCATGAATGAAAATGTCAATGCATTTTCATAACAGAATATACCTTTTGGTATTGGCAAAGAAATTAATTCTTCATTGCACCCGCTGCATAAAGAAGCGACTTTCATCCTGTGTAATGTGTGAGCCTCCATGTTGCATTATTAATGTGCACTATTTACAGGCGTACAATGCAGACAGCAATTTCCCATAAAATTGCTGAGTGTTTCGTCTTGTTCATTTGAAATGATTTGAAAATGGTCATTCAACCAGATTGTTATGGTAATGCTACAAATTTAAGTAGTATTTTAGAAACAATAATGTAAAATTTGGTAACACAGTGAATCATGAAAGCAGGTGTTTAAAAATTACCACCAAATCCTCTAAGTCAGAGACAGAGAGTTGTATTCCACCAGCCACAGGTGGCTCCTGGGAGTTGCTGGTTGGGCTAGAGATGCTGCTATTTCCTTCTTATTTTGTCTCCTGCAGATCCTCTCCTCCTGCCACTGGGCAGCCCCATGTCCTCTGTGCCTCCCTCACCCCCCACCTCATCCCTACGCCCACCACACACACAGGCTGATTACATTAGAAGCAATGCCTACTTCCTCTGGGCCAATTAGATTGTCTGCACAAGGAATTTGAAATTGAGACTTGAAGGCAAGTTGGCATGCAGTGTAGGGCACTGGAGCTATAAACTCATTGTGATCCTCAAACACAGAATGACCATGTGGCTCAGCAATTCCACTCCGAAGTATATGCTCAAAAGCACAGAAACACATACTCAAGGACATGCATGTTTATGGCAGCATTGTTCACAACAGCCAAAAATGTGGAAACAATCCAAGTGTCCATCAACAGATGAATGGGTCCACAAAATGTGCTCTATCCATACAATGGAATATTACTTAGCCATAAAAAGGAATGAAGTTCTGACACATGCTACAATGTGGATGGACCTCAAAACATCACACTAAGTTAAAGAAGCCAGTCACCAAAAAGCACCTATTAAATGACTCCATTCATATGAAATTCCAGAAGAGGTAAGTCCACAGAGACTGAAAACAGATTCGTGATTGCTGGCAGCTGAGGGGAGGCGGCAGATTCATGGGCATGGGATTTTCTTTTGTGGTGATGAAAATGTTTTGGAATTAGCAAGAGGTAGTGGTTGTACAGCATTGTGAATTGTGCATGTTTAAGTGGTTTATTTTATGTTATGTGAATTTCTCTTCAATAATAAGAAATATATATAGATTTGGGGTTCAGAGTTGGTACCCTGCAAAGACAGATGCCAGATGAACCATGACGGAGCATAAATGAGGAGGCCAGCAGAAGAAGCTGGCAACAGAGAGGATGTTGAGGTGGGCATGCAGAGAAGCAGAGGCAGGTTGAGGAGGTGGAGATGGGTGGAGCCAGAAGTTATTGGTGACATTCCAGTTCCTACAGTCAGAGTTCCCCGCATCCCTGCAGTAAATATCCTCTTATCTCAAGTGGAATGGGCTTCTGCTTCTCGCATCCCAACAGCCTCAGGAGGTCCTAACGACATGTGCCTAAGGTAGTCGGGGCACAGCTTGGTTTTATACACTTTAGGGAGACACGAGACATCAATATGTGTGAGATGAACACTGGTTCAATACAGAAAGGCAGGACAACTTGAAATGGGGACTTCCAGGCCATAAGTAGATAAGAGACAAAAGGTTGCATTAATTTGGGTCTTTGATCAGCCTTTCACTGAGTACACAATTTACATGTGAGAAGGGAGTGGAGGAATAGTCACTTCGGCCCCAGTCTGCCTCAGTGAATCTGCATTTTTACATAAACAATAAGGCGGAAGAAACAATCAGATACACATTTGTCTTTAGTGAGCAGAGGGATGACTTTCAGTTCTGTCCTTTGTCCCACATCTGTGAAGATAAGCGATCATCAATTTACATTGCCGGGGTGAAATTCAACAGAATTGTTTTAGGGTAAAGATCTTGAGGCCGACAGGGAATTTTCTTGTGGACAAATAGTGATGGAGGTATGTAGCTTTTTACTCTTCGTAGCTATCTTATTTAGTAATAAAATAGGAGGCAGGCTTGCCTGATGCACTTCCCAGCCTTAGTTTTCCTATTGGCTTAGTGATTTGGGGGTCCTGAGATTTATTTTCCTTTCACAGGCCTTAAGCTGTGTTTGTCAGCCCTCACCTCCTGCGAGAGAATGCTGATGGTCACTTCACAATCATTTGTAATTCAAGGTTTATCAAGGGCCCAACACGAACCCATCACTTGCTGCGTGTGATAAACTCTGGGTTGAAAAAGACCTCTTCCCTCCCTCTCAGGTAATTCACAGCACCTGTGAGATCTGGTGCCTCTAAGATCATTCCTATTACGTAGGCAGTGAAACTGGAGCTGGAGAAATGGAGACACTTGTCCCAAAGTCTTGGGGACAGAAGGAGTGAGAGAGCTAGGACTAAGCCAGAGAAAGCACTCTCAACAGCCCCATTTTCTAGTTCAGTTTCATTTGGAGCTTCCATACAGATGAAGAGTGATGTTGTCAGGACAAAATATGGCACATCATGGTGCACTTGTATGAAGAGAGCTACACGATAAAATGGAGTCTTTCATGGAAGACATGCCAGAGCAGATGGGACATGCATGGAAAGTCTGGAGTCCTGGCTCCTCGTCTTTAACCACCTTGGAAGGCAAACTCCCTGGAGTAGAGGCTGTGGGTACTTACATCTCCTTTCTGCTTCCCTTCCAAGACCCCAACCAGGTCACCCCTTTGCTTTGCTTATTACAGGTTCCATGCCAAGTGTCCCAGCAGCTCATGGCCTGGAGGAAAGTCACAGCGGCCAGTCTGAGGCTGCCCATTTCTCATGGGCCTGGAGAAGACCTGTTCTTCCAAGGTCAGAATGAAAGTGATCATGGATGGAAGAGAGGCTCTCCCATGGCCTTGAGCTTTCAGCTGGTCTGGGATTGTCATCTAAACCCTTCTTCACTAGCAGGTAAATTAACCCATCAGGGAAATTTGGCAGCTATTACATTTGAAATGATATTTTTTAAAAAGTGTTTAGTGGTGATTTTAACCTTGGCTGATATTCAAGTAATTTGTCACATACTGCCATGTTCTTACCCATTTGTCAAAGCAATGTTGCAGAGCCATTAGCAAAACTCTCCAAAATTGTGCAGGGTATCAGATGGAGCAAATCAGTCCTGATTAAAAGTGTGATCTTGACTTTTTTTTTTTTTTTTTTTTTTTTGAGATGGAATCTCGCTCTGTCACCCAGGCTGGAGTGCACTGGCATGATCTTGGCTCACTGCAAGCTCCGCCTCCTGGGTTCATGCCATTCTCCTGCCTCAGTCTCCCGAGTAGCTGGGACTACAGGCACCCGCCACCATGCCTGGCTAATTTTTTTGTCTCTTTAGTAGAGACATGATTTCACCATGTTAGCCAGGATGGTCTCGATCTCCTGATCTCGTGATCCACCCGCCTCGGCCTCCCAAAGTGCTGGGATTACAGGCGTGAGCCACTGCGCCCGGCTGACCTATTTTTATAAATGTTAATCAGACCACGACACTCACCTTCTAGAATCCCCCTTCCATCTAGAATAAAACCAGCCTCTTCCCCAGGCATGCAGGCCCCAGGTGACTCAGCCTGGGTCTGCATCCAACTTCATCTCCCTCAACTCCTTCACTGGGCTCTTGTCCTGCCAACCTGTAGCTAGTGGGAGCACTTGGTTCCTCCACGTGACAGCTTTCTTCACTCTTCCCAAACTCAGTTCCCATATCCCCAACATTCGACGTCTGCAACGATCCATTCTCGGTCCCCAGCATGCCCATTGCTAAGAACCAGGTTATTCTCCATCTAACGCATGCTTGTTTAATGCCTACCTCCTGGGACACCTGCAGGCCAGGGGCCATTTCCATTTTGTTCTCTCTCTGTACCTCAGGTCTAATGTACAGCAGGTGCTCGGCAGACATTTGTGGAACAAATTCACTGAAATAATAATGAGTAGGAAATTTACAGAGGACCCTCAAAATAGTGGCCTGTTCCAGAATTTCCAGAATCTAAGGTCACGGACTCAGATCATCAGAGCTAGAAGCAGCCTCAGAGTTGTCAGGTCCAGCCAAAGCTGCCCCAGCTCTGAGGCTTGGGACCTGGCCCAGCTGTCTGCAGAGTCAGCTATGGAAGCAGGGCTGGCCCAGGGCTGGCCCAGGCCTGGAGCGCCTCCTGTTGCTCTTGCCTAGAAATGACGCATCCACAGGGAAACCATTCAGATCAGAGAAGGAGTTCCCAGCAGGTGAGCCTGCCGGGAGCCAACCTCAGCTCCCTGTGGCCACAGTGGTGGTGGGAGGAGGTTGAGGGAGGCTGCCTCCTCCATGCTGGCCACCAGGTCTGCGGCCACCTCCCTACCTCCCATCTAAACAGCATGCACTGTTTGGAGCTGGAAGTGCACAGAAGCCAGTACTGAAAAGACTGCCAGTTTTTGGCTCATGCCTGTAATCCTAGCACCTTGGGAGCCCAAAGCAGGTAGATCACTTGAGCCCAGGAGTTGAAGACCACCCTGGGCAACATAGTGAGACCTCATCTCTACAAAAAAAATACAAAAGTTAGCTGTGCGTGTTGGTGCACACCTGTAGTTCCAGCTACTCGGAAGGCTGAGGTGGGAGGATTGCTTCAGCTCAGAAGGTTCAGGCTGCAGCTCAGAATTCAGCTGTGTTCATGCCACTGAATTCCAGGCTGGGTGGAAAAAAATGATAGTCAGTTCTCAAAAATTCTCTCTTCCTGTTAATTCCAAACAGCACTTTCTCTCTCTGGCTCCCCTCTCTCAGTCGATGTCACTCCTCTGCCTCGGCTGCCTAATTATCTTGATACTCTCAGGGGCCTGGCCCTGGGCACTCTCCTCTTCTTACCTGGTACAGTCTCCCTGGACAATTTCCTCCACTCTTTGACTTAATTAACATCCATTTGCCTACAGTAATTAAATATCGCTGTGGTCCAGAACTCTCAGCTGAGCTGCAAACCTGCAGGGCTGAGCACAGCAGGCCTCCCGGACGTTGCTGCACCAAGATGGTGCTCCCAGCCACCTCCTCCTCCGCTCGTTTTTCTCCTGGCCAATGAGAACTCCAGGGCAACACTTGTCTCCTCCTCCTCCTCTGCCAACCCCCATCCTCATGCCTCAGTCATCAGTCCAGGTTCGCCTCCTGAGTATGCTGGAATTCTACCCCACTCCTCCACCCCCTCTGCTATAACCTTAGCGAAAGGCTTCCTGGCAGTTTTCCTCCCCACACAGTGCCATGAGAGCAAGATTTTACGAAGTCACATTTAATCCCATTTGAAATGGTCCCATATTTTAATGTCGTCTGCAGAAGCAAGTGCCATCTCTGTGGTCTGGTGCATCCTCATCCCCTTGTGCTGCTCTTTTCTTTTTTGCAGTGTTTCCTCTAGGCCGGGGCTGCCTCAGCCCCTCACAGACGTGGAGAGATGGCAGAAGGCGGCCTGTGCTCCCCAAATACACCACGTTCGGCCAGTACCCCAGGGCCTTCGTTCGGGCTGCCCCCCAAATCCACAGCTTCATCCTCTCCCTGTCTGCCTGATAAACACCTCCTCTTTTCTCGAGAGGGTTCAAGGACCACAAGAGTTCTGTCTATGAGAGTTCACTGAGTGCCAGCTGCACAGGGCACTGCGGATGCCTGTCTCAGGACTGGCCTCATGGAGCTGCCACCTCTTTGTAAAAAGGACAGAGACGCAGGATATGCAATTCATTGTGTCCTGAGTGCTGCCCAAGGGAAGCATCAGAGGAGACACCCAGGGTAACCAACCATCCCAACTGGCCCAGATTGTCCCCATTTTAGCAGTAAATTCTCATCTCCTGGGAAATCCCTCGGTCCCAGCAAACCAAGATGGTTTGTCACCTTACACCTTGCAGGGTCAGAGAAGGGAGACCCAGGAGAAAAGTCGGTGTTTGTTAGAGGGCAGGAGGATGGAGAGAGGTTGCAGGCAGACAGAAGTACCTGGGAGAAGCACCTGAGAGAGGTGGGCGGGAAAAGGCAGAAGGAGTCCTGGTCGGGCTGCAGTGAGTCAGGCCTCTCTGAAATGACCTTTCCACCCTCATCCGCTACCCTCAGCTCCCAGAAATAATCATTCTCTCCTCTGAGGCCCTACCGAACACCACGCCTACACCAAACATAGCACATACATTTCATGACATTTTCTTAACTTATTACTTTATTTACTGCCTTTGCCAACTTTCCTGCGAGTGACTGCGGACAGGAGACCATTATCCAATCCCCTGTGTCTCAGAGTTAGCAGTAAGAGCACAGTAAACATTGGGGGGTGTGGGGGGGACGACGCTTCAATCGTGCTTCAGCCTCCCAGAGCACCTTTCACGCATCCGTAAAATCAATGTCGCATCAAAGCAGAACTATTTTTACATGATAAGCAGGGGAGCATATCCTAGCAATGTGTTTCCAAGGCTCCCCGAGACACAGGAGAGCAGAATGGCAGGAGATACCCACAGCCAAGAGTGCATAGAGACAATTAACACACAGCAAGAACATTATCACGAGCCTGGGTTTAAAGGAAGATTCCAGATCAGACTGAGATGCCTTGGGCTTTGCTCTCCCTTTTGCTGTCATCAGACTCAAATTTCCACGAGGACAGAGACCCTGTTGGTCTTGCTGACTGTGTCCCCCAGACCTACAAGAGCACCTGGCGCTTGGAAGACATGCTCAGTCTTTACTCTCTGAAGCCGCTTCAATAAAGCCCTGCTGTGGCAAGTGTGGTCTCTACGGCATTGGTGCCCCTTGAGACTTCAGCCACATCTACTGAATCAGAATCTGCATTTTAACCAGGTTTCTGTGCTATCTCTTAACTTTTCAGAAGGACCTTTTGAAAGGGCTTGGTCATCCCAAGCCAGTGACCTCAGCTGCCTATAAAAACCAATTAAAGGCCAGATGCGGTGGCTCTTGCCTGTAATCCCAGCACTTTGAGAGGCTGAGGAGGGCGGATCACCTGAGGTCAGGAGTTCGAGACCAGCCTGGCCAACATGATGGAACCCCGTCTCTACTAAAACTACAAAAATTATCCAGGTGTAGTGGTGGGCACCTGTAATTCCAGCTACTCAGGAGACTGAGGCAGGAGAATCGCTTGAACCTGGGAGGTGGGGGTTGCAATAAGCCAAGATCACATCACTGCACTCCAGCCTGGGCAACAGAGCGAGACTCTGTCTCAAAATAAATACATAAATAAAATAGGAATAAAAACTAATAAACCCAAGGCCTCCTTGCTTATCTGGAAAACACTTCTTCATCTTTGGAAACCCTGCTCAGGAGTTCCCCTTCTGAGAAACTTCACAAACATCACCCTTTCGCCATCAGGGTTGATTGCTCCATCTGCCAGGCTGTGCTCACCCCGCCCTGCGTTCTCCATTCTGTCAAGGCATTTATCATGCAGCAACACAATCTGCTTTACACGCCTGTCTCCCCACCAGATGGGTCAGCCAGACTGATGTCTTTGAAATAAGAAAAGGAATCTTATTTATCTTTGCATTCCAGGTCTGTTCCCACATGGAACCGAGTGTGATCAGTCATGTGTGTCGGCCTGTGGGCTCTCCCTTTGTGTCCCACATTCTAGAATCCCACACTTCACTAAAGAAGGTCTTCCCGGGCTGGGCGCGGTGGCTCACGCCTGTAATCCCAGCACTTTGGGAGGCCGAGGCGGGTGGATCACAAGGTCAGGAGTTCAAGACCAGCCTGGCCAAGATGGTGAAACCCCGTCCCTACTAAAAATACAAAAAAATTAGCCAGGCGTGGTGGTGGGCTGTAATCCCAGCCACTCGGGAGGCTGAGGCAGAGAATTGCTTGAACCCGGGAGGTGGAGTTTGCAGTGAGCCGAGATTGCACCACTACACTCCAACCTGGGCAACAGAGCAAGACTTGTCTCAAAAAAAAAAAAAGAAGGTCTTCCCTCACTTCCTCCCTCTCTGTCCCTCCATTTCTTCCTCCCTCCTTTCTTCTATTCCTTCTTCCTTCCTTCCAATGGAAAGGTAGAAACTCAAGAAAACATTTATTTATGTGAGCTAGGTACGAAAATTACTTGGTACCATTGCGATGGGATAGAACACATATTTAACATGAATAAGGAGATTCCCAAGATGATTTATGAAGGCATGACAGGAGAATGGCATGGCATTTCCCTGGGCTGCCCAGATTTCCTAGCCATTCCTAGATGCCGAGGATGCGGCCACTCTAACCCAGCAGTCATGTTGCCTCATCCACATGGACCTCTGAGAGTGCAATAACAAAATCTAGGGATTCAAGTCAAACTTGCTGGATGTGGCCGGGTGCGGTGGCTCACGCCTGTAATCTTGAAACTTTGGGAGGCCGAGGCAGGTGGATCACCTGAGGTCAAGAGTTCAAGACCAGCCTGGGCAACATGGTGAAACCCCTTCTCTACTAAAAATACAAAAATTAGCTGGGCACAGTTGCATGTGCCTGTAATCCCAGTTACTCAGTAGGCTGAGACAGGAGAATCGCTTGAGCCTGGGAGGTGGAGGTTGCAGTGAGCCGAGATCGCACCACTGCACTCCAGCCTGGGTGACAGAGTGAGACTCCATCTCAAAAAAAAAAAAAAAAAAAAAAAAAAATTGCTGGATGTGACATGCTTCAGTCCTTAAGTAGATAGGTACGTCACCTGCTTAGACTGTGAACTCCTTAAAGACACGTACTCTGCCTTAGACACATGGATGTCTGTGGTGGTTCACATGGTACCCAGCTCAACAAATACTTTGTTAACCATGAAATCCAGAAGAACATCACAAAGGTGCCCATCTGCATGCAAAGCAGGTGGATGCAGGGCTCCAGCTCAAGCACAGCTCTCTGTGTGTACCCCCCAGCAAAGACTGCACCTCGTTAAGCTGCGGGTTCATTGACTGGATGTGACGCGATGCAGCTGACAGCAATCTCTCATCACCTCCAAGGTCATGTACATGGACAGCACTAGAAATACGCCAGAATTTTGAGGATCTTTTTCAATTTGCCGTCTTCTGCCTGACGTGCTGGTGAAATTGAAATTGCTGAAAATTGATATGAATCAGTAGGGCATTAAAATGTTGTTAACTGAAGTATGAGAATGGTCACGAATAACTATTGTTATTATTTAGGTTTTTTTTTACACATTCTGTAAACTCAAAAGCCTCTAGGAAAAGTAAAATGGAACAGGTCTCATTAAACACATCATCCAACCATGCAGGGTGGGTTTTTTTTTAACCTCTTAAGAATATCCCCCAAAAGGCCTTTTCTAACTAATACAATTAATTTGACCACTGCTTTATAGCCCGTAGGAAAGTAAATCTGGTTATGCTTCAGGATTATCTGGGGAACCTGACTCAGCCCTGAGTGGAACACAGTGGGTAAGCCAAGCATGGCCTGAATTTCAGCCTTTATTGTCTTCCCCTGCCAGGTGCCTTTGTGCAGTGCGCAAACTTCACAACTGTACATGGCAGCTCTGCAATGGAGTCCCCCCAGCAGATTCTGATTTGAAGCGTCTTGAGAAAACTTAGGACCAATAATTTTAGGAAGTTTCCCAGGTAAGTCTAGTGCACAAGCATATTTGAGAACCAGCACTTTATTTCGTATTTCCCCAGCAATCATGATTACAGTGTATCTCTGTATTTATGTACCAGTGCATTATTACAGCACTCTAGTAGTTCCTACACATGGAAAGATAAATGGAAGGTATTATTTGAAAATTTGCTACTGTGTTGTACAAAATACCTCGAGTCAGTATCGTGGCTGAAGAGCACTGATATGTGTGTCATTGGATGCTGACGCTGACGTGAACTAACTAGGCTTGTAAAAGATCTGGCATCAGCATCCCTTCCAAGCCCCAGGCACATATCACTCTGGGTAGGAGCCTTCTTGGCCCCACTCAGCACAATTCTTGCAATGCCCTGCTTTGCAGCTGTCTCTGCGCACCAATGGTCACCTGGAGATAATTAGGTAAAATGAAGTCTTGTGAGCCTCCCAGCAGAGCAGAAACCATCCCTAATTACAGGAACACACTATGTTTTTCTCTGCCCTAATGCACGTTGAACTTAAAACACAATTCCTTGAAAAACTGTAGCCTGCTCTGATAGTGGGAATGCCAATAGCAGAGTCCTTGTCCTTTAGCTTCTGCCTGCTGTGGGCAGCAATGGCTGCTGGGTGAATCATATACCCGGCAGAACTCACTGGCAGTGCTGTGGACCCAGGGGGGCTCTGTCAGTGGTCAACAACAGTGTAATTGAAACGGGAGTGAGGCCTGAATAAGTTTGGCTGCCTGTATGTTGCCAGAAACACTGCTCTTCCAGAGTAGATGAATGCCATCTAGCTTATGATGCAAAGAAACATAGGGGTGACTCGTGGCAAGCTCAGGCGTCTTCCCGCCATGGGTGTCAAAGGCACAATCACGTCTCACTCATGATCAACCGGAATCATATAAGGAACTTACTATCTACATCAAATTTCATCTAGAAAAGTAGTCTGGAAGTCTGATGTGCATGCACTTACTTTACTGAACGTCCCCTGCTCCACTCCTGGCTGCACACAGGCCCCTCTCTGTCTCAGTCCCTGACCTCATGAGCCCTGTGGTTGTGGCACCTCTCCGTCCAGGCCCCTGAGTGCCCCCTACTCTTGTCTCTACCAGCAAACATCTTCTAACTGTACATTCCCTTCCTCTAGAGGAGCCCAGAAAGGGTCTCTGGAGAAGTCTGCCAAATGTCTGATGCTCCAGGAGGCCCCTGCTAAACTTTTTCTGCCTAATCTAAGCTCACCCACCTTACCTTAAATGCGACTTTTCACTTTTCTCAGGACAAAAATGATAATAACAAAGTAAGACTGTTAACTGCCGTTCTCAAGCAGTTTTAACCAAGAACTGGGAGTGCCTTCCTCACAAAGATAAATCTTACATTACTGTCACATAAGGAACAGAACGTTTAATAGCTACTGATATGGTTTGGCTCTGTGTCCCCACCCAAATCTCATCTTGTAGCTCCCATAACTCCCATGCATTGTGGGAGGGACCTAGTGGGAGATGACTGAATCATGGGGATGGGTTTCTTCCATACTGGTCTTGTGACAGTGAATAAGTCTTACGAGATCTGATGGTTTTAAAAAGAGGCATTCCCCTGCACAAGCTCTCTCATTTTTTGCCTGCCACCATCCACGTAAGACGTGACTTGCTTCTCCTTGCCTCCCGTCATGATTGTGAGGCTTCCCCAGCCACGTGGAACTGTAAGTCCAATTAAACCTCTTTCTTTTGTTAATTGCTCAGTCTCAGGTATGTCTTTATCAGCAGCATGAAAATGGACTAATACACCTACTGAGTCCCAGTAGGAAATCTTCTGTCCCCAAGTGGTACCGGCTTGCAGTTTAAAGTTGCTACTAAAGAAGAGAGAGAGAGAGAGATCTGTCTTTTAATCCCAAAACTACACATGAGTTATGATTGCATGTCATTATTGTCAATTCCTTCAATCAAAGGACAAGTTATAAAATGTGCCAGGATAGCACTCTTCGCCCCCAGATCTTGGTTTCTAATACCATTCTCCAACCAAAGGAACCAGGGATCCAGGGAAAAATGAATGCTTCTAGGGCTGGGGCAGGAAATAAACAAGGTGAGCCTGGAGTACCTTGTAATGCCAGAAAGTAAGAAAGTGCTTAAAAAAAAACAAAAAGTAATAGTAATTATAGATAAAAAGCAGCCATTGATGTCAAAGGGGCACAGGAGCCCAGGAGCTCACTGAAAGAGCCCCCAGTGGCCAAAGCTGGAACAATTCAAACAACAACATCAGTAAAGCAGTATTGGATTCTAAACCAAAGTGTAAGGTAAATATTCACAAATCCTTGCCTACATAAATGATCGAGTAGATTAAATAAATTAGGGAGAGAAGACATTCTCCTGTATAGAAAAATTCCAATTACTGTGTAGACACTTCATCCTACAGTAAAGGGAAAACGTAACTCCTGATTCTTCAAGGGTGGGCCACACATAGTGATTTCCTTCAAAGAGTTTGTGATGGAGGAGGTGCAATAAAGCTGACTGAAGTCTATCTACTGATGCACATGGAAGCTGTGGAAATGCCTCATGTAGTGCTTACTGGTAGCAGAGACAGTCTTCCCTCAGATCAGGTCTGTGGAATGGCTGTTATTCTTGGAAACTTAGCCTCAAGTCCTGTTCTCTATGCCTCCTCATGACTCTGTAAACCCCACAATCTTTTGAATAAACTCCTTTTATTTAATTAGCTAAAGCCATTTTCTGTTGCATTTAACTAAAAACGTTGATACATTCAGCTAGAAAAAAAGTGAGCACAGAAGGATAGCAAGGCACATGGGAAGTTATAATGAGCTCAGAAATTAATATAAACTATGGTAGTAAGTATGACACATTATGGACTATAAAAATGTGTGTGTGACACATTATTGACTATAAAAATGTGTGTGACACATTATTGACTATAAAAATGTGTGTGACACATTATTGACTATAAAACTGTGTGTGTATGTGTATGTGTGTGTGTGTGTAAAGAGGATAAAATAAAAAGTCTTAGGATGATAATAGGAGTGTGGGGTTTTTCAGTGGGTAGACGCATGACAAAATTCTTGCAGAAATTTGAGGAACAGAGATAGTAATTACTGTAGAATTTGCTAGGAAAAAAATGAATAGTTAAAACTTTAATGGTAACCATTAAATCAATGAAAATATAATCATGGCTTCTTCATCAACAGAGGATAGAAGTAGGACAGAGGGGTGGATATAGAAAATTTCATTAATCTAACAAAAGGAAGGAAAGGGTAAAAAGAAAAGAAAAGACAAAAGATGGTAAGTAGAAAGTGCACCATCTGATGGGGGAAATGAGTCTAAAAATATCATAAACTCAATAAATATAAATGGATTAGACTCACCAATTAAAAAACAGAGACTATCAGGTAAGATATTTAAAAATCTAGCTAACACTACTTATAAGAAGCACATAAAGACGTATAAAACTACATAGAAAAGTTTAAATCAAAAGATAGGAAATGGTATACCTTACAAATGCTGACAAAATTAGGATAACAATTAAAGAACAAATAATATTAGACAAAATAGAATTTAAGATAAATAGCACTAGTAGAGATTAAGGACACTCTATATTAATAAAAATAACAATCCAACCAGAAGAATCATAATTTTGTTCTTAGCAATACTGCCTTGAAATATGCCAAATTTTAAACCATTGAGAAAGATTTCAACACATTCATATTAGAAATTAACATATCAACTATATGAGACAAAAATTAATAACCAGCAAAAGTAAAATATATATAATATATATGTAGAAAATGTCTCATCACACCAAAATATAGAAGATATATTCTTTTCAAGAAAAATTAATCATGGCTTAAAACACAAAGAAATTGCCAATACATTTCATGGCATCGATAAAATACAGATCATGTTTGCTAAGCATAATTCAACTACATTGAAAAACAACAATAAAAGATAATGGAGTAGACAACACTTTCTGCTCTCCAGATATGGAGATACTTAAAAATACATTTATTAATAACTCACAAATTAAGGAGGAATTCATAATGCAAATTACAGAGTATCTAGAAATGAATAGCATGAAAATGCTGTGGACCTCAACACATGAAGGCTCTAGTTAAATTAGTACTTGGGGTTTAGATTATAGCCTTCATGTATTTATTAAAAACAGCTTTTTTTTTTTTTTAACAAATGAGTTCATTCATTTTAAGTTTAAAAAGAAAAATTACTAAAGCCTAAAAATGTTACAAGAAGAAAATGACAAATATAAAAGCAGATATTAACAAAATGAAAAAGAAACAATAGAAGATCAGCAAAGATCAATTCCTTAATAAGCCTATAAAATAATATTAATCATTAAAACAGGAGAAAAGCGGCACCAACAAGAGACAGGGAATAAAAATGGGGCTATAATGACATGATCAGTTATTTAAAAACCCTAAGAGGCTGCTATATGCAACCTTATGCCAGAAAATTTAAAAGCTTAGTAAAAACAGAAACATTTCAAGGAGAACACAATTAAAACGTAAAGACAATCCACAGTATCCTAAAAATAATTTAAATTAAAAATTTTAAAACAAAATAAAATAATAAAATTGAGAAAAAACAAAAAGTGGAGAAGAAGGCTGGCGGTTCCCTGGTGTCTCATCATCTCATAGAGCAGAGCACTGGGGACAGGCCGAT
Organism: Homo sapiens; assembly: GCF_000001405.40. Taxonomy (NCBI): domain Eukaryota; kingdom Metazoa; phylum Chordata; class Mammalia; order Primates; family Hominidae; genus Homo; species Homo sapiens. Next base: position 234,613,873 of record NC_000002.12, read on the forward strand.
GCTTCTGGATGTGCAGAGGGTTCAGGTTCTAATGAGGCACCTGCCTCTTCTTATAATACCTTGTATGGAGCAGGAGAAAAACCATCAGGTGGGTATGTATAAACAGAAAAGGTTTGGGTGCCAGGCTCTTACAGGATACAGGCCAGCTGGACAGGAGTTTTGGGAAGGCACCTGCAGCTTGCTGGTTTCTTATACTACCCCAACAGGAAAGGAACCCCCATCGCCAGGGAGATTGACTTCAAGCACAGACCCTCCCACTGAGAAGGGAGAGTGTCAGTCATTCTGGTGTTAGGCAACCTACACTTTGGAAGCAATTCTGCTTGTTTCTCTTCAGGTTACCAACACTGATTCACAAAGAAATAGGAATTCTCATTAAAACCATACACACTGAAAACAATAAATTAACTTGTAGTCAAAAGATTCCTGCTTAAAGAGACACACACACAGTAGGATTGGATGGGTTTATGGTACCTTTTGCCATCCCTTCAAAAAATAACTATCTTAAATAACTGTTTAAGTGATTAGAAAAGGAAGGAAAGCCTCCAAAACTTGTTTGAAAAATCTAGCAAATATCCTTTTCACCAAACTGGACTAGAAGAGTATAAGAAAAGGAGAAGATAGACCAGCCTGTCATTGCATCCATAGATACAATAATCTTAAACAAAATGTTCGCAAATCAAACTCAACTTTATATTTTAAAATAATGCATGTTTATTCTGGGAATGTATAATTTTCAAAAACAGAAAAATTGTTATTATAATATTCCATATTAAGAGAATAATGAGAAGAAAACAAAGGAAAATCTCAATAGATGTACCTAGGTCAGTCACAAAAGTCAATACCAGTTTATGATCTGAAAACTCTCATGAAATTGGGAAAAAGAAGAAACTTGAAAAGCCTACGGCACACACTAATCCTAATGGTTAGCGTCTAGAAGCATTAGCACCAAAGTCAAGAACAAGGGAAGGATGGCCTCTGTCGTCATGTTGAAACCCGCCTCTGCAAAATTATGACAGACAGTGAAAGAGATCTAACTTAACTGACTCCATCTTCCTTCTAACCTCCAAGCTGTCCTTATTCATTCCTGGGCGTAGGCTAAACTAACTTTGGGAGAAACTTAGTTTATAGTTCATCATGTAAACAAAGACGGTAACAGCCCTTTCCCAAAGCAGACCTCCTTCTTGCCTGGGGACTAGGCTGCCTTTGTAGCACTAACATTAGCCACAGATTAGAAATTATGGTTTAGGAGTCGTGCAGCTGGAGGCTACAAGATTCTGACCCTCCCTAAACTGCTCCTAAGATCAGTGCTTGAGATATTTTGCAGACCTTGCACTTGATGGATCAGCTGGCACCGCCCAGATCAATAAACTGGCTCATCTGATCTTGTGGCCCCCACCCAGGAAACAACTAAGCCCAAGAAGACAGCTCCGACTTCCTATGATTTCTCTGACCAATCAGTACTCCTGGTTCACTGGCTTCCTCCGACCCACCAAGTTATCCTTAAAAACTCTGCTCCCCAAATGTTTGGGGAGACTGATTTGAGTAATAATAAAACTCTGGTCTCCCACACAGCCAGCTCTGCATGAATTACTCTTTCTGTATTGCGATTCCCCTGTCTTGAATACTCTTTCTCTATTGCAATTCCCCTGTCTTGATGAATTGCTCTGTCTAGGCAGAGGGCAAGGTGAAGCCCTTGGGCGGTTACAATGTTCACCAAAAATGTTCTGTAGTCACTAGCTAAATAAGAAAAGAAAAAGAAATAATATGTATACGAATTAGAAGGGAAGAGATTATACCATCTTTATTTGCAGATACATGATCTTTTTGTAATATAAAATACTTAACAGAATGTCCAGACAAGCCATGAAAACTAATACAAGAGTTTGGCGGCCAAGTGCAGTGGCTCGTGCCTGTAATCCCAGCACTTTGAGAGGCTGGGGCAAGAGGATGTCTTGACCCTGGGAGGGGGAGGCTGCAGTGAGTCGTGATTGCACACCACTGCATTCCAGCTTGGGTAACAGAGTGAGACACTGTCTCAAAAAAAAAAAAAAAAGAGTTTGGCAAGGTTGCTGGATACAAAATCAACATTTAAAAAGCAATAGCATTCCTCTATCAGTAAATAAAAGTAGAACATGCAATAGGAAACCTCTGGACTTCTGGTCATGGGGAGGAAGTGGTCCAGGATCACCCTCCTGCAGTAGACAACTAGAGAACCGAACACACAAAAAGCACAGCTGTCAGACAATGAACAACACACAGCACAGGAGAAAGGGCAGGAAGTGAGACGGGCCCTATCCTGGCCTAGGCTTTCTGCCTGGAGAAGTCCCTGGACTGTGGCTTATGGAGGGGACCCACACAGAATCTAACATTCCTGCTGCATTGAAGATACATACAACTGGAGTTCAGAGACTATGAAGACACTAGAATCTGTGGGCCAGAGAACCTGAGAGAAAGAAGCTATGTACTCTTAAAAGAACTCAGAAATCTGCATGGGGTCCCCTGAGTCTTTGGTTGAAAATCAAACTGCACATACATAGAGTGAAACTCCCAAGACTGGACAGGAACAATTTCTGAATAAAGAATAATTTACAAGGAGTGATGAGAAAATTCTATGAGCTTATGGGGTGCCTGAGACCTTTCAAGTTTTCTCTAGCCAGAGTGGAGAGACTGTTGAACTCACAGGGCTTTCAACAGAGATCCTGGCTAGGCTGTGTCTTTTAAAATGGAGCTTAATTAGCCCTGCAAAGAAGGTGTCTTTAGACTCTTCCCAATGCAGCTTAGAAACAAGCCATGGATGGATCATTCATCCACTAAAAAACTGATGGCCACAAATTGTCCAATCTTCTGCTAAGGAATACAAGAAAATCCAGCACTCAATAGCATCTGGGAGGAAAGTGCCTATACCTCAGAGAAGCTGCGGGGCCCAGCCGGCAGTAGCAGCAGAAGCGAGGAGGGCCCATACGGAAATGGATTCAAGGGCTTTTGATCAAGGGGGATGGATTGTAAGGTTGGATAACGAAGAGTTAGTTGATTTGGCAGCATTCTCCATAAAAACAGGATGCAATACCTTGGCAAGGACTTCGAGTAACGGCATAAATGTGCGGTCTGGATGGCTTGTGGGAGCACAAAAACACAGTGGGCTACACTAAGTCAGGTAGAAATCTCAGAATTCCTGTGGCAGGTGATAGAAGAGAGAAGTGGGTATGCTAAAGGGTATATAGCACCTAAATCCAGAAAACCTACCAGAGTACTGTGTGCCCAGAGAGGCACCCAGAGGGTACACAATTCAGCAAGGCTGTAAGAAATGTGCTGGTATGGGGGACACCAAGGATGCTAAGAGCAGAGGTGATTCTCCTCTGTATGCAAAGGCTGGTGGTAGGAGATGCCGTTAGGGACTGGGCTCACCCGCAGCAATGGGAATGACAGGATCCCAAAACAACAGTGGGAAGGTGGCAACACCTTGTCATCGGAAGGCAGGTGGATTAAATTATCATGAGCGTGTTGGAGGGTAGCCAGAGGGGCCTGGCTGGCTGAAAGTTATTGAGATGTTTATTTGAATGTGGCTTCCCAAGGGGAAGATGACTAGGCAGCCAACAGGGGTAATATCAACCTATACAATCAGAAGAATCAAGACTGATGACCAGGAGGCTGAGATAATTGATCTTTGTAAAGTAATATCCTTTACCTGGTACCCAGTTTTAGGATTAATGGGAAGGTCGGCCCCTGGAGAAAGGACCCTGCAACATCATAGCAAATGTTCATGAAAAGGAGTCCTCAGTCTTTCCCTGCAAGGACCTGTGGCTGTTTACCTTGGTCACTGCACAGTGTGGAAAGGGGAATACAAAACATTAGGTACTGTTAGAGACAGGGTCCTGGTTGACAATGATAGCAGCGTCATGGTACCCTCTCAGGGGGCCACGTATTAAGTGGAGTCCTGGCCCTGGTTTAGCTCATGTTACAACCACTGAACTACAAATACCTGCAGTGGTCATTAGCACAATTCCTACACTGGTTTCTTGGCCTAGGGATAAGAGCTATTATAGTGGGAAAAAGCAAATAGAAACCCCTGAAACTGGCCTCCTTTCCCCCACCCACTCACCAGCCAATATAATTAATCAAAACCAATATCACATCCTCAAGAGAATGGTAGAAATTAGTGCCATTCTTAAAGAAAAAGTACAAGGGGGTGCTTCATTATGCCTCCTTACAATTCACTAGTCTGGCTCCTAATCCTAGAGGTCAACAGTGAATGACAAGAAACTCAACCGCATAGTAGCCCAGTGGCAGTTGCTGTGCCTGGTGTAGTATCTTTACTAGAGCAGACTGACATAGCCTTGGGCACATGGTGTGTGGCTATTGATCTACCAAATACATTATTTTATCCTTATCAGAAAATCAGATCAGAAATATTTTGCAGTCACTTGGAATGAACAAGAATGTACATTTCCATGCTTGAATAAGGGCTGTGTCAACTATTCTACTCTCTCCTTAATGTAATCTAAGAGACACAGGCCTACTAGTCACCTTTCAGAACATTCTGTTGGGCTACATTATGAATAAAGTCATGGTAATTTGACTGGATAAAAAAGAAGTGGGCCAGGTGCGGTGATGGCTCACCCCTGTAACCCCAATACTTTGGGAGGCCAAGGCAGGTGGATTACCTGAGGTCAGGAGTTCAACACCAACCTGCCCAACATGGCAAAACCCCATCTCCACTAAAACTACAAAAAATGAGCCAAGCATGGTGGCAGGCACCTGTAATCCCAGCTACTAGGAGGCTGAGGCAGGAGAATTGCTTGAACCCAGGAGGTGGAAGTTGCAGTGAGCCGAGATGGCACCATTGCACTCCAGCCTGGGCAACAAGAGTGACTCTCCATCTCCAAAAAAAAAAAAAAAAAAAAAAAAGTGGCTAGGATATTGGAGACTTTGGCAAGACATGCATTCCAGAGGGTGGGAAAGTAACCCTATAAAGATTCAGGGACTTGTTATATGGGTTACCTTTTTAGGTGACCAATGGTATGGGGTATTCTAGAACTTTCACTCCAGGTTAATGTACAGATTAACATACATTATCCTCCCAAATACAAAGAAACATAACACCTGGAATTTGGGCACTATTGACATAATATTTCTCAGCACATATACCTACATACCGGCCAACATGAAAACCTCCCATCTTCCTCTAGACCAAAAAAAAGGAATGATATAATTTATTAAAAAGACACCAAAAATTCCACTAAAGGAACATCAAAAGATAGATACATTTGATTACATTTAAATGAAAACTTCTGCACAAAGCAAATAAAGTGAAAAGATAAGCCAGGCTCAGAAAAGATATTTGCAAAAAATAAAATCAAGTAAAAAGTTTCAATAAATCAACAAGAAGAGAAAAACAACATAATAGAAAAAGTGCAGGCTGGGCACAGTGGCTCACGCCTGTAATCCCAGCACTTTGGGAGGCTGAGGCGGGTGGATCACCTGAGGTCAGGAGTTCGAGACCAGCCTAGGCAACATGGTGAAACCCTAGCTCTACCAAAAATACAAAAATTAGCTGGGTGCGGTGACGAGTGCCTGTAATCCCAGCTACTCAGGGGGCTGAGGTAGGAGAGTTGCTTGAATGTGGGATGCGGAGGTTGCAGTGAGCCAAGATTGCATCACTGCACTCCAGACTGGGCGACAGAGCGAGACTCCGTCTCAAAAAAAAAAAAAAAAAAAAAAAAAAAAAATAGCAAAGAACATGAATAGGCAGTTCCCAGAAGAAAAAACTTAAATGAAAAAAACTTGTATTGGCAAAAATTAACTAGATTGATATGATAATGCATGTGTGCAAATCTAGAGCAACACAAACCACAAACTATACTTTAAAAGATGAGATAGCACTATCAAGGAAAATGAACAATACTCACTCACCGGGCCCTAAAATTCAATTTCTGGAACTGCAGCCTAGAGGACTTTTCACATGTGTGGATGGATAAGGACAAGAAGATCACCAAAGCCATGCTTGTGATGGCAAATAAGACCTACCTCCATCAATCAGAAAACGTATATGTAGTTGTCATATAGTCATATAATGTACTTACTATACAGTAGCAAAATCAAAATGAATGAGACTGAGCTACACCTATCATCATGAAGAAATATAATTTGATCAGAAAAAGCAAATTGCAGAAGGATATGCAATATCCAGTAGAGATGAAGACGACGATAGTGGCAGTAGGGCATTGGTTATATCTCTGTTCGCTCATGAATTTTTTGCAACAATCCTGTGAGATAAGCACTTTAATTATTTCCGTTTTAGAGATGAGGAAATTGAAGCATGTTGAGGTTAGATAATGGGTCGGAGAGTTACGGAGCTAGGAAATGACATAGCCAACACATCCTGTGAGTGTGAGTTTATGATACTCACACAAAAGTGTAGAATTAGTGAGTCAAGGGGTATACATAGTTTACATTTTAAACGATGTTTCTAGATTACATCTTTAAGAGGTTGCAGTATTTCACACTCATACTAGCAAGAAGGAAAGAGTATCTTTCCCTTCACTCTGCATAATACTGGCTTTTATCATCAATAGGTAAAAAATAGACTTCTGGGTTTAATTTGAAAATTTCAGACGATAAGGAAGCTGTTTACAGAGGGTTTGGATTTCTTCTGTATATCACCTGCTCATATTCATTGAGCATTTTTATATTGGATTGTATTTGTTTTGTTCCTCAAGTTATAGCAGACTTCTTTATATTAGTAAGATGAATCCTGTGTCTATCATATCTTGCAAATTGTTCTCTTAGTCTATAGTCTGATTGTTTAATTCCTTAATGGTTATTCTTGCCATATTTACATTTTTCTTTTCTTTTTTTTTTTTTTTTTGAGATGGAGTCTAGCTCTGCTGCCCAGGCTGGTGTGTAGTGGCGTGATCTCAGCTCACTGCAACTTCTGCCTCCCAGAATCAAGTGATTCTCTTGCCTCAGCCTCCTGGGTAGCTGGGACTACAGGCACACACCACCATGCCTGGCTAATTTTTGTATTTTTAGTAGAGCTGGGGTTTCACCATGTTGGCCAGTCTGGTCTCAAACTCCTGACCTCAGGTGATCCACCCGCCTTGGCCTCCCAAAATGCTGGGATTACAGGCGTGAGCCACCACGTCCAGCCCATGTATACATTTTTCACTTCCTATGCAGACCATTTGAATCTGGCTTCCACCTTAATTATTTCACGCAAATTGCTGCATTCAAGGTTCCCAACAACCTCCATATTACCGAATTTAGTGTCCTCATCTTGCTCAACCCAGTTATAAATCCTCTATTTAGCCTCTCCAAATCTTAGATTTTTCATTTGTAAATAAGAGACAACACCACCAGCTTTGCAAGCTCGTTGTTAGGAAATGCTTATGCATAGCTTGTAGCACAGTGCCCACTGTTATTACTGGCCGAAAGCCTGACCTCCCACTTTCTGCCTCAGCACCTTGGAAAATTGCTGCTAATCACAGGAAAAAGCAAGACGCAGGAGTGAGCAATAATGCAAGCCTGGTGTGCCCTGGGGACTGTGCTATTCACACCTCGTAGACTTCCAGATGTAAAGAGCAATCTTAACAATCATGAACATCATGAGATTTATTGAGAGTTTACTATGTCCCAAACACCTTGCTGGGTGCCTTCTAATAAAGGATGCAATACACACAGAGCACTTAGCCTGTCTGGCCCGTAGGAAGTGCACTATGTCATCTCACTCTCATCTTCACTGCTGCCGTCATTTTAGAGGCTGCATCTTATTAGGCAAGGCCAGCAGAGTTCTCCTCCACCTCCAGGCAAATGAGTGGACCACATGTGCATCCTGTCTTCCATCAAGGGGCTTGGAAAAGCCTTCTTCACTCCAGGAAGAGTCAGCAGGGACCATATGGAACCTCACAGAAAGTTCTCCCCATAGGAGAAGGCTTTTCTGCTAAGCCTTAGCTAAAGACTAGAGGCCAATGGGCAGAACACTGGCCAGGAAACCTTTTGCATTTGCCCTCCCCACCCCTGGATTGGCCTAACATTGAAAAGTCACAGCATTTCACCTGGAAACTGGAATTTTCCACTTCTGTGGACAAGTCAGACAAGGAGCTCTGACCGTCCTTCCAGCCAGCCAGTGGTTCCACTCATTGCAGATGCCTGCCTGGCCCTAAAGGCATTTGGGTTCCGACCTCTGACCCTGAGGCAGGAGAACAGGGCCTGGAAGCAGGGAACATAAGGCTAACCCACGCTGACTTCCTAGGCCGGGTATGGTGGCTCATGCCTGTAATCCCAGCATTTTGGGAGGCCAAGGTGGGTGGATCACCTGAGGTCAGAAGTTCGAAACCAGCCTGGCCAACATGGTGAAACATCATCTCAACAAAAATACAAAAATTAGCCAGGCATGATGGCAGGTGCCTGTAATCCCAGGCAGGAGAATCACTTGAACCCAGGAGGCAGAGGTTGCAGTGAGCTGAGACTGCGCCATTGTACTCCAGCCTGGGAGACAGAGTGAGACTCCATCTCAAAATAAAATAAAGTAAATAAATAAATAAATGAAAGCACTTCAGCAATGACAGGAATGTGAATTGCTTTGAAACTTCACTTCATCCTCCATTTACATAGACCACACATACAAAGTAACATCTTCTCCATTTATAACAGGGCGCATTCTGAGTAAATGACTCTGTAACTTCACTTCATTCTCTTCATTTACATAGAACATACACCGAGTAACCAATGGGAAACCTCTAGAGTATTGAAACCGCAGAAAATTATGTAACCAGAGCTCTTGACCCCCTCTTCTCAGGCCCACTCCCACACTGTGGAGTGTACTTTCGTTCTCAGTAAATCCCTACTTTTGCTTTCCTTGCTTTGTTTATGCATTTTGTCCATTTCTTTGTTTGAGACGCCAAGAACCTGGACACCTTCTACCGGTAACAACCCCAGCTCCCTGCCCTCAAAGAAGAGGTCTCGATATAACAGACATACTCCACGAAACAGAGGGATTGTTTTCAGAAAACCCCCACTCAGTATTCTCTGTGTGACTCAAGAAGACGCAGCTCTTGTTTAATTCTCCAGGGTAAGATAAGGATAGCTCAGTCCTAGGAACAAGTTCATAGATAAAAAGAACAGAGACAGATATTAAATCCACACCAGAAGGGAAAAATCAGGCTCATTGTTGAAGGAAATCAACTCAGTAAAGCTGAAGATGAACTTGAGTGACCTTATACGATCACAGAGGAAATGAATAAAAAGATTAAAAGATAAGAAAAATAAGATAATAGAAGCAGAGGACTCACCAAGGAGATCCAATCCATGAATAAAAGCTGCTCCTGACAAAGCACGCCCTGGAAATTAGAATGAAGCAACAATAAAAGGTATTAGAGAAAACTTTTCTGACCTGGAAATAGACTTGCCCGCCAGGGCAGGGGCCCGCAGTCCCCAGGCTCCATTAATGAAGAGAAATGGGCATGAAGACAAGGCTGGCAATTTTTTATAATTTCAAAATTAACAAAAGGATGCCTTTGAATTTACCCTTGAGGAAATGAATGTCAGGTAGGTTGGACTAAAATTTCTCCCCTGCCATATTAAACACCAGGAGATAACAGAAAAGCATTGGTAGAGCTGAAGCTAAAAGTGCCTGGGCCGGGAGTCACAGGCCCTGAGTAGACACAGCATGGGGCTCATTGTTCAGCTTCTCCGGGGTAGGCAGAAAGGCCATTTCATTAGCGTGCCACTAAATTTGGCAACTTACACAGGAAACACCTCCTGATGACATGTACCCTGGATGCAGTTCCAAGAGGGAGCCTAGGAAGTCCGGACTGAGGATGACGGATGGCCTGACCTCCCCTTTGACTGATGCTGGGATCTGATGGCACCTATCCACAAGGTCAGCACAGTCCTTGGGACTGGTAATGAAAGTTGCAAAACTTATGTCACAGGGAGCACAAAGCTAGTTTCCACTGACATCACTGGGTAAGCATGCTGATGTGCCATAATGAACAGGACACTTGGTGGGTAGAGTTTCATCTGGGCACACCACACAGGCACCAGGGAGTGCCAACTACTATGATATGGTTTGGCTGAGTCTGTACCGAAAGCTCATCTTGAACTGTAGTTCCCATAATCCCCGTGTGTCATGGGAAGAACCCGGTGGGAGGTAATTGAATCAGCATGGTTACCTCCATGTTGTTCTCAGGATAGTGAGTGTATTCTCACGAGATCTGATGGTTTTATAAGGGGCTTTCCCCCCTTTTCTCTGCACTTCTGCTTGCTGCCGCCATGTAAAGAAGGAACGTGTTTGCTTCCCCTTTGCCATGATTGTAAGTTTCCTGAGGCCTCCCCAGCCATTCTGAACTGAGTCCATTAAATTTCTTTCCTTTATAAATCACCCAGTCTTGGATATGTCTTTATTAGCAGCATGAGAATGGACTAACACACCCTGCAAATTCTGAAGGAGCAGGCTAGATGGAGAGCAACATCACCAACTCCCAGCCCCTGCAGACTTCGTGCTCTGTGGCTTCCTGAGTCTCCTCCAGGGTGTGAGCACTCACTTCCATCCTGGGGCCCCCGTATCCTTGGGCCTGTCCTCTAGAGGAGCCAGAAGACTGTAGCTCACTTGCTGGGTTTCCCTCTGTGTGTTCCACAACATGGATGTTCTTACCTTCCACCTGATCCTCTTAGACTCAAGGAACAGGTCATTTGCTTGGCTTGTGACTGGAGGGCACTAAGGCTCTTTGGGTTTGTCCATGAGGCAAAATTTCAACGATCAGCCCCTGAGTTTGGGCCATCACCAATGTCTCCACCAGCTGAGCATGAGCCTGTGGGGTCCACCCTGGCCTTATGCTCTATGTTGCCTGATTGCAACGTCAATGTCTTCAAAATTCCCTCTCATGGGAGCACCACCTGCCTGTCTTGCTGTTTATATGTGACTGTGTTTCAAACTCCATCCTGTGTTGATATTTTTCTAATTTAAAATGTTTCACTTTGAAGGTTTATTTTGGAGGTAGAAAAAGCAATTGTGCACTGAATATAATTAAGCAATGGCATATTGATTTACCCACCACTATAAATATGCTTCAATTCTCACTTACCATGTTAGCTCCTAATGAGTTTATCCTTAAATAGGTATTTATTGACATCTTGATAGCAACTATATCAAGGTGCCCAGAGACCCATCCAAATATGTGCCAAACTGAGCTTAAGTTATTCATAATGCAGCTATCACCTGGGTGCTGTGTTGCTTGCTATCTTTATGAAACAAATAGGAAAAGGATTGGAATTCAAGGAAAGAACCAGGTTCTGTTTTCCATATATCATAAATGAAACAGTACTTCTAACAAAACCAGGTCTATTCTGACAGTTAACACTCATGTCCCACAAGCTGTGTGTCATTTAATAAATAAACTGCTGTTCTTTGTAATGAAGCCAAAATAATGGTGAGAAGCACAGTTATAGCCCCAGAAATAAGGCAAGGAAATGTTAATTACAAAGCAGTTTACATGGTAACAGCTTGATAAATGATGCTGAGAAAAATGACCTTCTTGCTCATTCTCCTTTGTCTCTGCTAAAGAAGAGAGACTTAGAGATTTGAAATGGCAACCTGACGTCTCATTTTTGGTGTCAGGTTGCCCTTTATAAGTTTCTCCTTATAGACCATCGTGTTGGTGGTGGGAACAACACAGTAGCTGGAGACAAGAAAAGAGGACACCTAGAGGAAGAGCTATTCCGAGTCCCTTCCCGCCTGCTTCTTCCCCATGCCACCCTCTCCCAGGGATGGCAAGGTCAGGACTCCTCCATTCCTGGGGTGCTTTAATACTTAGAGGACTGAGTCAATAAGGGGCGTGGCAGTCCTACATGGACAAAGTGTGGCATGTCAGCTCTAGGACTGGGGCGTGGTCACTGGGGTGTCCCAAGGTTATCATTCCCTGTGCTGAAGCTTCCATGGAACAAGGAGGCTCTCAAGAATGCTCTGCTCTTCTTACTGGAAGCTCTGAGGGGGTGTCGGCTGCCATTTGCCCTCCTTTGGAGTTTGTATTTCCAGATGTCTGAGCTACTTGCTGCATGGCAGCCCACATCCACGTTTCTCCTCTGAGGCCACAGGTTTTAGATGAGACAATTCTGTCTGTCCCAGACTCCAGGACTGGAAGGTGGTACCTAGAGGAAGCCAGTCAGCACTTTCCAACCCTGGCATCAGTGATTGGCTCAGAGGTGGACATGTGACAAGAACAGGCTCATCAGGACCAATGAGATTCAATTCCTGAGCCTGTTTTATTAACTGGGCAGAAGACTGCCTCTCCAATGGATATATGGCCTGAGGTTTGAGCAGCCATCTTTCAATATCTTTTTAAAATTCCTAATATTGATAACTTCTACTTCTGTTTTGTTCTAATCAGTATGGCAAATGTACTGACTATTTCAAAGAACAAGCTTTTGGTTTCATTGATTTTCTCTATCATATTTCTTTTCTCCATTTCATTGATTTCTGCTGTTCATGCTATGATTTCTTTTTTTCTGCTCACTTTGGGTTTAATTGGCTCTTACTTCTCTAGTTTCTTAAAGTGTAAGCTTAAATCATTCATAAGAGAACTTTCTTCTTTCCTAATATGGGCATTTAATGCTATAGATTTCCCCTCTAAGCACGATTTTAGCTGTATTGTACAAATGTTGATATGGATTTCATTTTCATTCATTTCAAAGTATTCTCTAATTTTTCTCATGACTGCCTCTTTGATCCATGGATTATTTAGAAGTGTATTATTTAATTTCCATGGCTTAGTTGGTTTTCCAGTTATAGGTCTATTTTTGATTTCTAGTTTGCTTCTGCTAAGCTCTGTGACTCATACAGGGGAGAAGGTCCCAGGTGTGCCTTATGCCCTTATCTCTGAGGCCACTGTTCCTTTCCACCAGGTGCACCATGAGGGTGGTTTTCTCCATCTCTGGGTCTCTTCTGATCTTTCTGGTGAGCATGCAGTGAGGCGTGTGGAGAAGAGCCTGCTAGTGGGTGTGAATTCCTCTTGTGTCTGCCATGCTTAGGGCTTCTCTGCACCCACTCTGGCCATCCCTTGGCCTTTAGCACTTTGTCAAACACTTTAGCTTAATCCTTTTTACTTGGCTTGTTTGGCGTCCGTTTGCTTCTGCCCGAGGTAAGCAAGGATTTACATCCTGTCTCAGGAGCTCTTTTCCTTTGATTTTGTTTTGTTTTTTAACTGAGGTAAAATTCACATAACATAAAATTAACCATTTTAAAGTGTACAAGCCGGGCGCGGTGGCTCACGCCTGTAATCCCAGCACTTTGGGAGGCTGATGTGGGGGATCACCTGAGGTTAGGAGTTCGAGACCAGCCTAGCCAACATGATGTAGAAACCCCATCTCTACTAAAAATACAAAAATTCTCCCAGTGTGGGGACTGGTGCCTGTAATCCCAGCTGCTCAGGAGGCAGAGGTAGGAGAATTGCTTGAACCTGAGAGGTGGAGGGTGCAGTGAGCCGAGATTGTGCTATTGCACTCCAGCCTGGGCAATAGCAAGACTCCATCTCAGAAAAGAAGAAAAGAAAAGAAAAGAAATAAAGTGTGCAATTCAGTGGCATCTAGTACCTTCACAGTGAGTGCAGCCATGACCTCTATCTAGTTGCAAACATTTTCATCATCCCCCAAGGAGACCCTGTACTCAGCAAGCAGGCACTCTCCACTCCCCTTTACCCAGCCTCTGGCAAACAGTAATCTGCTTTCTGTTCCTAGGGATTTCTCGATTCTGAGTATTTCATATAAATAGAATTATGGAATATGTGACCTTAGTGTCTGGATTATTCCTCAGAGTTTGGGTTAGTTTGGTGGTTCTGCAACCTCAGCTTTCTGATAGGGTTGAAAAAAGTGGTGCTTCTTGCAGATGACCTGGCATGTTGTTACTGCTGTTGTTAGAATGCCCTTTCCATCTTTCTGCATCCTAAGCAGAAGCTGGAAGCCCAACAAATTCCCTCTTGCAATTTTCCCCAGATCCACATCTTCTTCCTGAGTTGCCAGATTTGCTATTGTTATGTAAAGCAATTTCTTAATTAAGTCTTCAGCTCTTTGGTGTTTTGTTGTTGTGAGGGAGAAGTTATATGCTCTTATATAGAGGATATTTCTCTATTTTTGCAAAATCACAGTCAAAGAAGTGTCTGATAGGTTGTCCTACATACCTGAAGGTGTATAAAGATCAATGTAATGGATTCCACATAGATTTTAGTGTCCAAATATGTTTCTTTTCAGAAACCATGTTGGCTTTGCCTTATCACATAATGAGAAATGTAAAACTCATCATATTTTTCTATTTCCTTGGTTGTCAAGATGCTAAATTAACTTTCAATTGGATTAACTGATTGTATATTTCTGGAATATTTATATCTCTTTACCTTCTAAAAAATTTCTGATTTTTAATTTTTATTTTTTGAAAACATAGTTATGAAACAAAATGTGTGTAGTATGATATCAAATATTTGCATTTAAATATCTATATAGGTAAATTACAAAAAAAATTTTAATGAAATTATATAAAGTTGTCATGGACCTAATTCTGTATCAATACATGAAAAACTAACTCTTTTGTAAATTTCCTCAAGAAATCTGTGATAGATTACTCTCTCTCTCTCTCCATATATATATATATATATATATATATATATATATACATACACACAGTAAAATAGATATGCATGTCCAATACATGCACAGGAGGGCAATTAAAATATCAACTATTTATAAAAACAATCTGTAAGGAAGTATGAAAATGATAGGGAGGAATGCTAAAGGGTTATTTCCTTTATTATTGTTTAAACTTCTGTATTGTTTGAACTAGCAATCACAGATTACTGATATGGACAGGAGACAGGGAAATACTGAGTAGAAGAGGGTGGTTCCCTAGGAAAGGCCTCACTGTCAATTTGTGGCCCTAAATGGGAATAGGCATTTCTGTTTTCACACCCAAAAAGTTGCCTTTTGGCCTGCAATGCCCCCCTGTCCTGTACCCATATAAACCCTGAGCCCCAGGCTCCAAGAGCAGATGAGGAGACAAGAAAACAAGCAGATGAATGGCAGAATGGCATGGCAGAGAAAGAGAGAAGAAAAGGAATGTCTGAACGCTGAGAGGAGTTCAGCTGGGGGCGGTCAGAGAGGAGTTTGGCTGCTGGGTGGCCAAACTCCAGGGGAAGATCACCTTCCCACTCCATCCCCCTCCCAGCTCCCCATTCATCCCACTGAAAGCTACTCAGTAAAACTCTGCATTCATCCTTCAAGTCCACGTGTGAGCTGATTCTTCCAGGACCCTGGACAAGAGCTCAGGATACAGAAAGCTGTCACACTGGTCCTCTGCCCTTGCAGAAAGGCAGAGAGGGCACTGAGCTGGTTAACTCTTAAGTCATCTGTGGGCCACGTAACTAAAAGAGCATTGTAACACTGGGGTTGCAGGCACCCACCCTTAGACACTACCATAGGGCCAGAGCTGAAAGCGCTTGCCCTGGTTCCTGCACCTGCCCGTCTGTGTGATACCCCTCCTGTCAGGGGTTTGAGCATTGGTAGCGACTGAACAGGTGAGCCACACCCCTGTGGCACATTCTGCAAGGGGGACCAGGGAGCTATCCTGTTTTTTCACTTTTACTGTTGTGAAAGGAAGAAAATATGCTATAAAGAATAAATGAAATAATACACATATATAGTAAATGCAACCAAACACATAGCTAGCTCAAAGTGCTCAGAATCATGACACTGAATCAAACAGCAGCCACTAAAAATCCTCATCCTATGCTCTTGCAGAATGCTTTTTCCGAGGGAGGCTTTCTATCACCTAAAGACATCTGAGATTCACAAAATAATGTCTTGTCACAGTACTGAGGCAGAGGCCCGCTGTAGATGCTGCTAGAGGAGGCTGTCATGATTGAGCCTTGAGATGCTTTCCAGTTCTAAGATTTTATGACTCAATTCTCTCTCTGCTGACAATTTCAGACTTACTGTTGGGGGCCCACACATAATAGATCAATGTCAAAACAAAATTAAACACACGAGGCCTGTTGTAAACAATGTTTCTGCATAAAATGAGCCTGGATTTCAATTCTATTACATAAATTCTATTAAAGCTGTCTTCTAAGGGAAGAAGTTATGGTGCAGATTGTTAAAGATGAACAACATTTTCAAAGGCAGGCCAAAGAGATATAAATTCCTTTTGTTAATTAAAATCATGGTCATCTGAACTATGCCTATATTTATAAGCATTCACCATAAATTTTCCCTTGAATGACTTATCTTAGTTTGTGTTAACTCTGGAGTCCTCTTGCCTGATGTCTTTTTCAAAACATTCTTCAGTTCTGTTAGGTGTGTGTGCATGTTTCAGTAGTTGAGAAACAGGCACACAAAAACCAATGCAGATTTTTTTTACTCTGGAGCACATTGTTATTGTCCAAAGGCACAGTTCAACCTTCATTATTAAAGGAGGTATTTTTGGTTTTGAATTATTATTTGTATTCATGTATAATACAAATGTATAATTCATGTATAATTCAGAGCTGCCTAACTGCCAGGTTTCTAGAGGTGCAGAGGATAAGATGAGGATGTAGAATTTGAAAGTCAACCCAAACATCTTAAAGTGAAATCGCATGATGAGGGAAAAGCGGGCTTAACAGAATAATTTTTCGTGACTGCCGTAGTGCAAACTTGAAGAAATTTACAGGACATTTGCAGGAGTGTGGATAACAATAAACCAAGCACACCTGTGATTGTTTACATGGACAATGAAGTCAAAGTTACCCCACAGTCGGTACTGTCTTATCTAGAATGGTTACTTTCCAATTGTCTAAGAATTTAAGAGACTCATAATGCTCTGCTTAGTAAGTTTCTATAATGTAGCCTCCCTAAGGAAATAGATGTACTTTGTAGTTAAAATGAAAAAATAAAAAAATAAATATTAAAAAAACAGCTTATGAATAAACAATGGAATGTGAAACACCTCAGGCTAGAGATCCAGTTCTGAGCTGGCCACTCCCCTGACCTCTCAGCATGTTAAGAAAAAGCAATAGCACATCTGGCTCAGCATCCAGCCTGTCTCTCCCGGCAGCTTGAAATGCTGTTCTTCCTCAGTCTCAGAAGCAAGTTTACTAACAAATCTCACAAAGAGGAGGAAAACAATCGGTTGGAGGTGAAGTAATAAGCAAGAACAAATCATAATAACTGTGACATTTCCAGGCTCTGCTTTCATTCCCCTTGCTGGTTTTAAATTCCAGGAACCAGCCAGCCGGCTCCGTGTGTCAGGGGCAGGAAAAGTCCCCGTGCTGGGAAGCCGAAGTCACTTCCAGCTCTGGGACTTTTATGAAAGGTTCCCAGACTCCTCATTCCTTAACTGGGGAGAAGAACCTCTGTTCTGACTGCCTTTCTGAGTCACTGGTGAGAAATTGATGAGGGTCGGGACCTGGAACCCCGCGAGGGGTCAGTTTCATCTGCGGGCAGTTGTTTCCCCAGTGCTCTCTCAGGGAAAAACACAAGTCTCCCAAGCACCTGCCCTACCTTCTAAATTTAGAGCTAGTAATGCCTGGTAGAGTTTTTATAATTTATTTATTATCATAATTGTTGTACCTAGAATGAAAATTATTTCACAATTTGAGATAGTTTTGGTTACAACTTTCTTAAGAAGTGATAACAATAACGGGTTAACTTAAATTCACCTCATACTAAAATGTATTTACTGGTTGCCAGAACCCAAGGAGCAGAGCCCTGAAGCATATGGTTTTTGTTGCTGTTGTTTGTTTTTGTTTTTGAGACAGGGTCTCACTCTGTCACCCAGGCTGGAGTGCAGTGGTACGATCACTGCTCACTGCAGCCTCCACCTCCCAGGCTCAAGCAATCCTCCCACCTCAGTCTCCCACATAGCTGAGACTACAGATGCACGCCACCACACCCAGCATGGAAGTATTTACACGACAGCAAGCAGCAAATGCTACAAACCAAGGCTTCCTCCCCCAAATCCAGATGTTAAACATTTGCTAGCACATCACTGGTCTCCATTCTTATGCATCCAGACAATTACAGCACAAGGGCTACAATGTCAGAGATAAATCCATGGTCTGAGAGCAGGTCTTGACTCCTGCACACTGAACTTCTACAGGCACAACAGTTTCTGGGTAGGATGCTCAGTTTCTAGTAGTTTCTAATAGATGAGCATGAAAACGGACAAGTTTGAGTCCCATTTCTTCACCTTCTGGTGTCAAAGGCTAACAGGCAGAAGGGGCAAGAATCTGAACCAACTGGATGATCAGTGCCTTAGCAATGGATCAGTCTTCTTTTTCACCATTGGTCATTCAAAGCCCAGGTTAACAAAATGTTTTTAAACAAAAGAGGTGTTTGCAGAAGTGTAAATGGAGGCGCTCCACGAGAAAGTGGGAGGGGATCGGAGCCTACCTGCTGGGATCTCTCTTCTTGCTCACAGCAGGACTGAAAAGGGAATTCCTCCATTGCAGGGTATACGGCATGGAAACCTCTGCCACAGCCAAGAGCAGATGGTTGTTGATGCTAAAACTCACACACCAGCCTCGCTTCCACCCACGAAAGCAGTTTTCCCCAGCAGCTATTTACAGAGGCGCCGGTTTCACCTGAGAACCAAAGGTTCTCCACAGTGAGGATCTGTTTTGAACGAAAGAAGGGTTTTGTGTAATGACTTCTAGGCCCAGGAAAGCAGCCTGGTCCCCATGCTGATGGCAGGAAGAGGCGCTGCGTAAGGCATCCTCTGTTGCAAGCGAGTGAATGCTGGTAAGAAACCAGGAGAGACCAAGCGGAAGGTTGAATCTTAAAATGTCTTGTTTAAGTGTGTAGCCGGCACCTGGGGAGAAAAATCCCAGCCTTGCTAAAAACATTCCAGTAAGATCAGTAAGATCACAAATAAGCTTTGTCTTCGGGTTTCTGGGAAATGATCCAGGATCCGTGGATCTACAAATGAAGAGAAGTTAACCCCAAGTCTGTGTGTATAGGGGGGGATAACCACATACACGTGTGGAATACTTTCAAACACTGGTGTGTCCATACTTTTGCCAGTCATCATAAAAGTCATTTACTTGGTTAATTTGTGGGTTTCATGTTTTTTTTTCCCCCAATATTGTAATAGTTTCTAATCCTGTACCGTTAAAGCTGTAAGAAGAGTCATAGTTTACACTGTCTTCCTAATCACCCATACGCATGTAGTTAATGGCTTATCTTTTTTCTGCCAGTTCTAAAGCATTCCAGTATATAGACTTGACCACAGTTGAACATTTTGCAGATGTGTTTATTTTCTTTGAGTCTCCCTAGGCTTCTTGCACCAAGTCTGCCTGTGTGTCTGTGTGAGCTGTTTACGCTCTGCAGCTGCTTGAAACTCTGATCCAGCCTCTTCCTGAACATGTCACTGTCTATGTGGCCAGATCTTCTCTCCCACCAGCCAAGTCAGTCTTCCCGAATTCCTGTGCTCTGTCCCATTGCCACTGCTGCTGGTGCCAGCTCTCAACAGGACAAAGAATAGGATTGGGAGAGGAGAGAACAGGCAGGGGGTTGTGTACCATCAGTCATGTTCCATCCACCTTTCCCATGATAAATTCAGAAAGAAGCACTCTGGTGTTATACATCTGTCTCTTGTGAGTTAGCACAGTATGTGTTCTTTTACCCCATCTACTCACTTCACATAAAAAGCCTCCCTTCCAGGGTAACTGGATTCAGGGCTTCTTTGTAGAGGAAAGCCCTGTCTTTGTTTCTTTCTCTTCTTATAGCATAGAGTACTTGCCCCCAAATTCAGACTCCTGGGGAAGTGGAAAATTCCACTTGGGCCTACAGTCCCAGGCTGAGTTCTCCATTCCAGTCTAATCAAAAAGGCCCGAATTAAGCCACTGAACCAAGTACTGGCCCAGCCACAGAATGGACTTTTATGTCCAGTTCGCTGACGTCCCTCATGGATACAGGGTGCTGAGGTGGGACTCAAGTTATATAGGGGAGTGTTAGAAATTGAACCCTTAAACCCGAGCTCCTCGTGCAGACAAACACATCTAATTCCAAGTTAAACAGAATCTGAACCAATAAAAACATTTTACCCTGAGGATAGAAACATGCAAACAAGGTGAATCAAAACAAAGAAAACCTGTTTGCCTTGTCTTAAACATCCAGAACTATTTACCTCTCTCGTCATTAATAAAATCTCTGTATAAATATTTCCCCAGGAGGCAGCTTCTGGTGACGCACAAATATTTTTCCATTAAAGGAGACGAGACATTGCCTTCTTTTTGATATCACCATTCTGACTCCTGATGGAGAGACTGATGCCTGTGAGGCATACCTGTCCCCAACAGGTAAATCCAGGAGTAGGGATTCTGCCCTCATTTCCCCTCGATTGCTACTACATTCTTTTTTTTTTTTTTCCCCGACAGAGTCTAGCTCTGTCGCCCAGGCCGGAGTACAGTCGTGCAATCTCAGCTCACTGCAACCTCCACTTCCTGGGTTCAAGTGATTCTTCAGCCTCACCCTCCCAAATAGTTGGGATTACAGGTGCCCACCACCACACTCAGCTGATTTTTGTATTTTTAGTAGAGATGGGGTTTTGCCATGTTGGCCTGGCTAGTCTTGAACTCCTGACCTCAGGTGATCCGCCCACCTCGGCCTCCCAAAGTGCTGGGATTACAGGCATGAGCCACCATGCCCAGCTGATTGCTACTACATTCTAATGGTTGCTCTTGGAAGTTCCTGATGTACAGTGGATACTGAAAATTAAAGTTAAAAGAGCTTTTAACAAAAAGCAGTACTGGAACAGGTGAAATACATCTTGGAAATGCTAACTGTAGGCAATGGAAAGTCATTGAAGGTTTTGGAGCAGAAGAAATTAATGATCTGAGTAATGGGGATAGTAATGTATATAGTGATTCTGAGGGGAAACTTAGAAACAGGAAGATCAGATTGGCAGCTAACAGGAAGAAATCAGAATTAAGGTAGTTTGAGTCAGAAAGGAGAAAAAATTCTTTACAAGACAAAGTGAGATGAACAACATATTGATAGGCTATGAGGGAGATTATCTGCCATGTTGGGATAAGATGAAGACAGGAAAAATATTTTTACTGAAAAGAGTTGGGTGAAAACTAAAGTAACTCCACATGTAATGCGTTTAAGTATTTATGAGAGACTCCAGTGTAGATAACCAGCAAATTACTGGAAATACAGAGTTACAGTTTGGGAAAATATTAGGTTTGGATTTGAGATCTTGTATTTAGAGGTGATTTTTGAAGAGGGTGTGGCGAGAAAGAACAAATGGAGAACTTAGAAAAACATATTGATTCTCTTTATATTATAAAAGGAATGCTGTTATATTGGATGCCATAGCATCTCCCAGGTCCAAATATTAGGTTTGGATTTGAGATCATGTATTTAGAGGTGATTTTTGAAGAGGGTGTGGAGTGAAAGAACAAATGGAGGACTTAGAAAAACATATTGAGTCTCTTTATATTATAAAAGGAATGCTGTTGTATTGGATGCCATAGCATCTCCCAGGTCCAAATCCACCAACTTTCTTTGCCCTGATTTGTGGGACTATAGCTGGACCTTGTAAACATTTCTCCTTCTCCAGCTGCTGGAATGTTAGGCTTCATCAACAGAGGGTGCTGGAGTGACCCTATCAGGCCACAGCAGCAGAAACTCTTCCACTTTGCAGTCTATTCAGCATGGGACCTGATATGGTTTGGCTGTGTCCCCACCCAAATATCACCTTAAATTGTAATAATCCCCATGTGTCAGGGGCAGGGCCAGGTGGAGATAATTGAATCACGGGAGCAGTTTCCCCCATACTGTTCTTGTTGTAGTGAATAAGTCTCACAAGATCTGATGGTTTTATAAATAGGTGATCCCCTGCACAACCTCTCTTCCCTGCTGCCATGTTAAGATGCGACTTTGCTCCTCATTCACCTTCCACCATGATTGTGGGCCTCCCCAGCTATGTGGAACTGTGAGTCACTGAAACTTCTTTATAAATTACTCAGTCTTGGGTATGTCTTTATTAGCAGTGTGAGAACAAACTAATACGGTAAATTGGTACTGGTAGAGTGGGGTGCTGCTGTAAAGATACCCAAAAATGTGGAAGTAACTTTGGAACTGAGTAATAGGCAGAAGTTGGAACAGTTTTGAGGGCTCAGAAGAAGAGAGAAAAATGTGGGAAAGTTTGGAACTTCCTAGAGACTTGTTGAATGGCTTTGACCAAAATGCCGATAGTGATGTGGACAATAAAATCCAGGCTGAGGTGGTCTCAGATGAAGATGAGGAACTTGTTGGGAACTGGAGTAAAGGTCACTCTTGCTATGCAAGGAGACTGGTGGCACTTTGCCCCTGCCCTAAAGATTTATGGAACTTTGAACTTAAGAGAGATGATTTAGGGTATCTGGTGAAAGAAATTTCTAAGTGGCAAAGCATTCAAGAGGTGACAGATCATAAAAGTTTAGAAAATCTGCAGCCTGACAATGCAGTAGAAAAGAAAAACCCATATTGGGGGAGAAATTGAAGGTGGCAGCAGAAATTTGCATAAGTAACCAGGAGCCAAATGCTAATCACCAAGACAACGGGGAAAATTTCTTCAGGGCATGCCAGACACCTTTGCAGCAGTCCCTCCCCTCACAGGCCTGGAGCCCTAGGAAGGAAAAATGGTTTCCTGGGCCAGGCCCAGGGACCCCCTTTTCTATGCAGCCTCTGAACCTGGTACCCTGCATTCCAGCTGTTTCAGTTCCAGCTGTGGCTAAAAGTGGCCAACCTACAGCTCAGGCCATTGCTTCAGAGGGTGCAAGCCCCCAGCCTTGGTGGCTTACACATGGTGTTGGGCCTCTGGGTGCACAGAAGTCAAGAACTGAGGTTTGGGAACCTCCACTTAGATTTCAGAGGCTGTATGGAAATACCTGGGTGTCCTGGCAGACATTTGCTCCAGGGGTGGGGCCCTCATAGAGAACCTCTGCTAGGGCAGTGTGGAAGGGAAATATGGGATAGGAGCCCTCACACAGAGTACCTACTCGGGCACTTCCTAATGGAGCTATGAGAAGAGGGCCACCATCCTCCAGACCCCAGAATGGTAGATCCACTGACAGCTTGCACCATGCACCTTGAAAAGCCACAGATACTCAACACCAGCCCATGAAAGCAGCCAGGAAGGGTGCTCTACCCTGCAAAGCCACAGAGGCAGAGCTGCCCAAGGCTGCAGGAGCCCACCTCTTACATCAGCATGACCTGAATGTGAGACATGGAGTCAAAGGAGATCATTTTGGAACTTTAAAGTTTAATGACTGCACTATAGATTTCGGACTTTCATGGGGCCTGTATCCTCTTTGTTTTGGCCAATTTCTCCCATTTGGAATGGGTGTATTTACCCAATGCCTGTACCCCCTTGTATCTAGGAAGTAACTACCTTGCTTTTGATTTGCCTTGTCTCAGGTGAGACTTTGGACTGTGGACTTTTGAGTTAATGCAGAAATGAGTTAAGACTTTGGGGGTCTATTGGGAAGGCATGATTGGTTTTGAAATGTAAGAGCATGAGATTTGGGAAGGGCCAGGGGCAGAATGATATGGTTTGCTGTGTCCCTACCCAAATCTCACCTTGAATTGTAATAATCCCCACATGCCAAGGGCAGGGCCAAGTGGAGATAATTGAATAATGGGGGCAGTTTCCCCTATACTGTTCTTGTGGTAGTGAATAAGTCAAGTCTCACAAGATCTGATAGTTTTATAAATAGGTGATCCCCTGCACAAGCTCTCTTGCCTACCATCATGTAAGATGTGACTTTGCTCCTCCTTTGCCTTCCACCATGATTATGAGGCCTCCCCAGCCCTGTGGAACTGTGAGTCAATTAAACCTCTTTATAAATTACCCAGTTTTGGGTATGTCTTTATTAGCAGCATGAAAACAGACTAACACAGGAGCCCAGCACCTTTGCAGAGGAACTCTCTCTAGCCATACTCTCCACCAGTGGCCACTTCTGAGCCACTCCCACCTGCCCACAACCTCTGTCAATGGCAGCTGCTTCTAAAGACCAGCACCAGCCTGTGTCCTCTGCCAAGTTTTTTTTTTTTTTTTTTTTTTTTTTTTTGAGACGGAGTCTCACTCTGTCACCCGGCTGGAGTGCAGTGGCACAGTCTCAACTCACTGCAAGCTCCGCCTCCCAGGTTCACACCATTCTCCTGCCTCAGCCTTCTGAGTAGCTGGGACTACAGGCACACGCCACCACACCCGGCTATTTTTTTGTATTTTTAGTAGAGACGGGGTTTCACCATGTTAGCCAGGATGGTCTCAATCTCCTGACCTCGTGATCCACCTGCCTCAGCCTCCCATAGTGCTGGGATTACAGGCGTGAGCCACTGTGCCCGGCCATCCTCTGCCAAGTTTCTTGCATATGTCAGGCTGTGTGTTCCTGCTGTAGCCATGCTCTCTTCAGTGAGGTCTGAATCTCAGCCTTGGTGTGGGGTGGGGCTCTCTTGGTCTTTTGTTCCTCTGTTATCCACTTTCTTTGTCCTGCAATAAGTAGCTGCTCCTTTGTACCTGCTTCTTGACCTCTTACAGTCCTTTTTTATTTTTTAGGTAATTAACCACTTTCTGTAATTAGCAATACATTAAATTATATTTTCCCTGTTCCAATGAATGGTGTGGTTTCTGTCTCTAACTAATATACATGTGGAAAAGAGGTTAGACTTTTTCCAATTGATTATTTATTATACAGCTGGAACCTGTAAGTAGAAAGTACAGAATCAAAATAAAGGCTTTTGAAAGGTCAGCACTACAAAGGTTAGAATAGACTGCATCAAATTGTAATGACTTTGCTGCCAATGGCACAACCCCCCAGCAGGAATCCTCTAGAGGGATTCAAGAGTTAAGCAAGGGGTTGGACTGGATGAAACTGAAGGTCACGGCTAACCTTGAGAGTCGACAGTTTTACACAACATTCTGAATCTTATTCTTGCCTCCACTAATAATTAACTCTCCTAATTCCCATTAGTCTTCCCAAGGGCATGATTATAGTTTGGCATTATAAAAGCCATGGACTCAATGTGAGAAAAGTGCAAACTATTATTGTCAAATTAGTGTTTTCCTGGAGATTTCTCAAATTGTCTTGTGACATTCCATATCAATGTTATTGCTCAGGTAAATATGATATTCCATTTCCCAAGCATCTAGATTTAAAATTTCTAAATGTACTCTAACAACTAATAGCTCAATACTGCTGAAGCTCCATGGCCATTGAATTAGGTTGTTCTTCAACTTCAAAACAGCCTTCAATGTCATTCATCCATTACTGTTCCAGGCCATATATTTCCTCTGTGTAGCATAGGTTGAAACACTCAAGCAGAATCTGAGTGACTTATCCAAGGTTGTGCTGGGGAAAGAAAAGCCTTCTTAATGCCTGATATATCTTGATCTCTTCCTCCTATAAATGAAAAGCTAATAATGTAAGCTTTTTTGTGTGCACATTAGTTTCAACATATGGGCATAGAACATTCTACCGCATGGCTGAAATTCTACCTCATGGCTATGTGAAAATCTACCCACTGCTGCCTAACTTCTTGCTGCTGCTTCTTGATTTTCTAATGATTTGACCTTTAAGTTTGATGTAATATTATTCAGAGAAAGATTCATAGCAATTGTATATCACTGTAAATTATATCCTTTAGCAATTGAAAACGGTCCTTTGGTCCCATAAATTTTTTCTTGAATTTTACTTACATGTACTTTATTCCTGCTTTCTTTGTATTCAATTTTTACACATCTGTTTGTTCTTTTTATTTTTTGAGTTAGTTTTAGTTATTTAATTTTACACTAGGCATTTCAGATATGCCACTTTTGTTTTCCATGGGCCTCTTATAAACATATATAAATGGAATTTGTTTTTCAGTCAATTTAAGAATTTTTTAAATAGGTGTTGAACATATTTAAGTTCAATTTATTTTGGCATTATGTTCTTTGTTTTTGTTTCTTTTTTGAGACTGAGTCTCGCTCTGTTGCCCAGGCTGGAGTGCAGTGGTGCGATCTTGGCTCACTACAGCCTCTGCCTCCTGGGTTCAAGCAATTCTTGTGCCTCGGCCTCCTGAGTAGCTAGGATTACAGGTGCCCACCACCATGCCTGGCTAATTTTTGCATTTTTAGTAGAGACGGGGTTTCACCATGTTGGCCCAGCTGGTCTCAAACTCCTGACCTCAAGTGATCTGCCCGCCATGGCCTCTCAAAGTGCTGGAATTACAGGTATAAACCACCATGCCCAGATGTTCTGGCATGATGTTCTTTTTAATACTCTCCTTACCACTCCTTTGTTTCCTGCCTTTCTCCCATGACCTAAGTCTCAATTCTTTTATCTTCTGCAGCCCTATACAAGATGTGTTAAATGAATCTAGCAAATAAGATAGTGGGGATGTAGCCTTTAAGTCATTGGAACAGAGGTAATGGTTGAAGTTATGGAATATTTGATTTTTTTGTTTTTGACAGGGTCTGGCTCTGTCACCCAGGCTGGAATGCAGTGTTGTGATCTCAGCTTACTGCAGCCTTGACCTCCTGAGCTCAAGCAATTCTCCCTCCTCAGCCTCCCAAGTAGCTGGGACCACAGGTGCACGCCACCACACCCAGCTTATTTTTTGTATTTTTGGTAGAGATGGGGTCTTATATGTTGCCCAGGCTGGTCTCAAACTCCTGAGCTCAAGCTATCCATCCACCTTGGCCTCCCAAAGTGCTGGGATTACAGGTGTGAGCCACTGAGCCCAGCAGATTTGATTTTCTGAGAAAGCACAAACGAAGAAAAAAACAAAAGACATTGGCCAATCCTTGGGGAATGTGTACATTAGACAGGAATGGAACTATACCAGTAGTGTCTGGAGAGCCACAATCACACAAAACCAGGCATACAAAGAAAAGAGAGGGTTTCAAGAAAGTCTGGTTAGCTGTCTCCATAGCTTCAGGGAGCCCAAGTAAGATATTAACTAAGAAAAGATCACTGGGTTTGGCAAGCAAGACATCACTAGAGAGCCTGAATGAGTCATTTTAGCTAAGTGGTAGAGGCAAAGGCCAAGGTAGGTGAGCACTGGAAAAGTTATTGTACATAAACTCGACCATTCTCACAAGACATTGAACAGAGAATAAGAGGAGAGAAAAAGGCTTACAACATCAAGGACAACAGGTACTGGGACATGGAAAAGACCAAGATATGTGTACAAATATAGCAAAACAAGAATGATAAGACCAAGCAGAGAAGGTATCTTTGGTAGAGAATAGTCTCTAAGGAGAAATGTTAATAGTTTTGGGATGCCACTGAAGAATGAACAACATTCTCCACTCATTCCTAACTTGAGGGTAAGCATTACACGTGGAAAACATAATAGGCCAGACTCCATTAAGCTTTCCCTGCTGATGTCAAGGGCTCATAGCAGGGGCTGCCAGAGCAATCTCAGGGAAAGTCAATTTTCAGCGCAGCAGGGAATGAGGGTCATCTGCAAGTCAATGGCTGCCTATTTAAATCCATTAATTCAATGAATATGGACTGTAAGAGTCTAAGGATGAACTCAGCATTTGGGGGGTGATATTCTTCATGTTTCTATTCCATTTGTGTTTTGTAACCACCCTATGAGATTTCTAACTTAACTTTTAAAGAGCAGGTTCAGAAGTTAGGTGACCTGCCCAAGGAAACAGAGTTGTTAGGTGATGGAAGCAATGCTCACTCCAGCCCAGATCTTTTAGCTCTGAGTTCAATGTTCTTTCCACAACATGACACTCTCCTTTTAAACACTCATCTCTTCAACAGCCAAGCCACATAAAGGGGATGGAACAAGAGCATCAGCATAGCAGAACATTAAAATGGCATAACTGAAGGTGTTCCTCACCCTTTTGCACTCTGTCCCCAACTTCGAGTGATTCACCCCAAATTCACTGCCTTTGTTTCTGGAGACAGGGTTCTTGCCTGAATCCTGACTCCTTTTTTACAACTAGAGAACTTTGTGGAGCAACCTGTAAGAAATCCCAGTGTTGGCCAGGCACAGTGGCTCACGCCTGTAATTCCAGCACTTTGGGAGGCCAAGGCAGGTGGATCACCTGAGGTCAGGAATTCGAGACCAGCCCGGACAACATGGTGAAACCCCTTCTCTACTGAAAATACAAAAATTAGCTGGACGCAGTTGCATGTGCCTGCAATCCCAGCTACTTGGGAGGCTGAGGCATGAGGGTCATTTGAATCTGGGAGGTGGAGGTTGCAATGAGCCAAGATTATGCTACTGCACTCCAGCCTGGGTGACAGAGCAAGATTCTGTCTAAAAAATAAATAAATAAAAACAAGAAAAAAATCCCAATGTCCCAATGTCCAATTGCTCCTTTCCTGGAAGTTAAGGGCAATTTTCAGATCCTGCTCCTGATCACTCTCCTCTTCTCTATACTTCCATTGTCACAGGAAGTTTATAAGCAGAAGCCACCCAAGGTCCAAGGGAGGGAGGAGGGTGATGTGGAGAATGGAGTGTCATAATAACCTAAAATACTATGACCCACAACTCCAGCAAAGTCATGTGGGATGTCTGAAATTAGCCAGATAGCTTTTAAAAACATTCATAAGAATTGGCCAGGCACAGTGGCTCATGCCTGTAATCTCAGCACTTTGGGAGGCTGAGGAGGGCGGATCACCTGAGGTCAAGAGTTTGAGACCAGCCTGGCCAGCGTGGTGAAGCCTCGTCTCTACTAAAAATACAAAAAAAAAAAAAAAAAAAAAAAATTGGCTGGGCGTGGTGGCGTGCACCTTTAGTCCCAGCTACTGGGGGAGGCTGAGGCAGGAGAATTGCTTGAACCCGGGAGGCAGAGGTTGCAGTGAGTCAAGATCGCACCACTGCACTCCAGCCAGGGTGACAGAGGGAGACTCCAGCTCAAATAATAAATAAATAAATAAATATTAAATAAAAATATTAAAAATTCCTAAGAATTGCATAATTCTAAAAAAAGTTTAAAAATCTCATAAAGTACAAAGTCCATATAGCTTGACTAAGAATGTGTTTAAATATCTTTAAAATAAAAAGGAAGTAGAAAATCCAAACAAGTAATCATCCTGGGTAGGAGTTGTTGACATCTGACATTTGAATTAAAAATTAATGAAAATATCGTGACTCCTGGTATAAAGGGCTACATAAGCTTTGAGACCAACTTTGTTACAAGTTTGAGGCTCATGATCCAGTATTTCTAAAAAGGAGCTCTTTTGGCTCAATTAGTATATAAGAAGATCTCTTACACAATTAAAATCTTTGGCCCTAAGATATCTCAGTTAACTTTAATGTATTGAGTTTCCATAATCTTATATATATCAACTCCCAAATATTTTAGAATTATGTAACCTCAGTAAAATAAGATTTTAACTGTCTTTTTTAGCAAATAGAAATCTTTTAACTCCAGAAAGTGTTAGAATTAAATGCAAAATGGTTTAAAAATTAAAACCAAATCTGTGCATAATGGATAACTTAGTATGTTTGTAATATGTAAAAGAATGTGGTCTATTAGTGTGATCACCCTGTTTCTATCTTTTGTACTCTAGATTGATGAATTAGCTTACATTCTTCATTTTAATTTGGAACCTTAACAAACGTATCCATGGACTTAGAACATGTAAAAGAACTTTAGTTTATATGTATATGTGTGTGTGTGTGTGTGTGTGTGTGTAAAATAGAATTATAGGAATTATTTTATACTAGGAAATATTTTTGCTATGACTTTACTTTTAAAGCTACAGTAATAAGACTGACAGCTGATTTCTCAACCAATACGGTGGGAACCAAAAAGCAATGGAATTGGTATACCTAATGTTTTGAAAGAAAACAGCTACTAATGTAGAATTTTGTATGTAGCAAAAATATTCTCCAACAGTGAATCAGAAATAAAAACATCTTTAGATTTAGAAAATCCTGACAGAATTCATGGTCATTTAATATTAAAAAAGGAAATACTAATCGAGGCACTGTGGTGTGCACCTGCAGTCCCAGCTACTCAGAAATTTGAGGGAGGAGGATCACTTGAGCCCAGGAGTTTGAGTCCAGCTTGGGCAACATAGAAAGACCCTGACTCTACCAAAAAAAGAGAAAGGAATACTGAAAGGATTTTTTTGATTCCAGGTAAATGCACAGTAAAACAGGAAGAAATAATGAGCATTAAAAGAGGCAAATGTGTGTGTAAATTTTAACATATCATCAACTGTATCAAATGATAATGTAGCATTGAGACTTAAAATATAAAATCAGAATGCAAAATGTTATCACAAAAGTCAGGTAGGATAGGCAGGGCATGGTGGCTTATGCCTGTAATCCCAGCTCTTTGGGAGGCTGAGGCAGGCAGATCACTTGAGGTCAAGAGTTCGAGACCAAACTGGCCAACATGGTGAAACCCTGTCTCTGCCAAAAATACAAAAATTAGCCAGGTGTGGTGGCACATGCCTGTAATCCCAGCTACTCAGGAAGCTGAGGCAGGAGAATCACCTGAACCTGGGAGGCAAAGGTTGCAATGAGCTGAGATCATGCCACTACACTCTAGCCTTGGTGACAGAGCGAGACTTAGTCTCAAAATATATATATATGTATAAAGGCAGGTAAGATAAACAGCTTTAACTTGTTGTAAGCTCTTTACATTCTCCTGGAAATGATAAAAAAAATTACTGGTATATCTAATAAGTGAAGGATGTGTATGATAATATATAGTAACCACTAAAAGAATAATAGAGAAATGTATAACAAAGAAAAGCCAATAGAAGGAGATAACAAGGGATTGATAAAAATAATTGATTAATCCAAAGAAGGCATAAAGAGAAAAACAGAACAAAGAACAATTTTCTCCTTTGTATAATTTTCAGTAAATTTTATATTTCTACTAATTTTGCCTTCTTTATTCCATTACAATAATCTACTACCTATTGTTTAATCTGAATCATAGCTATGAACACCCATTGTTTCCCACTTTTCCATATTTACTCTTTATAAAAACTTCAGAAAACAGGTACTATTGTGTATATTTTACTAACAGAAACAAGCAGTTGAAGAACTTGCCCAAGAAATCACAAATAACAAAAGGCTTTATCTTATAATATAGCCTCACTCTGCTGTGTCCCCACAGAGGCTGAGATGAAGGGGACAGTGGACAGGAGACATTTCCATGGACAGAGCCCTTCAGGCTGTTCTAACTTGTGATCAATTTTTCACTAGATATTTCACTTCAGTGTATGAAAGGAGTCCCATGCTAGGTTCTAGAAATATCAAAACTATTTAAC
This sequence comes from Homo sapiens, assembly GCF_000001405.40. Lineage (NCBI taxonomy): Eukaryota > Metazoa > Chordata > Mammalia > Primates > Hominidae > Homo > Homo sapiens. The sequence continues at coordinate 234,645,117 of NC_000002.12, forward strand.
CTGGCTAGCCACTCTAGCTGGAAGCAGAAGAATGAGGTTCATTTTTTTGTCTTTAAATTTTTTGCTTTGAGATAATTGTAGCTTCATGCACTTCTAAGAAATGATACAGAGGGATTTTGTGTACCCCTTACACAGTTACCCCCAATAGCAACCTATTACAAAACTATAATACAACATCAGCACCAGGATATTGACACAGATACAGTCAAGATGTAGGATATTTCCATCTCAACTGGGACCCCTCACCATGTCCTTCTGTAGTCACTGCTTCCCTACTCCCACTACCTCCCTACTCCCACAGCCTCCCTACTCCCACTGCTGCCTACTCCCACTGCCTCCCTACTCCCACTGCTGCCTACTCCCACTGCCTCCCTACTCCCACTACCTCCCTACTCCCACTGCCTCCCTACTCCCACTGCCTCCCTACTCCCACTGCTGCCTACTCCCACTGTCTCCCTACTCCCACTACCTCCCTACTCCCACTGCCTCCCTACTCCCACTGCTGCCTACTCCCACTGCCTCCCTACTCCCACTGCTGCCTACTCCCACTGCCTCCCTACTCCCACTGCTGTCTACTCCCACTGCCTCCCTACTCCCACTGCTGCCTACTCCCACTGCCTCCCTACTCCCACTGCCTCCCTACTCCCATTGCTGCCTACTCCCACTGCCTCCCTACTCCCACTGCTGCCTACTCCCACTGCCTCCCTACTCCCACTACCTCCCTACTCCCACTGCCTCCCTACTCCCACTGCTGCCTTACTCCCACTGCCTCCCTACTCCCACTGCCTCCCTACTCCCACTGCTGCCTTACTCCCCGACTGCCTCCCTACTCCCACTGCCTCCCTACTCCCACTGCTGCCTTACTCCCACGTGCCTCCCTACTCCCACTGCTGCCTACTCCCGCTGCTGCCTACTCCCGCTGCTGCCTACTCCCACTGCTGCCTACTCCCACTGCCTCCCTACTCCCACTGCTGCCTACTCCCACTGCCTCCCTACTCCCACTGCCTCCCTACTCCCACTGCTGCCTACTCCCACTGCCTCCCTACTCCCACTGCCTCCCTACTCCCACTGCTGCCTACTCCCACTGCCTCCCTACTCCCACTGCCTCCCTACTCCCACTGCTGCCTACTCCCACTGCCTCCCTACTCCCACTGCTGCCTTACTCCCACTGCCTCCCTACTTCCACTGCCTCCCTACTCCCACTGCTGCCTTACTCCCCGTGCCTCCCTACTCCCACTGCCTCCCTACTCCCACTGCTGCCTACTCCCGCTGCTGCCTACTCCCGCTGCTGCCTACTCCCACTGCTGCCTACTCCCACTGCCTCCCTACTCCCACTGCTGCCTACTCCCACTGCCTCCCTACTCCCACTGCCTCCCTACTCCCACTGCTGCCTACTCCCACTGCCTCCCTACTCCCACTGCCTCCCTACTCCCACTGCTGCCTACTCCCACTGCCTCCCTACTCCCACTGCCTCCCTACTCCCACTGCTGCCTACTCCCACTGCCTCCCTACTCCCACTACCTCCCTACTTCCACTGCTGCCTACTCCCACTACCTCCCTACTCCCACTGCTGCCTACTCCCACTGTCTGCCTACTCCCACTGCCTCCCTACTCCCACTGCCTCCCTACTCCCACTACCTCCCTACTCCCACTGCCTCCCTACTCCCACTGCCTCCCTACTCCCACTGCCTCCCTACTCCCACTGCCTCCCTACTCCCACTGCCTCCCTACTCCCACTGCCTCCCTACTCCCACTGCCTCCCTACTCCCACTACCTCCCTACTCCCACTGCCTCCCTACTCCCACTGTCTCCCTACTCCCACTGCTGCCTTACTCCCACTGCCTCCCTACTCCCACTGCCTCCCTACTCCCACTGCTGCCTACTCCCACTGCCTCCCTACTCCCACTGCCTCCCTACTCCCACTGCTGCCTACTCCCACTGCCTCCCTACTCCCACTGCCTCCCTACTCCCACTGCTGCCTACTCCCACTGCCTCCCTACTCCCACTGCCTCCCTACTCCCACTGCTGCCTACTCCCACTGCCTCCCTACTCCCACTGCTGCCTTACTCCCACTGCCTCCCTACTTCCACTGCCTCCCTACTCCCACTGCTGCCTTACTCCCCGTGCCTCCCTACTCCCACTGCCTCCCTACTCCCACTGCTGCCTACTCCCGCTGCTGCCTACTCCCGCTGCTGCCTACTCCCACTGCTGCCTACTCCCACTGCCTCCCTACTCCCACTGCTGCCTACTCCCACTGCCTCCCTACTCCCACTGCCTCCCTACTCCCACTGCTGCCTACTCCCACTGCCTCCCTACTCCCACTGCCTCCCTACTCCCACTGCTGCCTACTCCCACTGCCTCCCTACTCCCACTGCCTCCCTACTCCCACTGCTGCCTACTCCCACTGCCTCCCTACTCCCACTGCTGCCTTACTCCCACTGCCTCCCTACTTCCACTGCCTCCCTACTCCCACTGCTGCCTTACTCCCCGTGCCTCCCTACTCCCACTGCCTCCCTACTCCCACTGCTGCCTACTCCCGCTGCTGCCTACTCCCGCTGCTGCCTACTCCCACTGCTGCCTACTCCCACTGCCTCCCTACTCCCACTGCTGCCTACTCCCACTGCCTCCCTACTCCCACTGCCTCCCTACTCCCACTGCTGCCTACTCCCACTGCCTCCCTACTCCCACTGCCTCCCTACTCCCACTGCTGCCTACTCCCACTGCCTCCCTACTCCCACTGCCTCCCTACTCCCACTGCTGCCTACTCCCACTGCCTCCCTACTCCCACTGCCTCCCTACTCCCATTGCTGCCTACTCCCACTGCCTCCCTACTCCCACTGCCTCCCTACTCCCACTGCCTCCCTACTCCCACTGCTGCCTACTCCCACTGCCTCCCTACTCCCACTGCTGCCTACTCCCGCTGCTGCCTACTTCCACTGCTGCCTACTCCCACTGCTGCCTACTCCCACTGCCTCCCTACTCCCACTGCCTCCCTACTCCCACTGCTGCCTACTCCCACTGCCTCCCTACTCCCACTGCCTCCCTACTCCCACTGCTGCCTACTCCCACTGCCTCCCTACTCCCACTACCTCCCTACTTCCACTGCTGCCTACTCCCACTGCCTCCCTACTCCCACTGCCTCCCTACTCCCACTGCCTCCCTACTCCCACTGCTGCCTACTCCCACTGCCTCCCTACTCCCACTGCCTCCCTACTCCCACTGCTGCCTACTCCCACTGCCTCCCTACTCCCACTGCTGCCTTACTCCCACTGCCTCCCTACTTCCACTGCCTCCCTACTCCCACTGCTGCCTTACTCCCCGTGCCTCCCTACTCCCACTGCCTCCCTACTCCCACTGCTGCCTTACTCCCCGTGCCTCCCTACTCCCACTGCTGCCTACTCCCGCTGCTGCCTACTCCCGCTGCTGCCTACTCCCACTGCTGCCTACTCCCACTGCCTCCCTACTCCCACTGCTGCCTACTCCCACTGCCTCCCTACTCCCACTGCCTCCCTACTCCCACTGCTGCCTACTCCCACTGCCTCCCTACTCCCACTGCCTCCCTACTCCCACTGCTGCCTACTCCCACTGCCTCCCTACTCCCACTGCCTCCCTACTCCCACTGCTGCCTACTCCCACTGCCTCCCTACTCCCACTACCTCCCTACTTCCACTGCTGCCTACTCCCACTGCCTCCCTACTCCCACTGCTGCCTACTCCCACTGTCTGCCTACTCCCACTGCCTCCCTACTCCCACTGCCTCCCTACTCCCACTACCTCCCTACTCCCACTGCCTCCCTACTCCCACTGCCTCCCTACTCCCACTGCCTCCCTACTCCCACTGCCTCCCTACTCCCACTACCTCCCTACTCCCACTGCCTCCCTACTCCCACTGTCTCCCTACTCCCACTGCTGCCTTACTCCCACTGCCTCCCTACTCCCACTGCCTCCCTACTCCCACTGCTGCCTACTCCCACTGCCTCCCTACTCCCACTGCCTCCCTACTCCCACTGCTGCCTACTCCCACTGCCTCCCTACTCCCACTGCCTCCCTACTCCCACTGCTGCCTACTCCCACTGCCTCCCTACTCCCACTGCCTCCCTACTCCCACTGCCTCCCTACTCCCACTGCCTCCCTACTCCCACTGCCTCCCTACTCCCACTGCTGCCTACTCCCACTGCCTCCCTACTCCCACTGCTGCCTACTCCCGCTGCTGCCTACTTCCACTGCTGCCTACTCCCACTGCTGCCTACTCCCACTGCCTCCCTACTCCCACTGCCTCCCTACTCCCACTGCTGCCTACTCCCACTGCCTCCCTACTCCCACTGCCTCCCTACTCCCACTGCTGCCTACTCCCACTGCCTCCCTACTCCCACTACCTCCCTACTTCCACTGCTGCCTACTCCCACTGCCTCCCTACTCCCACTGCCTCCCTACTCCCACTGCCTCCCTACTCCCACTGCTGCCTACTCCCACTGCCTCCCTACTCCCACTGCTGCCTTACTCCCACTGCCTCCCTACTTCCACTGCCTGCTAACCCTGAGCATTTCTCAAGCTGTTCTCCATTTCAACTGTAGACAAAAAGAGTCTCTGTAAAATATGTGAAGAGATTGATTCTGAGCCAAATGTGAATGACCATGGCCCATGACACAGCCCTCAGGAGATACTGAGAGCACGTGCCCAAGGTGGTCAGGGTGCATCTTGGTTTTATACATTTTTTTGGGAGACGTGAGACATCAATCAAATACTTTTAAGGTGTACATTGGTTCAGTCCAGAAAGGTGGGATAACTCGGGGGGGTTGAATGGGGGCTTCCAGGTTATAAGTAGATTTAAAAATTTTCTGATTAGCAATTGGTTGAAAGAGTTTAAAGACCTGGAATCAACAGAAAGGTAATTAATGTCTGGGTTAAGATAAGGGATTGTGGAGACCAAGGTTCTTCTTATTATATGAAGCCTCCAGGTAGCAGGCTTCAGAGGGAATAGATGGTAAATGTTTCTTATCAGACTTAAAAAGGTGCCAGACTCTTAGTTGATTCTCTCTTGGATCAGGAGGAAAGCCTGGGAAAGGGAAAGGGGATTCTCTACAGAAGGCAGATTTGTCCCTGCAAGAGTTGACTTTGCAGGGCAATTTCAAGATATGGCAAGGAAATATATTTGGGGTTAAAATATTTTGATTTCCTTATCTATCATGTGATGTATAGCAGAGTCAGGTTGGGAAGCAGGCCACATTATATGGGGTTAGATAAAGCCTCTCTGATGAAACTTTATGGTTTGTAAGGTGTCATTCCCCAGGCCCCTTAGATAGGAATTTGGGCAAGAGAAGAAAACAAGGTCAGAGTTTAGTCCTCACAATTATTTTCTCATTTTAAGGATGTTAAATCAGGCTGGGCATGGTGGCTCACGCCTGTAATCCCAGCACTTTGGGAGGCTGAGGCAGGAAGATTGCTTGAGCACAGGAGTTCAAGACCAGTCTAGGTAACATAGTCAAACCTTGTCTCCACAAAAAATAAAAAATTAGCCGGTGGTGGTGAGCACCTTTAATCCCAGCTACTCAAAAGGCTGAGGCAGGAGAATTGCTCGAGCCTGGAAGGCAGATTGGAGTGAGCTGAGATCATGCCACTGCACTCCAGCCTGGGCAACAAAGCAAGACCCTGTCTCAAAAAAAAATTAAAATTAAAAAAATAAAAAAGAGAAAAAATAATGTTATATAAATGGAATCTTAAGTATGTAACTTTTGGGGACCGGCTTTTTCGCTTAGCATAATTCATCCCGATTGTTGTGGGTATAAATTGTTTCTTCTTTGTGTTTTTAAAATCGTTATTGCTGAGTGGTATCTTTCATGGCATGGACAGAACACAGTTTGTCAAATCATTTGCCTCTTAAAGGACAACTGAGTGGTTTTCAGTTTGCGACTATTCCAAGTCAAGTTGCTGTGAGCATTTGTGTGCAGTTTCTTGTGTGAACATAGATTTCATTTCTCTTGGATAAATGCCCACGCGTGCAGTCACTGGGATGCATGGTAATTGTGTGTTTAGTTTTATTAAGAAACTGTCAGACTGTTTCCTCGAGTGGCTGTATCGCTTTACATTCCCACCAGCAATGTGTGAGTGATGCAGTTTCTCTACATCCCCACTAGCATTTGATGCTGCCACTATTCTTTTGACAGATAATTCTAATATGTTTGCCATCTTTATTTTGGACATCTATTGAGTGTCTAATTTTTTTTTTCTTTTTTTTTTTTTTTTTTTTTTGAGGCGGAGTCTCGCTCTGTCGCCCAGGCTGGAGTGCAGTGGTGTGACCTCAGCTCACTGCAACCTCCGCCTCCCAGGTTCAAGCAATTCTCCTGCCTCAGTCTCCCGAGTAGCTGGGATTACAGGCGCCCGCTACTATGCCCAGCTGATTTTTGTATTTTTAGTAGAGATGGGGTTTCACTACGTTAGTCAGGCTGGTCTTGAACTCCTGACCTCAGGTGATCCGCCCGCCTTGGCCTCCCAAAGCGCTGGGATTACAGGCATGAGCCACTGCGCCCAGTGATTGTCTAATTTGTATTCCATTTTATATCTTCCTGGTTCTCGATAGGATGAGTGACTTTGTTATTGAAATCTGGAATTTGGGGAATTATATTTTGAGACACTGGAACTTTTTAAGCCTTCTGTTTAGCTGGCTTCCTCTGACATTGAACTAGCCATGGAAGCAGTGATGCCCCTCTGCCATTGATGCCTTAGCGGGGAGGGGTCAAGGGTGGGAGCTCCAGCATCCCACAGACCTCCCCTGACCCACCCCCCCGGGCTGGGACAGATAGTATGACCTCGTTATTGCTCTTCATGTAGTCTCCCCTGACACCAAGGGGAGGGTGGCCTCATTACTGCTGGGTAGTGTTGAAAATCTTCACTTTCCAATAAACCCACCCTGACACAGCTACCCTACCCAGCTCAGTGGGCAGTGGGGGGTGGGGTGCCTCATTACTGTTGGGTGGGGGAGAAAGTCCAGGCTTTTGACTCGGCTTTGTCCGGGACCACTCTGGCAGGTGTTGGGGCACCCAGTTACAGGCAGCAGAAGTCTAGGCTCCCCACACAGCCTTTACTGAGGAGGTAGGTGATGGGGTTTCAGTTTTCTCCTGCAGTGTTTGGCAGGGGTGGTCAGTTATCATCTAAGTTTGCTGTCTTCATAGGCTGCCCTTTCCTGGCCTTTTGGCAGAGAGACCAGGCTTTTGTTGAGACCCTTTTTTTTTGTCTGTACCTTTCTGTGTTATAGGCTTCTTCAGCTCCAAATCTGATATATTCGAGGCCAAAACAGAACCTAGAAAACTGACCACCCTGTCATTCCTGGGTCCCCGTCTGATCTGTGTCCTCTCTACCTTTCAGAGTCTCCTTATGTTTGTTTTATAGGCAATGTCCAGGCTTTGAGTCGTACTCAGCAGGGGGAATAGGAAAAAGTGTATCCGTTCCATCCTGCCAGGAGGGGACATTTGGCAAGAATGGAGTTTTGTTTTTTGTTTTTTGTTTTGTTTTGTTTTTGAGACAGTCTTGCCTGGAGTGCAATGGTGTGATCTCGGCTCACTGCAACCTCCGCCTCCCAGGTTCAAGCGGTTCTCCTGCCTCAGTCTCCCAAGTAGCTGGGGACTATAGGCATGCACTACCACGCTAGGCTAATTTTTGTATTTTTAGTAGAGACAGGGTTTCACCATGTTGGCCAGGATGGCCTCGATCTCTTGACCTCGTGATCTGCCTGTCTCACCCTCCCAAAGTGCTGGGATTACAGGTGTGAGCCAACACATCTGGCCAAGAATGGAGTTTTAAAATTTTAATTTAACCCTAAAAGCACCCATGGGACCTCCAATTTCAGGGGAGTTTCTTCCCAGTGTAAAGGAGGCGCTGGGAAGGACAGGCTTAGGTTGTCCTTCTCAAGATTCTTGTCCTTTACTGTTCAGTGTTCAGTTCCTTCATTTCTCAGCAGCCTCTAAAACAACATGAAAAATGCCAATGAGAATGAATTACTTGGATGTCTTGAAATTAGCATTTCTAATCCAACCTCAGAGTCTCTTAATGAATTTTAAGCTGTCTTTACAGCAGATTTAACCACATTTCGTCACTGCAATGTCTGTCAAGCCAGGGAAACTAGCAGTGATACCCTTGTCCTAAAAAAGGAGAAGGACATGGTCCTAAAATGAACATCAGCAGCCCTCCAATCAAGGTCCACATAGCCACCAAGGAGCCATATGACCTGGGCCCTCAGTGTGCCCCGATTCCTTCAAGTTTTTGTTTTGTTTTGTTTTTTTGAGATGGAGTCTCACTCTGTCACCCAGGCTGGAGTGCAGTGGCACAATCTCAGTTCACTGCAACCTCTGCCTCCTGGGTTCAAGTGATTTTTCTGCCTTAACCTCCCGAGTAGCTGGGATTACAGGCATCCACCACCATGCCTGGCTAATTTTTGTATTTTTGGTAGGGAAGGGGTTTCACCATGTTGGCCAGGCTGGTCTGGAACTCCTGACCTCAGGTGATCCACCTGCCTTGGCCTCCCAAAGTGCAGAGATTATAGGTGTGAGCCACTATGCCCAGCCAATTCCCCATATACCCCTACACCCCCCTCCAGACCTTGGATTCTATAGCATAGGATAAAGAACACCCAATGTGATATAAGAACCATAAAAGTGTCAGAGGGTCTGAAGCTGACCTGAGCTGGGTTATACTTATGTACCAGTTTCTATGTAGTCAATTTCCAATGGGGTCAGTGGGTTAGGAGCAAGGGATTATACAAAACCTGTGCTCACGAGAACCCGATAAGCCGTATCTCTGTGTAGTTATTAGCCTTTATATTTGGAGAGGCCTCTTTCTGGACATGGTAGTCAGCACTCCTCCCCATTCTCCTGATAAAAAAGCCCTCCTGTGGGAGCCCACGCCTTATGGATCTGATGTGGCTCCCATTCTTCTCGATCATGGATGCGACAAAGCCCAGGCGTGAGCAATCAGAGCACCCCATTTCCTGACCACCATGACTGGCCAAGAAAGGGCATGTGAGCCCAGCTGGGCCAATGAAACCCTTCTCTTAGTTGCGATGTGTGAACCTAAGAGAGATTGAGAGGCCAGAGCTGCCATGCCCCACCCCCCATGCAAGGAGAGCCCACTGAGGAAGGGCCAGCACAGAGGAGAAAAAGGCTGAGGGAGGGCCACGTGCGGTGGGGCACATCTGTAATCCCAGCACTTTGGGAGGCCGAGGCAGGCGGGTCGTTTGAGCTCAGGAGCTCAAGACCAGCCTGGGCAACATGGTGAAACCCCGTCTCTACAAAAAATACAAAAATTAGCCGGCCGTGGTGGCACATGCCTGTAGTCCCAGCTACTTGGGGACTGAGGCAGGAGGATCGCTGGAATCTGGGAGGTTGAGGCTGCAGTGAGCTGAGATTGTGCCACTGCATTTCAGCCTGGGTGACAAAGTGAGACCTTGTCTCAAAAAAAAAAAAAAAGGCTGAGAGAGGGGCTGATGGTGTCTTTTGGATACTATTTGTGTGATTTTTCTAGAGAAAAACTTTCTTAAATTCCTTCCAAAAGTGAGATTTATTGTTTACAGGGAACTTGGTTTTATAATGATGAGTTTGCTTGAACTAACACATAGGAATTTTCTTATCTTCCAGCTCTTCCCAAGTGTGGACAATCCATTTCAAAGTTGCTCTATACAACTGTCCAGAATAGACCTGTTCTTTGAGGGAAAGGCTTAGAGAGGAGCCAAAGCACTGATTCTCTGAAAACCATTTGTCTCCTGTTTCTGAAAGACCAGATAGAACCTGTGGCTCTTTCTAAACATTGGCTTGCCACATGCCTGAACCTTCCAGGGAGCACCAACTCGACTTTTTAAGGGAGAACGAGTTCACAGAATCTGCCTGTACCTTGGAGGGAAAATTCATCTACAGTCACATCCAAATTCTAGCAAGACTAACCCTTTGAACTTCTCACTCCCAAGAGCTACAAGGCTCTGTCTATTTTACAACACAAAATCTTTTAAGAAAGCTGAGACAAAAGAAATTTTATAGAGAAAAATTTTCATAAGAGAGAGAAAGATAACACCAGTTCCTGTCCTGGAGATAGACTGTTCACTCTTGTTAATTCTCTAGTCATACCAGAAGTATAAGCAAAAGTGTCAGTGAAATCAATCCCTGCACTGGGAGAGAGAGCCCGGCTGTGTATTGTTCATAACCTCCTGTTAAATTAGCCGATTGCTTAGCCATCAGGGATGATCTTGATTATGAACAAGACACAGCCAGGTCTGTGTCTTGTAGGAGAGGCCCTTGACTGGGACAGTGTCTGCTGTGGAGGTTTGCAGCAGGGGTGCAGAGATGCACCAGGCGCTATCGTACCTTAAATGTCTCCTCAAGCCCCAATTGGCTTTTCTGAATCAGACTCCAGAAATAAAAATGTTTGAGTTCATTTCATGTGAATCCAGATGTTTGTGGGGCAAAAGTCCCATGCTCCCGCCAAACATAAGACATCACCAGTTTCATGAACAGGCAGACACAGAATATCCTTGCCAATCTGTCATGATTGGATCCAGAGAATAACGTGATTGATGATTTGCTGTGCAGGTGACTCAAGAATCACCATCTTGCTTCACTTCAGGCAGGCTTGCTCTTTGGGGTCTTGACTCTGGAGAAATAATGGAAACCATCAGGAGGTTTTTGGGTGCTATTTCTTTACCATCCTCCTACTCCAGATTTTAGCAACTGAGAATGGACACCAGGAACCAGCTGGGATCCAGGCATAGACCTAAATCTGCTGATCAGAGCCCAGTCGCAGCCACATGCAATCCCTCTTGTACACTATGTTGGAAACTTCCTTTGGCCGTGAAACTGCCTTTGCAAAAGTTATGTTAGTGAGAAAATGATGATAGCAAAAGGGATCCCATCTTGCCTTTCCCTTAATTTTTCCTGGGCTATTGGGCCAAGCTAATTTTCAAAGACATTTAGGCTATAGTTTAAATGATAGTAGGCCTCCCCTAAAACTCAGCCACTTTTGTAAAGCTTTTGGGAGGCCATCAGGCTGGGGGGAGAGAGGGGCCTGAGTCCTTCTAAGGTTCAGAATGAATGATTGTCAACCATTGTTCTGGAGGTCATGAGATATGCAGCTTCCTCAATTACTCCTGCAAATAACATCACTATTGCTAAGGCGCAGACATGAACAATTGTCAGCCATTATTCCGGAGGTCACGAGATATTTAGCTTCCCCACTTACTGCTGCAAATAACGTCAGTATTGCTAAGGCACAGACATGAATGATTGTCAGCCATTATTCCGGAGGTCATAAGATATGCAGCTTTCCCAACTACTCCTGCAAATAACATCACTATGGTAGAACCTAAGATTGGCCTTTTGAAATATCTTTTCAGGTTTTTTGCATGTCTGACACCCATGGCTCCACCTGGACCCACCAACCCTGATTCTGTGGCCCCACCCAGAATTGGTTTAGCTCACAGGAGGACAGCTTTGACCCCCTAGGATTTCATCTCCACCCCAACCAATCAACAGCAAGCACCTGTTACCTGGCCACCCCCATCCCTTCCCACAAACTGCCTATGAAAAACTTCTAACCTAGTAGCTTTGGACAAGGTGATTTGAGTATGAACTCCATCTCCCATGTGGCATGGCCGGCCTTGTGTCTACTAAACTCTCTACTACAATGCCATGGTCTTTCTTTATGCAGTGGGCAGGAAGAACCCCTCAGGGTTACAGCTCGAGTCCAGGATGGAGCAGCCTACCTCTTTGTGCTTGAACTAAAGGAAGCAGAACCTCCTGAGCCTGGTCCTCCTGATCTTCCCAGGTTGCAGATGAAGAACCCTGACCACAGGAAGAGAGCAGGGATCAGTCTGAGGCAGGCCTTTTCTGTCTGCTCACAGCATTATGGGGGGAAATGCAATACTGGCTCCCCCAGGTCTGGTCCCAGCCAGACCTTTAAGAACGGAAAGCTGGAGAACAGGAGCTGGTGTTCCTTTTAGACACAACCCAGTGTAAAATGGACCAATCAGATTTGCACACCTACCTCTGAGGGATGAGGGAAGAATAAAGATTCCACTCTAGATCTTTTTAGAGCCAGTGATGCTGGGGGAGTTTCTTATTTATGAGCAGAAGAAAGAACATGAGAGAGAAAACGACATCAAGCTTGTCCAACCCGCAGCTCATGGGCCACAGGCGGCCCAGGAAGGCTTTGAATGCAGCACAACACAAATTTGTGAACTTTCTTAAAACATTATGAGATTGCTTTTGTGATATATATATAAATATATTTAGCTCATCAGCTATCGTTACTGTTAGCGTATTTTATGTGTGGCCCAAGACAATTCCTCTTCTCCCAGTGTGGCCCAGGAAAGCCAAAACATTGGACACCCCTGCCCTACAGGAATCAACAACAGCTTGAAGTGGTGAACTCAGACTTTCCTGTGCCCCTGACACTCGGGAGCTGCTGGCCGCAGGTCAAGAAGCAAGGCCTGGGGAATCTGCAGCCCACGTGAATAAGGCAGCCTTTCTACATTTATTCCTTTCCCCTTGGGGTTCCAACAAGAAAGCATAGTCTGCCCCACACAGTCTCCTAACCTGAGCCTCTTAGAATTTGAACAGAGGGGTCCCTGACCTCTGCTCTGTACAGCAAGAAGAGGAAGTAAGCTGGGTTCTGGGGGGCCTGAGATTGACCCCAAGACCACTCATTGTGCAGGCAGTTTTCCAGAAGGTTCTGTTGTGGCAACTTTCCTATCATGCACCCTTAGAAAAGCCATCAAAGTCATATTCACAGGTACTTAGGAAAAGTTTTCAAAACTCAGAAAACAGGCAAAAAAAAAATCTATTTACCTTTTAGTATTAAGCTAAATGATTTTCTAACGAGCCTGTTTGAAGGTCCTCTCACTCTCAGAGAATATACTGGCTTGATTAATAATTGATTAGGGCTGTGTAAATCTGAAGAAAACTGATGAGGTATAGTGACTGATCCATTAGACAAGATTACCCTGAGGGTTATGGTTTAATTACCCTATGGAAATGCAGCAGGAAATATTAATCAGTTTTGTATCTAAATCAAGTATTTTTCAGCATTTTTTCCTCACTATGTTTCATATTCTCTCTGAATCATCTCTGTTTTTCCACTGTTTTCTTACCCATGAGTTAATAACAACTCTCCCATGTGCTTGCTATCTGTATTAGAATTATGATTTTAATGACTTAAGTAATATCTTTAACCAAACTTTTATAATAATTTATTGTAATAATTGTTACAATTATGTAACTGTAATAATATCATATTTTAAGTATTTGTTAAAATACTATATTAATTTGTAAACCTGTTCATAGAACTGAATAAGGTCTCTCTTCTATTGAGGCATGTTTATACCACTATATATCCAATTCTTTATCCGTCTGCCCATTCATATTATCCACTAAAGAAGCATTAAAGAATGCTTTATAACTCTTTCTAAGTTCTGTCCCTGTATGAGTCTGTTCTCACACTGCTATAAAGAACTACCTGAGACTGGGTAATTTATAAAGAAAAGAGGTTTAATTGACTCACAGTTCCACATGGCTGTGGAGGCCTCAGGAAACATAATCACGGCGGAAAATGAAGTAGAAGCAGGCATAGTCTTCACATGGCTGGCACAGGAGAAAGAGAGAGAGAAGAGGGAAGTGCTTACACCTTTAAACAACCAGATTTCATGAGAACTTTATCAAAAGAACGGCGAGGGGGACGTCCACTTCCATGATTCAATCGCCTCCCACCAGGCTCCTCCTTCAACAAGTGGGGATTACAATTTGACATGAAATTTGGGTAGGGACACAGAGCCAAACCATATCAGTCCCTTGCTGGCCTCATGACTGGGTAAGTCACACATGCTAAGAAGTGTGCTTTCTCATTTGTCAAACGGGGGCATCATGAGATTGTGGAGAAAAATAAAACAGATTGTATATATAAATTGGTTGGAGCAGTGCAGGTTTATATGTTCAATCAATGGAAAACAGTTACAAACAAGGTAGATATTAATCCAACTCAATCAATAATCACTTTAAATGTGTATGCCCTAAATATCCAATTAAAAGACAGATTGTCAGAATGGATCATAAAAGCAGGATCCAACTATGTGTTGTCTACAAGAAACCCACTTTAAATATAAAAACTCAGGTTGAAAGTAAAGGGATAGAGAAAGATATACTATGTTAACACTAATCAAAAGAAAGTTGGAGTTGCTATGTTAATTTCAGATAAAGCTTCAGAACTGGAAAAATTATCAGAGAAGGGCATTACATAATGAAAAGGTGCAAGTTCTCCAAGAAGACATAGGCCTAAAAATATATGCACCTAATAACAGAACATCAGAATATGTGAGAACTATCTCTGGTTGATATGATTATGAGTTATTTTATTTTTCAGATATTCACCAGCAGACGTGTTTGTTTAAAAAAAAAAAAGCAAACTTCATTTTTTCCCATTTTGTTTACCCACCCCTTTCAAGGATGAAATGTGGAGATGGCCCAGAATAGCTATGGAAACAGAAGCCCAGGAGGTCAGATGTCCACTCAAAGATATCTCAAGAGCTATTATTTGCATTTGCAAGTTCACCTTGTCTAGAAGAAAAAGAGTACAGGAGTTCAACCTGAACAGATGGCCTCTCAGGGGGTGCTCACTGCCACAGAAATCTCAGAATATCATCTTCAAAACTAAGTCTCCATCCCGCACTTGCCTGTTAGTTTAAGACCAAGGGCCCTAAGGATAGGATTTTGGGAAGCATTTGGATATCCTGGCCACTGAAGCCAAGTCACAGAGTGAGAATTTGAGGCACAGAAATGTGTCAATTTGTACATATTTGACTTTCAAAAACTGTTTAAGCACTAGCAAAAGGAAGATTAAAAGGCTGGGTGTGGTGGCTCATGCCTGTAATCCCAGCAGTTTGGAAGGCTGAGGCAGGCAGATCACTTGAGGTCAGGAGTTTGAGACCAGCCTGGTCAACATGGTGAAACCCCGTCTCTACTAAAAATACAAAAATTAGCCAGGCATAGTGGTACATGCCTGTATTCCCAGCTACTTGAGATGCTGAGGCAGAAAAATCACTGGAATCTGGGAGGCAGAGGTTGCAGTGAGCAGAGATTGTGCCACTGTACTCAAGCCAGGGCAACAGAGTGACTACAACTCAAAAAAAAAAAAAAAAAAAAAAAAGGAAAGCTAACGAAAGGAAGCACTAACAAAAGGAAGGTGTGGGAAAGAGACTGGCTGGCTAGTGGCTTCAGAAACTGAGCCCAGCACAGCCCTCACCTGGGAGTCAAGTGGTGTTAATTAAATGGCAAAAACTGGTTCCAAGGTATTTACAATCCCTGAGCAGTCTTAAACTTTGAGCTGTGATGCCAGATCCTAGCTCTGATGAAAAACAGCAAGTCCTTAGAAAAATGCTGTTTGTAAAAATGTCCTGTATTACTGAATTTAAAAACTGGAATTTTTTCCTGGCTAACATGGTGAAACCCCGTCTCTACTGAAAAATACAAAAAAATTAGCCGGGCGTGGTGGCACGCGCCTGTAGTCCCAGCTACTCAGGAGGCTGAGGCAGGAGAATGGTGTGAACCCAGGAGGCGGAGCTTGCAGTGAGCTGAGATTGCGCCACTGCACTCCAGCCTGGGCGACAGAGCGAGACTCTGTCTCAAAAAAAAAAAAAAAAAAAAACTGGAATTTTTAAGATTTGGAGACCTATATCTCATATACTAAAATTTGGGTTAGTGGGAAAACTTGGAAATTAAATTTATGAGATTAAAATGTATTTCTGATCAACTGAGAGTTAATGATAAGACATTTTGTTTTGGTTCATGTTGATTTAAAAATATTTTTCCTGCCTTTTTTCTCAGCATAGCTCACCATCAACCTTTTATTAGTTGTGGAAAAGTTCTTACAGTGATTTGTGGATTTGAGGTTGTGGTTGACATGCTAAATATACATTTTTCATCATACATCTTGGTCCATGAGAATGAAGGAAAGTTAAATAAAGACATACTAATCCCAGAATATACCATGGATTTTTTTTAAATCTCTTATATCAACATATTCCGTTGTAATTCCTCTTTATCCTAAAAGTAGATTGCAAATATTTCCAAATCCGTAACAGCATCACTCTACCATTGCCAATTACACCTTTTCATAAAAATGTGTCCAACAGACTTGAGCCTGGAGCAGAGTACATACGTTCATTCTCTACCCATGCCTAAGCAGCAGCAGCTGTGAGCTCAGACTCCTGGCAAAGACAGAGGGGCTCAAGGAGCAGATGGCTGGGAAGAGCCTTCTTCCCTCCTATCCGCTCATACACATGAACTTCCCTCACAAAGATCCTCTTCTTATCCATACCTCCCTGCCAGAAAACCATTGTCTCATCTGTTTTTGAGCCCTCCTCTAAGAGTTCATAACCATTTCTTCACTTAGCAAATACCCTCCAGGCAGCTACCAAATGCAAGGCAATGTTTTAATGAATGTGAATCTTTAGGTCCCTGCTTTGTGGAGCTTCCATTGTAGCCAGAGAAGGCAAGTTACAATCTATTCAACAAATGAGCAAGAGATTATTCCTACTGAGCTCTACAAAGGAAATTGCCCAGGGGTGGGACAGAGACCCTGAAGCAGGAAGGTGATGCTGCCTCAGGTAAGATACTCCGAGGGGATGCTCCTGGAAGAGGGACAGACTGGCAAGAAGAATTTGGCCATTGAAGGACTGGGAAAAAAGAAAAGGAAACTGTGAGTAAGGAGGAACTGCATGCACAAATGTCCCTGCCTGAGAAGGGGCTCAGCTTGTGTGAGAACCTGGGAGTGAGATAGCAAGTTCAGAGGGGCCCTGGAAAGGAGTGCACATAAGACTTGCGTATCTATGGTCTTCAACATGCAAAGCATGGAGACATTGGACCATGTGGAACTTGAGACACACATGTGGGGGCACCAGAGTTACCAGAAGAAGGCCAACCTTCTGACCTGGATGATTTGTACAGTTAGGGGCTGCCCCTCACCCCCTTCTCTGCCTGTGGAGCTTGAGCCCCTCTTCACAGGCACAACCCAGGAGTGTAGTGTTGGCGAGGGGAAGAGGTGGCCTCAACCAGTGGGGAAGAGGTTGGGGGATAAATGCCCCAGCCTCTCCATATAGTAGGGCCATTATGCCCCAACTTCCATATGGTCTCTTGAAAGCTCCCCAGAAGGACTGACTCCCAGCTGCCCACACAGTCATCCACTCTCTACTGGTTTTCCTTCCTTCCTGTTTCATTTTTCCACTTCCTCACCTTTGCTTCCTGGAATAATTCCCCAAATAAACTTCCTTGACTCTTAACAAAGACTCCAAGATTGGATGATCTAGAGCAAGGGACAATAAGCTTTCCTATAAAGAGTCAGACAGTAAATATTTTAGGCTTTGTAGGCCAATCTCTGTTGCAACTATTTAACTAAGACATTGTAGCATATAAGTAGCATTCTACACCACATAAATGAATGACATGGCTGTGTTTCAGTAAAACTTTATTTATAAAAATAAGCAGCAAATAGAATTTAACCCATGAGCTGTAGTTTACCAGTCCCTGGACTAAGAGCTTAATATTGTTGAGCTATGACAGTTGATACAATTTTCTCTTCTATAGGGATTCATCAGCTACAGATATCTGCAGGTCACTTCAGTGGGTCAGAGAACTCCTCTTCTGGACAGTTCAAGAGACACAGCCAACATTTGCTTCTATGCCTTGGAGGTCTAAGGGCCAAGAGAAGCCTCTCCTGTTTCCCAGGGTGACCTTGCCTTCCATCCCCAAGAATAAATGCTATGGCAGCCGCCATTACCAAGCTGCTGTCATTTCAGCAGAACCAGTGCTGCAGTTCCCTGTTCCCTCCTACCCACTGCCTCCCACCCATCTCCTACTTCTGTCTAAAAAAGAGTAGAGATGGAGAGCAAGGAGACCTTTCAATGAGGGAAGGCTTCACGAATCCATAGCCATCACCATCTCTCTAGTTCCTCTGGTGAAGGGCAGGAGAATTCTGTGTCAACTCTGTGGTACCTGAGGTCGGGAGACAGGAATTTTTCTCCTGGCCATTTGCTCATGAAACCACCTCAGAGCCACCAGAGAGGAGCTATGACGAGGGCAGAGAGGTCTGGGCATTTGATCCCAAAGTTTGATGACCTGCATAAATACAGACAACGAAGCCAGCCTCTCCTTTGAAGATTCCTGAAAATGAAAAACTTCCATGCCATTAGGGTGTGGACGGTTTCTAATGAATTGTTGCAGGAAGTCAGGGACCCCGAATGGAGGGACCCGCTGAAGCCATGGCAGAAGAACATAAATTGTGAGGATTTCATGGACATTTATTAGTTCTCCAAATTTTATAATTTCTTATGCCTGTCTTTACTGCAATCTCTGAACATAAATTGTGAAGATTTCATGGACATTTATCACTTCCCCAATCAATACTCTTGTGATTTCCTATGCCTGTCTTTACTTTAATCTCTTAATCCCATCATCTTCATAAGCTGAGGAGGATGTATGTCACCTCAGGACCCTGTGATGATTGTGTTAACTGCACAAATTGTTTGTAGAGCGTGTGTGTTTGAACAATATCAAAATCTGGGCACCTTAAGAACAGGATAACAGCAATTTTCAGGGAACAACGGAGATAACCTTAAAGTCTGGCTGCCTGTGGGCTGGGCAGAACAGAGCCTTATTTATCTTCTTTCAAAAGCAAATAGGAGAAATATCTCTGAATTCTTTTTCTCAGCAAGGAACATCCCTGAGAAAGAGAATGCGTCCCTAAGGGGAGGCCTCTAAAATGGCTGCTTTGGGGATGGCTGTCTTTTACAGTCGTAGCTGTAGGGATGAAATAAGCCCTGGTCTCCCGTAGCATTCCCAGGCCTATTAGGACAAGGAAATTCCCGCCTAATAAATTTTGGTCAGACCAGTTGTCTGCTCTCAAACCTTGTCTCCTGATAAGATATTATCACTGAAAATGCATGCCTGAAACTTCATTAGCAATTTTAATTTCGCCCCAGTCCTGTGGTCCTGTGATCTCGCCCTGCATCCATTTGCCTTGTAACATTTTATTACTTTGTGAAGCATGTGATCTCTGTGACCCACACCATATTCATACACTCCTTTCCCTTTTGAAAATCACTAGTAAAAACTTGCTGGTTTTACAGCTCAGGGGGCATCACGGAACCTGCCAACATGTGATGTCTCCCCCGGATGCCCAGCTTTAAAATTTCTCTCTTTTGTACTCTTTCCCTTTATTTCTCAGACTGGCTGGCACTTAGGGAAAATAGAGAAGAACCTACGTGAAATATTGGGGGTGAATTTCTCCCGATAATGAATGTGCCTCAAGAAGAGTTTGAAGGCCTTTGTACATCCATGTCTCTCAAAGAACACCAAGTGGACCCACATGAACTCTCATAGCATCTCCTGGGGAAGCCTGGGGTGTGAAAAAAGGGCAGGGGTCCTGGGTTCCACAGAAAGCTACTCAGCCAAGTCCTGAGGAGCCCATTTTGGGGAAGGGCTTGGAGCCTGGGGCTACCATGACACACCCTGAGCACAGGGGCAGAAGCAGGGGTGCTTCTCCATGAAGTCAGGGCAGGGTCAACACCAAACCCCACCCAAGATCAACCCACACAGCCCTCAGGCCAAGACCACATCATTAGGGGTTCACAGCTCTTCCCACCACAGTCAGCGGAAGGAGCTCCATGAGCAGTGTCAGGACTTGGCTGCTGGAGGATTCCGAGTCAGAGAAGATTCTGGTCCTGGAAACAGCACTGTAGGTAGTGCTTTGGATGAAAGATGAGCTGCAGCTGGGAAGCTCTCCAGCTAGCAGGCTTCTGAGAGAAAGCATGGTTGTGATGACAGGAAAAAGGACAATTGCTCCATGTTTCCACCACAGTAAGTGGACTTGTCCCCATCTGAGTGACACTGCTCAGATTGATTTTCCTAAGCACCCACAGGATGCCCTTTTTTCTCATGGACAGATTTGGCTCTAGACTGGCTAATACCATGGGTCTGGGCATATCTTTGCACATCTCTGATATTATCCACTAAGCGTGGACTTTTAATTTTAACTCTCAGGGTTTAAGGGGTTGTCTGTTTGAGTACTAAGTCAAAATTTGACTCCTTTTTAACTATATGGTTTTTAAAAAATCAAACCCTGTCTATCCTCTGTTTTGGGGTGGCTGATCTTGCTGATGCCCAAACACAAAGGAAAACCCCAAGCTCTTCGCAGAGCTGAGCATCAGCCTGCCTAGGGAGGCATTCAAAGGCCATGGGAAGCTGGAGATTTGTTTCCCTCCCTCTTTTCTTTTCTTTTCTTCTTTTCTCTCCTTCCTTCCTTCCTCTTTCTTTCTCTTTCTTTTTTCTTTCTCTCTCTTTCTCTTTCTTTCTCTATCCCTCCCTTCCTCCTTCCCTCTTTTCCTTCCCTCCCTTCCTTTCCTTCCTTTCTCCTTCTTCCTTTCTCTTTCTTCCTTCCTTTCTTTCTTTCTCTCTCCCTTTCCTTCTTTTTCTTTCTTTATTTTGTTTGAAAGACAGGGTCTCACTTTGTTGCCTAGGCTGGAGCACTGTGGCACAAAAATGGCTCACTACAGCCTCCATCTCCTGGGCTCAAGTGTTCCTCCTGCCTCAGTTTCCCAAATAACTGGGACTACAGGTGTGCACTGCCACCTGTAGTGGGCTAATTTTTTAATTATTATTTTTTGGAGAGACAAGGTCTCACTACGTTGCCAGGCTGGTCTCAAACTCCTGAGCAATCTTTCTGCCTTGGCCTCCCAAAGTGCTGGAATTTCAGGCGTGAGCCACCATGTCTGGCCTATTTCTTTATCTTTTGATTTCTTTCTTTGTCTTTTTATTTTATAAAGTTTTACTTCAGTTTGTTTATTTTTACCCAGTCTGCTCTTTAAGCTTCTGGTCTTAGCATTTTATTTTGTTTCTATCTATCTGTTTGAAGTGGTTTGTTTTCTCAATTAGTTCACGATGTTTATCTTACTGTTTTGACACTTTGATTGTAGCCTTCTCATCTTTAACATGAATTTGTTTTACTTTTGCATTTGGTTTCGTTTTTCTATTCACCTCTGTTTTTCCTAAAGTTTTGTCTGTTTTCATTGTAGCTTCCCATCATTCCCTCCATTGCTTTAATTATCTCTTTACCATTTATTTTATCCTGTTATTATTTAATTGTTGTATAGAGATTTAGTTCTTGATTTTAGGAATTCTAGCCATGGAAGGCTGGTGTCAGAGTGACAGATGAGGGAAAGCTGTCATAGGGCCCTGAACACGTCACACCCACTTTATTAGGAAGCCAAGCGACAGTGGAATGAATGTGCACTTGCCATGTGTACCCGGGATCTCAGAAACGGGTCCCACGGTAATGAATGAGCAACATTTATTCTCATGGTAGCCCATTCTCCCCAACCCCCAAAAAGGAGAATCTAAAAAGCTTGTTTTTAGAATTCTTGGTGTTCTGACAATGTATACTACTGAAATTCGGGAGGAAAAACCTAGGCACATTAGGATCTCATATCCAATTGTATCATGGGTTGTCCGGAAGAAGACACCAATAAACAAATCTTCCTTTTAGTCTATTCATAATAGGATTTAGGTTGTTATCTGAACAGAAGGGGTCAGAAATAGGAGAAGATAGGAGAAGTTATTTTGATAAATGGGCAATGGCTTACTTATGAAATCCTGAGCATAGGTCTCCTTCTCCAAGTCGTATTTGGTGTGGGACAGTCCACTTTCCTGCTGTGGAAGACACCGTGGGGTCAATAAAACCACTGGTGATCCTGCAGGCTGAGCAGGTCTCACCTCTTTACTTTAGCTCAGGATTCTAAAGAAGTCTTGGCCAAAGGAGAATACTCCGCTTCACCAGGGAGCAAAACCATTTCCATTGTTGTCCCTTGATCAACAAACCTTAGACAGAATCCAATAGTACCATTTTGCAATGCTGTATTTTAATTGCTGAGAGAGGTAAAAGTCATCAGAAATCTTGCAAATGAGCCCCGATGTTGCTGAAATCAGCATTTTCCAATCTGTATACACAGGTATTTATAATTGTCCAGTGTTTCACTGTATGTCGGCAGAGGCTGATAGTGATTAAGATGGTAGGAAAAAATGTCATAACCATAAAGCTGGAGAAAATTGAAGTGCAATGTGCTCTTCAGACAGCAAATGGAAAAATAAATGGGTCAAGTTCTCATTTTGGCAATTCAGGGGGAAATTTTTTGAAGTAATGAAGGGAACTAGAATTAGATAGGATGAGAAATTGGCTCATGAATTGAAAGGCATCGTCTGTATCCTAAGTAATAAGAAATTCCAGACGTCGGCTAGAGTATTCACCTTGCCCTGATGACATCTCAATAGAGTCTTCAAATGTTTATTGCAAGGGAATGTAAAAATTTTATAGGCAAAACATATTAGCTAACAAAGCACTGGATTATAACAAAAAGGAAAATAGCTTTCATTAAGTCTATATAACGCATCTAGCACTTCCCCACTCATTTTAAGGTGATTGTGTGATTTCATCCTCTCAAGAACTCTGTTGCTGCAAACAACGAATATGAGGCTAAACACTTAAGCTTCTTGTTCAAGCTCACACAGCTGGGAAATGGCACACCTGGGTCCTCAAGCGAGGAACCCTGAACACAGATGCTTTTCCATTTGATCACACCCTTCCCAAGATTCTGAGCTAGGTTCAGCCACAGGCCGGCAGTGTGACCTCCACTCTACTCTGGGTTACCGCACACCTGCAGTGAGGTACACATTGCTAGAAGTAGGATTGGAAGCTGGATAGGCTGTTCCTGCCTCATGGTATTTACCACCTGATAGGGCCTCCAGCAATCAGCAATTCACCATATCCATTAAAAAAACATCAGCGAAGTCATTTAATTTCTTAGCTATCCAATTTCTTCATCTGCAGAGTGAGAAATGTTTAACCTTTCAGTGATTCAGAACTAAGAGCATGCAAAAAAGTCACCTACAAAGGTTTTGAAAAATTGAGTTATCAAGGCCCTACTCCAAACCGGCTTTTGAGTTGAGGCCTAAAACATGTAATTTGGAAACTTCCTTAGACGATTCAATTCAAACCTGTATTGTAAGAACCAATAGAAATGCTGACTCCAAATTCCTTTCTAGGACTCAGGTGCTAGTTTTATCTTTAGGAGATCTTTAAATATCTCTCCGTTATCCAGCATTTATACTTGAACACTGGCAGAAAAAATGCCTACTGACATTGGACTACCAGGTATTGGAGTGACTTCTGAAAAAGAAAAGGATTCGCCATCTTCACACGGGGTTACAAGTTGAAACTTTCCCCTTAGCAGAATACACAGCTAACAAGAGCCTTTCGGCTGGGCGCGGTGGTTCACGCCTGTAATCCCAGCACTTTGGGAGTCTGAGGCAGGCGGATCACGAGGTCAGGAGTTCAAGACCAGCCTGACCAATGAGGTGAACCCTTGTTTCTACTAAAAATACAAAAATTAGCCAGTCATGGTGGCGTGCGCCTGTAATCCCAGCTGCTCAGGAGGCTGAGGCAGGAGAATCGCTTGAATTCAGGAGGCGGAGGTTGCAGTGAACCGAGATCACACCACTGTACTCCAGCCTGGCTGACAGAGCGAGACGCCATCTCAAAAAAAAAAAAAAAAAAAAAAAACGAAAACGGAAACAAAAAACAAAAAACCTTTCATGTCAAGCAAGGAAATGAAGAAATTCCGATGCAAGGTCCCTCCACCAAAGAAATTCAAGTTCCAAACATGCTGCTGGGGAATGGGCTTCTGCCTAGTAGAAAAATCTAGTATTTGGCCCAGGGTGATGGGAAGAAAGGGAAAGCAAGATTAAGAATTTACAGATATCATTGGGCAGGAAGTGAACTTCAGACCGTGCAATCTGGAGTATGAGCAAAACTGAACTGGTTTTTGGAGGGGCAGAGAAGCTACCAAAATCATCCAGATCATATGTATGCAAAACACATCATTTTAGAAAATGTTTGCAAAAGGAGAGAACTTCAAGCCAAAATTACTCTTCCTGAGTTTTCCACAAGTAGCCACAGACTTTGTAATAAGGAAGGAAATTGAACACAATGAACACAGAATTCCATCTACACACAAAAATTCATGGAAAATCACTTCAAAGTAAGGGGAAATGCGATGATGGTAAATTACAATTCAAATTACTACCAGATCAATGTTATTTTTCCTATTAGATTTTATTTTTCCTTCTCTGCTTCTGTAAGCTGAGGCTGTGAGAACAGGGGCTGCCTTGCTTCGATACTTAAGCCAAAGTTGGCCCATGAGATTGTAGAAAGGTTAACCGGCTCTGCAGCAAGAAAAACATAGGAAGGCTATGAATTAATCTATTCACTGTCTTCCCCCTCATTCGTTCCCACATAGCCCCCATTATCTTCCATGAACCTAAACAGCCAGTGCTGTGTCACTACTGGTGGACCTCCCAAGAGCTTCCTCTGTCCCTAAAAGTGGGGCGCCAATTCATACCCAGGAAGAGCAACCACAGCTTCCACCCTCTCCCTACATAAAAATTATAGCCATTCCAGGGATACTGCTGAGCATGGACTAGCAAGACCCAAACTGGGGGACATGGTGTACCAGAAAACCTGGGAGCACACCTTGGACCCAGTCCAAGAGGCGCAGAGGCAATATCCCAATGGAAGCCACCAAGAGGCAAACCAGGAAAACAGGAGCTAACATCAGGAATCTGCCAGGCAGAACAACCAACAGGGGGCAGTGACTCCAAATTGACTATAGGAGGTGCTGGCCTGATTCCGGGAGACAGCAGGACCCTCAACCTCTTGGGTGTATATGCTTCCAAGAAGATGAATGTGTGTGTCTCTATGGGCACCACTGGGCCTCCAGTGCATTCCATATGGGACCCTACCTCTTTCTGGCACCTGTAGTCAAGCTGCCCTTTCCTATGGGGACCTAAGGGTAAGCCTCATATCAGGCCCTTCTGAAAAGTCCCCAGCACCTATGTTGGAACTTCACCATTATACTTCCCTTTGAATCTGTGCTATTTTGCAAAGTAAAAAATACCTCTTCTTTGCCATGAGTTGGGCTATGTCTTAACTCCCTTGTAAGATGATAAAATCCTTGAAGGAAATTGCTTTTGTCTTACTCATCTTTTTCTTAATCACCCTCCCCACTATGTATTGAATGCACACGATTGCCTTAAGTGGAATCCAGGGACTTTCCCTCGGTCGCTGAAAGTGTGGTTCCAACAAGCAGCAAAACACCCTCAACTCAGACTCCAGCTCCTTAGGGCCTAGAAGGATTCCAGGTAAAATATTGCCTTGCTTTTTAAGTCAGGCAGTAGAAAGGGTCCAGGCTCCACACTCACATAGGAGGTGCCACCCTTCCCTAGAGCATCGATTTTTTGCTCATGCTTTACATAGACATCATTTTTATTATTAAACAGATATAAATACATTATAGAAAACAAAATTCTACATATTTCTTATACAAAACATGAGTCCTCACATGACTGTCAATATCTCAATGTACCCTGCTCTGCCATTAAGACAACTCACTGCAATATGTAATCCTCAACATAGAAGCATGAACAGAAACGTGACCTTGTTTTACCATTGCCAGACCTAGGCTTTACATGATGCTGCTTAAATGAGACACACGGCTACCCCTGGGCTTAGCAAACCAGAAGCCCAGAGGGGAATCTCTCGGAAGAATAAGTACATGAATCTATATGAAAGCCTTCCTAATCCACGGTGCTCAGTCACAGGAAGGCTTCAGTAGGTGTCACTGCAATGGCGTGGTCACCTCTTTGCTACATGGAGTGGGCTGCTGCCAGGCTGGGCTCAGCTGCGTCCCCCTGGGGTCTCCCTTTTTGACATCTTGTGTTTGGTCTTTGCAGGGAACTGATTCCCTCGCTCTTTGTCGCAAGCTGCAAAGCCAGCACTCAGCTCTGAGATGAAGGCAGGATAAGCAGCAGGACCTCCCCGGTAGTGAGCAGATGGATTAGGACTAATTTTGCAAAGGTGAGGGGGGAAGGTTGCCATGGGATCCTAGCTCTGAAGAATGGCAAGCAGATGTGGGGAGTGCGGGGGTTGGGGGAGGCAGTGGGAATCCTATCCAACTCAGTGTGCTTTCCAATTAGGAGCCTTTCAAGTTAAGGCCTCCTTCAGGTCACCTTCAGCCACTTCTTGAAGGTTAAACAAGTCTTGCTTCTAGTGTGCATTATGCAAAGTGGGTAACAATTACTTGTTGTTTATTAACATCATATATTTTATGGTCAGACTTGACCCTGCCAAGCCCCCAACAGACCCGCCACTGGGAGAGGAGTCCCCGGCAGGCAGGGCCCAGTCACCCCCAGCTCAGCTCCAGACTCTCTGCCACAGACTGCTACATCCTGAATTTTCTTATAAGATTCTCTTTAAAAGGAGATTCCACCACTAAGATGTTGAAAGCATGGGTTTGACATGATGAAGCCTGCATTCAGAATCCACACCCCTGTATTGTCTCTGCCCTAACTCCACGAGCTCACATCAGCTTGGCCTTTCAGGTTGCATGTCCTTCCCTCTATGTCCCTTGTCTGGGGACCTGAGAAACCTCAGGTGAAAACTTGGCAGAGGCTGGTGCTTCTGATGGTATCTTGAAGGTTAAGTGCAAATCCTGAAGCATCAGTTTCCTCCCTGCCCCTTGCAGAGCACTGATAACCAAACCCACATGAGAAAGATGCAGAGGCCTGGTGCCCGGTATGGGCTCACTGCCTATCAGGCTCTACCTCTGCCTCCCAGCACAAACAGTGAAGCTCTGTGGAAGACTGGTGACATCATTCTTATCAAAAAACTTGAGGGCTGAAGACTTTGGGAAACTGAACAGCCTTTCACTCCTGCCCTGCCTAAGCCCAGCCTGCCCATCTGATGTGCATGGCCCAGTGCCCTGAAAGTCAGCAGTCAGGACTGCAGCGAGGAAAGTGAAGTGGGCGATGGGCTCCCCTAACCCCAGTTGGGTCTTTGAGCTCTGAAACCCTTGAACCTGAGAGATTGTCACTAGGTAGGGTTTTGGTTTGGAGCAGAAAAAAACAATGGCTGCTGCATTCACCATTTGAAATTGGTGTCGACGGATGCTCTACCATCTCTGAAATGAGAATTGTGTTCTTGTCATCAATGCAGTGCGCACCCAGCTGATTTTTTTAGGAACTAGGTATTTATAAAGAAGCAAGACTGATCACCAGACATGTAACTAGGAGCCTCAGAGAATCACTGGTTTTAATTATTGGAAATATTATATTTGGGTCCTATAGGATATGACCTGGAGGATCCATGAAGATCCCTTTGGTTACAACAAACAGAAATTTCAGGTCATACTAGTTGGAGCAAAAGGGGGTGCTCATGAAAAGGAAATTGAGTTTTCTCATATAATGAGATAAAGATGGGCATCAGGAACACCTGTAACTAGGCAAGAGCCTGACCATAGGAGCTCTGCTTCCCCTCCAATCTCCATTGTGCTCTGAGTATCAGCTCCCTTCCCTCTCCGCAAGGTGAGTGTCCTCAGCAGGCCCTGGGACTCATACGTCCTGGCTTCCACCACCGAAGAGCAATGGGCTCTTTTCCATGTGCATTTCAAAACATTCCTGGAGAAAAAAACTCACGTGGCCAGGCTTGGGACAGGACATCCCTGGCCCAGACAATCAAGGCCAAGCACAAACGCCTTATTCACAAGGGGAGAGCCACCCCTAGGGAAGGGTATGGGGTCTGGGCTGACCACACAAGAGGGTCTCAGCCCTTAGGCCTGACCTTTATGTGCTAAAGCAGAGACTGGAAAACCACAGCTGAATCTGGTTGACTGCTTGTTTTTGTAAATGAAATTTTATTGGCACACAGCCACACCCAGCTGCCTTCCTACAATGGCAGAGTTGAGTAGCCATGACAGAAACCCTATGGCCAGCAGAGCCTAAACGTTTACTATCTGACCCTTCGGAGGAAAAGTTTGCTGACCGTGTGCTAAAGGGTAAGACATTTTAGGAGAGAGCTCAACAGTGGTCCCCAGGTCTGGAACCAGCTCATAAGGAAACAGCCATCCTCCTGTCCCAGGATTTATGCTGTTTAGATGCATTCTAATAAGTAATAAAATGGAAATGTTGTGACTTGGGGTTGAACTTTGTGGACTTGGAGCCAGTGCTGTGATTTTCTTGTGTATTCTGGATCTTTGGATCTTCAGGGAAGTGAGATGTGGGAAAGATTTGGTATTGAAATAACTTAGCTTTTGAGGCTCTCAAGGAAATATGCCAGTTCCAGTGATGTCATAAGAAACACGGAGGTTACAGAGTGAAATGCATTTACAACTATTTGATGACTTTTTACGGGGGATAATGGGATAGGTTTTATAGAATAGTAGCAAGTCTGCATCCTTTTTACTGAGCAGAATTGTACCACATAACTTGTGCTGCCATGTGCTGAGGGTTACCCTGTGTGACTCTCCCTGGAAGGTCTGTGAGATACTGTGAGGGTACTGGAACAGAGGGGACTCTTTTCCTCCTCCTGCATAGATGTTCATCAGGCAGTCATACTGGCAGGCATGGCCAGCTTGAAAGCTTTCTTCAGAACCATCAAGAGGCATTCACTGATCCCTTATGGATGTGAGGTGTGTTGGTAAGGACTGGAGACACTGCCCCATGAAGGAGTGGATAGATCTCTCCTGAAACATTATTCAGCTCTGCACATAAGCACTGCAGGGAAAGCAACCGTCCTGCTTGATCCAGCCCCCAGGTATGAAGTCCACTGGCCTCTCAGAGAGAAAGAACCAGGAGGAAGGGATGGTTGGCTTGAGCCTCTCTCTCCCCTCTTCTCTCTGTCAGCACCCTACCCCCACTACACAGTTGGCACATGGAGAGGTAGGTGAAATGAACAAACCCATCTGCCAGATCATAGCCCCAAGGTCAGTAAGTTAAAGGTCAAGCAGAGAGTATGGAGTCTCTCTCCTTAAGAGGCTTTCCTTTGAGTAGATTGGCTGGATTCCCAGACTCTCTCTCTACTGGGCTGTTCTAAGCTCCCTCTGTCTTCTCCTCATGTAGCTGAGGTTAGAGGTTCATATGAGAACTTTCCTGGCCTTTGAGTGTCCTGAGACAGACACCCAGGACCAACTTTGTGTTGGCCTCAGGGTGAAATTGCCTCTATGACTTCATCTTTAGGATCAAAATTGGTTCATCATGTGCTCCAACCCTTCTGAGCTGCAGAGACTACACTGGAACTTAGTGCATGGGGCTGGAGCTTCAACAGTGATGTTCCCCTGAAATTGTTCTCTGGGCATGTACCTCTCTTGGAGACCTTAAGGGGAGGAAAGACAAAGTAAGGTTGAAGTTTGGGTCTTTCTGGGTCCACTGGCCCAATATTATCTCATAATCTCATCTCTGTCCCCACAAATACCAATCTAGATCCCTTATCTCAGAGGACAATGCTCTGTCCAAGCCCAGAGTGGAAAAATGCTGAGCCCATCTCACTGTCAACTCTCTAAGCAGGAGGAGGGGAGAGCTGTCCTGGGAAGACTGCTCTAAAGCTGTACCAGGCATCGCCTTTTGGAAGCTCTAAGATTTTGTCATAAAAAGCAATATGGAAGAGAGGATTTCATTAAGACAAAAAGACAAAGCCAAAATATATTCCAAGCTCACATTCAAAAAAAAAAAAAAAAAAAAAAAACCGTAAGACTCCTTTTGAGAAGCTTTATAGGAGCTTTTCATGTCATTGAGCTCTTCTAATCTAGATACTAAATTGCTTTCTGTTCACTCATCATTCTTAGCATTCCTCATGAGGACAAACATAAAATAAAACAAAACAAAGCAAAACCAACAGCTAAACATGGCTAGGAAGCCAGTCAAACAGTCACACCACACAAGGCAGCATTCATGCCCCCACACATCAGGGAAGATACACTGAGAATCATTGCTCAGTTGTTCCCTGGGAGATACAGATACCAGTGGGCTGGGGGAGATCCCTGAACACCGGTGAGACCTTGACCCCAGCCGGTGCCCAGGCTCTTGACATCCTCACGAGAAGGAATTCAAGTATGAGTCAGAAAATAGTGCAAGTATGGAGATTTATCACAAAGGGAAAAGTACAAACTCTAAAAAGGGAGGTGTGGGTGTACTTCAGAGTTAAGTAGATGGAGTTTGGGGCTGCTACCTTTATGGATTTCTTTAATCAAGGGGTGGAATATTCATGAAAGTTCTTGGAAAAAGGTGAAGAGTTCTTGGAAAAAGGTGAAGATTTCTTGGAACTGTGGTGCCATCCATTTTTTACATCAAATATGGGTGTTCTCAGAACCATCATGGTGCTGGTGGGTGTGTGGTTAGTATGTTAATGAGCACATAATGAGGTCCTAGGAGAAACCTAGGTCAAATCCAGTGCCATGTTGGTTCCAGTCATTCTCATCCAGCTTGGTCCACACCCTGGTTTTTCAGGGTCTTATCAGCCCATGGGCTGTAGTCATGTGAAACTCCTGCCTGAAATGTTTTATTCTCTTGTGACCAACCTATATTATTCCTGTCTCAAAACAATGACCTCAGAATAACACCTGAGTTATAGGATAGAATATGACCCACCCTGAGGTCTCAGGGTGATCTACTGTGAACACCAGAGTCCTCCTGAATGAGTTAGTGGATGTTGGGACAATTTTAAAGAAGAAAGCAGTACAATGCTTTCTTTGCACAGCCTCCCAGCACTGACCACTTATTGTTTCATCACAGGGCCAGGTTGTAGGCGAACCCTCACATTATTTATATTTCCTCTACAAAAAAGAGTGCCAGCAACCTGAGATTGCATTCATTAATCTAAGCAGGTAAAAGCCAGCAGGACTGCAGCTGGAAATGGTTTCAGGAAAATGAAGCAGAGATTGTCTTCCTTCAATATCTTATGGTAGGATGATCACCCAGCCTCTATCAGTCCTCAAAACAGGGACAAATGACACCTATTACTTTCCTGATAAAGTTTTGATGTGTGTACTCATGGGTAAAAAGCTAGGTAAATGACTAGGAAGACCATCTTCCAGTCCCCAAATAAAATAAGACTAAATAACAGAGAAGTTCAATCTCCTTCAGGGAGATTGGCAAAAAGGATGGAGTTGTCAAAACAAAGAGGGGCCACTGCTTTTTCTATTGCCATCATTTTAGTGCCTTTGCACCGTCTAAACTTGTATTTGCTCACCACCGAGGTTGAAGTTGGGATAAAAGTGGGGGGGAAGGGAAGGCAAACATTTGCTTGAGTAAGAGATCATTGTTTCCATAGCTGTTTGCTATGTTTTCTTCCTGAGCCAAACACCACACACCTGTCTCCTAAAGAAAAGACAGAGCCTGTTTAACCAGCAGCATAAGCAGGTGTTCTCTTGCTGTTCTAAATGGACTGCTTATTCTTGCAAGCAGAAACATGCTGCTCTAAACAAATGCCATCCAGTTGCTTCTAAATCTGTATGTCTGAAACACCTAGGGGAGCTTGCTATAAATATAAATTCCCAGACTGTACCTCCCAAGATTCTAATCCAGTTGGTCTGGGCAGGGGCCTAGGAATCTGAATGTTGAGTAGGCACTTCTGCTCCTCCCTGGGAATGCTGGGAGCTAGGCATAGCAGTTATTCTGCATTCCCATACCTCACGTTAGCATTTTAGAGCGGAAAAAAGGAACTTGGGGATCATCTAACTCAGCCTCTTTGTTTTACACAGAAATAACTTTGAATCTGAAACAAAGAACCTGATTCGACCAGTCAGGGCTGAGAATGGTGGAAAATCTCTGGTCCAGGCTGCCTGCCTCTTGCTGAATTGAGAACTTTGGGATATGTTTCTGTAAAAGGCTAGAAGCAAATAACTTTGGGGGCAGGGGAGTCTTATTAGGAGTCATCTATAGAAAGAAGCCTTTGTTCGGAAAAGATGGCTTTGAAAAAGCAAATGTTAGTGTAAGATGCTATATTAGAGGAAGGGCCCGGGAAAATCCGGCCTGGGGCACAGGGGCACAAGAACCGGTCTTTGTTTGGCCATCTGCAGTCTGCATCTGAGTGCCCAGGGAAGAGGCAGGAACTCAAATGGCTAATAGCTTTTGAACTCCAAATAAAAGGCAAACAAAGCCATTCTTAAACAAAAGGACTGTAGTCTTGAAACAATTCTTAAAGAGAAAGGCCCCGTTGATGTGTATTCCTCCCAAATGGAACTTAATTAGGCCACGCATGTTCATGCACTTTGCAGACACCAGAAAACCCAATCCTTTCTGTATTCCTAGATCCAGGAGGAGCATGGGTAGCTTACAGCTGCCTCAGTAGCACTATATGGATTGTCAGAGATATTGTGTAAATAATTATGGAGTTACCTCTGATAACATGTATGCCCATAATGGAACCACTTCCGGGTACCCTGCACACACCCTTCACCCCAATTCTTATTGAACCACAGGACCCACAGCAGAACAGATGTTGCTGAGAACCCTGGCCATGGGCCTGTCAGGCAGGGATGTGCACATTGTGGGTGTGCTTAGTGTGGATAATGGGGATTCCTGGCAAATTTTAGACCTGGGTAACAGCGAATATAATTATTTCTAAAATTCTGGGTGTTTTGATTTTCATTCCCTTAAAACTTGCATCATGAAATGGGGGCCGTCTGAAGAATTCTCAACAAAAGGAAAATAGGAAGAAGCAGGGCCTCCCTGGGCACTTGCCCCACAGTTTGAGTGATGTGTAGACCCACTGTGATGCATTGAGCTCATCACTTTATTCATTTAGAAATGCCTGCAGTGCACGTATCCATGGGTTTCTAACCACACAGCCCATTAAGCAGAGCTGACAAAATTGAGGCCCTGTGATATTCTTGCAGGTACTGATAGAGCTGGCACAAGGACCCAGGAGACCTCCCACACAGCATCCTTTCTACACCAAGACACAGCCTTGATGACTCATCCTCTGTTGACATGAATTTCCAAATTATTAGCTCTTTCCTGAGTAATCAGTGACATCTCATCTTTCCTGGGTTTGCATGGAGTCTTCTGGAAGATTTGGGGTCAGTCTCTACAGCAGCTGCATCTTAATGTGATCCCCCCATGAGTCAAGCCTTGTGTGACCCTTCCCCTTGAGTGGAACCTGCGACTTGATTCTAGCCAATGGAGTATGTCAGAGGTGATGGGATGCCCCTCACTAAAGGTAATGTTACATGCAAGGTGGTATTCCAACCATGGGGCCATGGACCAGTACCCGTTAGGAACCAGGTTGCACAGCAGCAGGTGAGTGGTGGGTGAGCCAGCGAAGCTTCATCTGTATTTACAGCCGCTCCTCATTGCTCACTTACCACCTGAGCTCCACCACCTGTCAGATTAGCAGCAGCATTAGATTCTCACAGGAGCACAAAACCCATTGGGAACTGCGCATGTGAGGGATCTAGGTTGTGTGCTCCTTATGAGAATCTAATGCCTGATGATCTGTCACTGTCTCCCATCACCCCTAGATGGGACTATCTAGTTGTAGGAAAACAAGCTTAAGGCTCCCACTGATTCTGCATTATGGTGAGTTGCAGAATTATTTCATTATATATTACAATGTAATAATAATAGAACATGCACAATTAATGTAATGTGCTTGAATAATCCTGAGACTGCCCCCCACCCCACCCCTGGTCCATGGAAATATTGTCTTCCATGAAATCAGTCCCTGGTTGCTGCTGTAGGAGATGCTCTCACAGCTGACTGGAGTGAGATTACTTGAAGACATAAGCTGCCATCCTGCAAGAACACCACATGGCAAGGAACTGCAGACAGCCTTTAGGTGCTGAGAACAGCTGCAGCTACAGCCAGCTAGAAAAGAGGACTCAGTGTAGAGCCACAAGGGACTGAATTCTGCCAACAACCACACGAGCTTGGAAGAGGCATGCAGCTTGGCTGATATCTGACCACAACCTTGTAAGAACCTGAGGTCCCAACTAAGCCATGCCCAGTCTGCTGACCCACAGAAGTCGCAAGAGGATAAATGCACAGTTGATTCTCATTATACACCATAGTTATGTTCTGTGAAGTCACCATGAACACCGAATTAGCAAATACCATTGCTGCTATGGGGAATGCAGGGTTAGGTTCCTATGAGTCTCTGGTCACAACATTTTTTGGTCACCCAATCAACACGTAACCTTGTTTTATGTGTGTTTCTATTGACAGGCACCTGATTTAATATATATTGTTGATTCGTTACATTGAACAACTCGTGGCCAACAACGCCACAACTCATGCCTGTGTGAAGCTTCTCTAACACACGGATTTCCTCCAGGAAGCACATCACAGCCTTCTCATGCTTGGGAACACCAGACGGCTCTTCTGTGCTGTGCTTGGGACCATCTTAAACAGTGAAATCACTATCAAAAACACAAATTGGTGACAAACCATGGCACTAAATAGACTGTGAAAAGGACAATTGTTTACAACGTGCGAGCTGGAGCAAGAAGGCAGAGCGTTGCTTTGCTCAACTCAGTGGGATGTGTGCCTTGGGTGACTCAAATGTTTCAAAGCTCTGTGCACATCCACCAGTGAGCATGAAAGCACCTCGGGTATCAATTTTGGGGTTACTAATCGATTTCAGCAGTGGGAGAATTCACAAATACGGAATCTGTAAATGATGAGGATGGGCTGTTTTGTTGTTTTCAGCTGCTGAGTTTGTGATCACTTGTTAGGCAGCCATCGCCAACTAACTCAGTCTCTCACTGCCGTCACTCTGCCTGCCGGCAAACCCCAGCCAAGCTCCCTCTCAGAAATAAAATTCTGTTTCCGGTGAACATGCTGTTTCATACTCTGACTTTCTTTGCCTTCAGTCTTCCTTTGAACGTGACTCCTGTTCTGCACGTATGAGGATGTTAAACAAATACTGTTCTTCTGACACAACCTTTCTGTTACTTGAGTGTTTTATAGTACATTCCTAGAACTCCTATGTATTAGAAAAGCACAAGGAGCTGGAAGGCTTTGCTGCACTTCATAAAAATATGGTCTCTGTAGCAGACACAACTCATTCCCTCAGCCTGGCTTAAACATGAGGTCAAATCTCCTTTATTCCTCATTTTAAATCATCACATGGTTTAAGCTTTTTTCGTATCCCGCAAGATCATTTTTCTTGCTTTTGCAAGAATCCCACTTCCTTTCCCTGATGGATCAAAGAATTCCAGAGCTCACTCACCATGACTCACCCATGCCCCAGCCAAGTTCACAGGGCCGACAGAAAACCAGGAAAGTCGTTCTGTCCTCTGGCCAGCCCAGGCCTTGGCTGCATTGCTGTGGTCATTGACCTGCTGCACAATTTCTCAACCCCAGGGTCACCGGCCACCAGCGACTTTCCTTTCCTCTCTTCTATACCATTACAGAAAATTGGTTGAATATCTCCATGTGACTGAAGCAGGGACTGTCCCCTCTCACATCTGTCCCTCAGTGCAGGCACCCTCGCCCTTTGGACACAATCCTGAATATCAGACCAGCCAGATGTGTCCCACATTCATTGGCAGAATTGAAGCTGAAAGACCCCAGATCCTGCTCTGTACAGCCTGGGCTTAGCGCTGTCTCCAGTAACTGAGCTGAGTAGGTTGACACCTGTGCATAAAGCCATTGCTTCTCCCAAGGCTTGCACAGAAGATTTAGTGGGCAGGTTGCTAGCACCTTCTACTCTCCACTCAACATTGTCTCAGAGACCATCATCTAACTCTCCACATTAGTGCACCCCTCACCCTCCGAATATGGAATCTGCCCCTCCCTCAATCAGTCCTCAAAACCAGCCTGCCCTCAAGACAGGGTAAAAAACCCTCCCGGGTGCATGTACAGATCCTCCTCCTTTTACAACGGGGTTATGTCCTAATAAACCCATTGTAAGTTGAGAATATCATAAGTTGAAAATGCACTCAATACGCCTCGCCTACCCAACATTATAGCTTAGCCTAGCCTAGTTTAAACATGCCTTAGCCAACAGTTGGGCAAAATCATCTCACACAAAGCCTATCTTATAATAAAGTGTTGAATATCTCATGTAATTTATTGACTTCTGTACTAAAAGTCAAAAACAGAATGGTTGTATGGGTAGCATTGCAAAGTTGAAAAATCACAAGTCAAACCATGGTAAGTTGGGACCCTCTGTGTTAAAAAATATTATCACAAAGGAGCTCAGAGTAGGACACAAACATCCTCATGTTGAACTGCACCACTGCAGCACAGAACTTAGATAAATGAAGAGAAAGAACAACACTACGTTTATGACATAGGAAGAAAAATCTGATTGTCCACACACAATGAGCAATGTTTCCCCATCCCAGGGGTTCAGAGTGATTTGTCTATTTCCCCATGTTGCTAGGTTAATCATCATCATCTGCTTCAATGCAGCAAAACAGGAGGAGAATTAATGAACCATTTCACAGCAAGCACTCACCGCGTCTCAGCATAGGCTTACAGAGTAGCCTCAAAAATAAATTACGCAGACCTGCTTTATGCTTGCAGAATGGAGAGAAGAGCTAACAAAGCCATAATTTTCCCTTCTTTTAAGCCTCTGCTCAAAATATATAGTTTTCCACTTTGGTTGATTCCCTTAGGATTTTGTATTGGTGGTGATTGATTTTCTTCTTTTATCGTTATCAATTGACGCTGTGTTCTCAGATCACT
This sequence comes from Homo sapiens, assembly GCF_000001405.40. Taxonomy (NCBI): domain Eukaryota; kingdom Metazoa; phylum Chordata; class Mammalia; order Primates; family Hominidae; genus Homo; species Homo sapiens. The sequence goes on from NC_000002.12 coordinate 234,681,709, forward strand.
GAACATTAGAGATGTTACAATCCCATTTTTAGAAAGCTATAAAAAGTTAAATTTGGAGAATGAGGGACAATACATAAAAAGCATTCTGAAGCATACTAGCACTTTGGCCTATAAAATGAAGATAATTGTAATAATTTATCACATAATTCTGCTTAAGATTTAATTATGTTGTGACTTTGAGATTTCTTCTTTCAGAATTTATAACTGCAATGAATCTTAAAACAATAAAGGAGTTGGAGAAGAATAAGGCAGAAGAAAATCCTTGATGTAAAAAAGATACAAGCACAGGATTCTTCAAAGAAAAAAGAAGAATGAGACAAATCTATGTGCCAATGATTACTCTCAACTCAGCCGTTAGCTCATTTGCATTATTTTAATATACATCACCTGCTCATAATATTCCATTTGGCTTCAAAATTCTTCCTCCCTCCATGGCAGAAGTGATTGGACATTATTCTCATGTGACTTCTTTATCCTAGATTTCTCCTTAACAGCTACATTCCAAACTAATATTAAGAACCATCACATGATACCATTTACAAATCATAGGAAACATGCATGGAATTCAAAAGGGATAAAGTAGCATTCTCCAAAATATTTTATGGGCATTCTTATTTGTGCTTCACCTATTCTGAAAAGTGTTTGAGGCTTCTCACTACTATATATGTATTAAAGTAGAATTTTTAAAAGTAAGAGAAGAAAACCGTGGGAACAATGGAAAACGAGGATAGGAAAAGTAAGATGAGGTCAGTGCACCTGTATTATTCAACTAGTACTGCAAAAGTGCTGCATAATGGACAATGACAAAATCTCCGTGGCTGACAACTGCAGCATTCCCTTTGCACTCATAAGCCTGTGAGTCAGCTGGGGGCCTCTCTCACTGCAGACCCTGCTGGCTCTGCTCCACGAGTCTCTTGCCCTCCTGGGACCAGAGAGGCCAGTTGGGGCATGTTCTTTTCATAGTGAAGGCAGACCACAGGCTGGCAAATGGAAATGCATGATGCTTCCTAAGGCCTAGGCTCAGACCTGGCAACTGTCAATTCCACTTTCCTCATCTTATGTAAGTAGAAACTCTAAAGCAAATCTGCACAAGGAATGGGATTCTGGGAAATGTAGTTCCCAGCCTTAGATGCCTATAGTGATGGTGGTAAAGGTGAGGGTGATGGTGTGATGGTGATGGGTAGTAGCGGTGATGATGGTGGTAACAGTGGTGGTAATGATGGTGATGATGGTGACAGTGGTAGTGACAGTGGTGGTTATGGTGGTGATGGTGGTGATGCTGTTGGTGGTGATGGTGGTGGTGGTGGTGGGTGATAATGGTGGTTATGGTGGTGGTGGTGGTGGGTGGTGATGGTGGTAGTGACAGTGGTGGTTTTGGTGGTGATGGTGGTAGTGGTGATTATGCTGGTGGTGAAGGTGAATGGTGGTGGTAATGGTAGTGATGTGATGGTGATGGTGATGGTGGTGGTTATGGTGGTGATGGTGGTGGTTATGGTGATGATGGTACCGGTAGCAGTGATGTGATGGTGGTGGTTATGGTGATGATGGTACCGGTAGCAGTGATGTGATGGTGGTGGAGGTGCAGTGGTGGTGGTAACAAGCTGAAAATAGATAATTAAGCGCAGTATGAAAATGTTCAGTCCCTGAGCACCTTTCTAGACATAAGGTTGAAACAACTTCTATACTTTCTAGAATTCAATTCAAAGGGAAACATGATCACAGAGGCTGTAAGATTCACTTAGGGATGGGTCATTTATAATTCATTGGGGAGCAGGTTCTTTTTGTGTGAAGTTTTATCTTCATCAATTTCAATCATTTCTGTTTTTTATCTGATGATTCCACTGTTTTCTCTGTTTTCTTTTTCTGTCACACTTATGTCTCATCATATCTCTCATTTTTTTCATCTTTTTATGTTTGGGAAAAATTTTCCTGACTCCACCTTTATTTTTAAATCTCAAATAGTTGTTCTTTTCCATTTCTTTCTTTTTCAGAATATTTTGTTCTTGGTTTATGTACTAAAAATTTTACATCTCTCTATTAATTGGAATATTATTCTTAGATATTTTCTGTATCCTAAATTACCATATTTTTTCTGTTTATATTTTTTTCTGTTTCTTTGTTCAGGTCTTTCTTGTTTGAGCTAGAAATCAAAAGGTATCTGAGACAAATGTCAATCAATTTAGAAGTTTATTTTGCCAAAGTTGAGGATGCACCCAGGAAAAAAAAACAGAAGTTACAGTAGGATCTGTGGCCTGTTCTTTATCCGAAGAGAGTTTCATGAACATCAATATTTAAAGGCAAAAGAGCAGACAGGAGTGAAAGGAGGAAAGAAAAAAAAAAAAGGAGGGCAGGCAATGAGGCAAGCAGTTACATTCTTGTGAGGCTCTGATTAGTGCTCACTGCATCGACATTTTACATAAAAAGAGAGGAGTAGGGGGAAAAGTCAATAATGCATTCCTCTCGAGCTCAGTAAATCTACATTTTACATAAGATAAAGTTAGCATGTGAAATTACAGCTCTCTGGGAACAAAGAAAGGCAGGTTTTGTTTGTTTGTTTGTTTCTGTTATATGTATTTTGTTTTGTTTTGTTTTTTGTGAATCAGTTCACAGGCTGAATTTTTGCCTCTGGCATAGTGACTTTGGGGTCTTAAGATTTTATTTTTCTTGCACAGAGTTTAGGTCTCCTCCTCTGCCTGGTGATTCTTGGTCTTCTGTTTGGGATTGAGAAAACAGGATGGGTATGTGGTGTTGGTTCTCTCTGTGGCTGAGTCTCTATGGTATGGTGGGTGTGTTCAATTATTTTAGAAAATAGGCTACAGTGGTTTCTCTTGGAACATCTACAGGCCACCTCTTCTATGGATCAAGGAGTATATATTCTTTGTGAACTTGTGACTTATCAGGACTTTAATAACCCCCCTGCATACCCAGTTAACATATTCTAGGAAGTTGCTTCACCACACGTTTCATTAGCCAACACATTTCCCTCTAACTAGCAGTGTCTGCATTTTCCATTAAATAATCCATGACTTCTCATACTATTTGCCTTTGCCAACTTCATCACATATTCAAACTCCTTCTCTAATAATAGGGCTATATGAACTAAAAATCAACACAGCTTTATGGCATTTTTAATATTTGGAAAAGTCATTTCCCCTCATAATACTTTCTTTCAAAACATTTAAAATTTATTCTCAACACTTTTTTCTTCCACATGAACTTTGGATTTATTTTAACAAGTTTTCCCAAAAATAGTATAGAGACTTTGTTTGGAATTATTTTAATTATGTAAGTTGGGAAATTTAATCATACAAAATAGTCTTATCATCCAAGACATGTTATGTAAATATTGGTATTACTTATTTTTTGGTGTGTAATAATAGTATCTATAATTATTTGTATGTTTTCCAAGTGGTTATAGACATTATAAAGACCTGATTTTTTATATATTACTTTCAGAATCAGCCACTGAATTCTATCCACAATCCATATGTTATTTTGATTGACAATCTGGGGTGTTTATATACAATCATACTGGCTGCAAATAGTAATACTTCTATCTTCTTCATATCAAATGTATATTACTTGTTTTTGTCTTCTGTCCAGAGCCTCCAAAGTAACATTGTAATGTGTTGATAGGAATGAGAAACGAAGACCTTCACTAAGTTTATTTTTCTACAGTTTCCCTATTCCTTGACTACACTGGGCAGAGGTATTTATTGTCTTTGCAAATAAATCATTTTTTGTTTCACTTATTAATCCCATCATCTTAAAAGTCATTAATTTCTGATTTCATCTATATTATGTTCTTTCTAATTCCCTACGTTGAAGGATAACATATATTTTTTTTCTTCTTCATTTGGAAATGAAAGCATTTAGGGTTAATAATTGGCCTCTCCCAATACCTTGGAAAGCCTTAGTTACATAGTGTCTTCCTTTTTAATAATTTTCTAAATATACTGAAATAATATTTGATATCCTATTAGTTATCTGAGAGGGCTTTTATTTTATTTGTTATATCTTAACTAATTGGGTTATTCTTTCTAAATGTTTATTATAAATCTTGAATTTTAGAAAATTATGTTCACGAATAACAAGTTTTGCTCTGAGGATTTTATAGAGGCAAATATATGCAACTTTTGTAAATGTTCCATGGACATTCAAAAATTAGTAGTCCTATTAGTACGAGCTTTATCTTTATCTTTTCTAAGTCTTACATTATCATTGTGATAGGCTGAACAGTGGCCCCTTAAGATATACAGGTCCTAATCCCTCAAACCTTTGGATATTACTTTATAAGACAAGACTTTGCAGATGTGATTAACAGTATTGAGATGGGAAGATTATCCTGAATCAACTTAAAGGAAAAAAAAACTGAGGCAAAATTAATAAAAGTAGAGAGTTTATTTGGGCCAAATTTGAGGACTGCAACCCAGGAGCATAGATCCTAATTGCCCTGAATCTACATTCTAATTAACAGCAGTTACAAGTCGGATTTTAAAGAAAAGAAGGAGAGGCAGTTCCTAAGCTGTTCACCAACAATTTACATTAAAATAACATAGTCTATTGAATGGCTATACATTGTCTTTTGTATCACTAATTCCAGGAACAGGATATAAGGGTGAGACATCTGGTCTGAAATGCTTTTAAACAATTGCCCCCAGCATAGGTGTGGAAGGGCAGGGTGAGACTGAAGCCCTGTGCTCAAGTATCTCTGAGCCTGGTAAGTTCTGCCCACATCGTTCAGACTGCTCTCAGCTATTTTTCTTTTCTCACCTGGATTATCCAGGTATGCCCTAAATGCAAATCACAAGTATTCTTACAAGAGGGAGGCAGAGAGAGATTTGATAGAGAAGAAGAAGGCCTTGTGACCACTGAAGCTGGATGCTATGCTGCTGGCTTTGAAGGTGGAGGGAGGGGCCAGGAGCCAGGGAATGTAAGGAATGCAGCTCCAAGCTAGAAAAGACAAGAAAGGGCAGGAAAACAGGTCCTCCCCAGAGCCTCTGGAGACGGTGAGGCCCTACTGACATCTCCATTTCAGCCCAGTGAAACTGATTACAGCCTTCTGACCTGCACAATTGTGAGACAGTCAATATGTGTCATTTTAAACCATCACATTTGTGGCAATTTGTTATGGCAGCCACACGCAACTAATTCTCTTTTCATTGTTTCCTGATCTACCATAGAGTAGTGGTACTGATAAACTCTCCCTAATAGTTGTATTTTGATCATTTCTTCTTGACTTTTAAAATGTGAATATACAGTGCCAGTACTGTGTTTCTCAGCATATGAAGGCTAAGGACCATTTTTACTGCTAATACCTTTCATAACACAACATGACTTTTATTGCCACTTTAAGGCTCCTTGAGTTGATGCCTACATTTTCTTCATATTGAAATAATCGTTTCCTCTGTCATGTGAACTTTCCTGTCTATCTTTCCCCAGTCTTTTATTTTAAATTGTAAAAGAGCTCTCCTTAATATTTATTTCTTGTATCATATCCTATTTTTGCTTCCTATTATAAGACTTTGCTTTGATATAGCGGAATTTAAACTGCCAACATTTATCATCATAACGAAAATGCTTGACCCTTATGCCTCTCATCTTGCTTTGTTAGGCTTTCCATTGTATACTTTACTGTAGCTTTCTTTTATATTCATGTTATTTGTACGATGGTATTTTTAAAAATTATACCAATGAATACTTTTAATTTTTAAAATATCTATTTAAATGTGTTCTCTAATTATCTAAGTCCAGAATAAAGCAATTATTTTGACTCCTTTTTACATAAGACTTAAAATTTATTACACTTTATCTCTTCCTATGCACTTGATTATTTCCTAGTCTTTGTTAATTTACTTTCACATTATAGACCTAGATCGACGTATATTATCATTGCTATTTTTAATAAAGTAAAAATTATTTGAGATTTTTTTTCTCTTTTTAGGCCATTTTAATGTAACTCATTTATTCATCCAATAAATATTTATTGAGGACCTATACTATGAGCCAGATGCTGAGCTAAGAAGTGGCAGAGCCTTAGTGATCAAGACCACACAGCCTCTGCCTAGGCCTCATGGGCTGTGGTGCTGTGTGGTCTCTGTGTTCGATCCATTTCAGTTCTCACCTACCCTGTGTTCAGGCCACCCTGAACTGGGCTTGGTTCTTTAGAATCACCGTACCTACCATGTTACCAAGCCACCATGCCCTAAAGCCACCATGCCACTATGCCCCTATACCACCATGCTACCCCATTACCACACCACCATGTCACCACGCCACCATGCCACCCATGCCATCATGTCACCATGCTACCACACCATCGTGCCATCATTCCACCATGTCACTATGCCACACATCAACTCACCACCATGCCACCATACCACCATGACATCATGCCACCATGCTGCAATGTCCCCATGTCACCACCTCACCACACCACCATGCCACCACATCATCATGCCACCATGTTACCATGCCACCACATCATCATGCCATATCACGTCACACACCATCATGCCACCATATCACCACATCATTATGCCACCATGCCACGATACCACCATGTCACCATGTCACAACATCACCATGACACCATATCACCATGCCACCATATCACATCTTGCCACAATGCCATCATGTCACATCACCATATCACCATGCCACATCACCATGCCACCATCTCACCATGATATGGTGAGATGTTACTTACTGTACCACTGTGTCATGATGCACCCTGTCATACTGAACTATGTTATCAAGTTACCACACCACCATCTCACCCTGTCACCATCCCACCATGCACCATGCCACTATGTTACCTGTCTCCTGGTAGGTGTTTGCCTGTTTATTTCCCTCTTGTCCCTTGGACTGTGGGCTTCACAAGGGCATGGACCTTTCTGGTTTTGTTCAAAATTTTGCTTACTAGCACAATGCCTTGGCACCTTGCAACCATTCAATAAATGTTTATTAACTAAAGGGGTGACTAAGTAAGGTGCTCTTTTTTTGGTAATTAATTCTTTATATTGATTGCTTTTATGTTGGCTAGAATATCTCTTAACTAATTATAAAAGAGAATGTGAATGGTCATTTTCTAATCCCCAATGTAACCAAGGATGACCCTGTGTTGTAAAAGTGTGGCTGGGTATGATAGTCTTTGTACCTAACTTTGACTCAATTTTTACCTCTTAGAAGTGTGTGAATTTGGGGACATCATCCCCTGGCTTTTGCAGAAATGTCTGATGTCAGATTAATTTTTGTTTGTTTTTAAATAATCTGCCCTCTTTTCTCTTTTGTCTAAATATATGTGAATTTTTATCTTTTTCCTTTAAAAAAATCCCATGTAGTGTGTTGGTCTTGCCTAGTATATGGTGAGTGTTCTTCCCCCTGTGGATTAAATGTTTGTTCTACCCAGAGAAGTTTTCATGAATTACAACCTCCCTTGAACTACCCTGTCCACGTGCAGGTGGCCAAGTGACCTTCCCCCACCCACCACCATGTCGAGAACTAGAGCTCAAAGATATAGAGGAGGAATAAAGGTAGATGAAAGTAGGAACACCGCTGATAGCTTCAGAGATAGTCCTTGTGCAGTGACCTTGTGCAGTGAGAGGGTGTCCGCTCTGTTTTCTGATTAATGTGGACTCAAACAAAGATCACCCAGGGGGTCAAAGTCTTTTCCTACCTTCTCTGGGACCTGCTATGCTGATCTCATGCAGCGGACTTGGGGGAATTCCCTGTGTTCCTCAATTAAACCCAAGCTCTGCTAAAATATACAAATAGTCATCCTAAACTCTAGGTCCAACATTGGCCTAGAAACTCTAGGTCCTAATTTTCCAAGCTGTTAGATGTTTTTATTTTCCGGATTTTTTTTTTTTTTTTTTTTTTGAGACGGAGTTTCACTCTTGTCGCCCAGGCTGGAGTGCAATGGCATGATTTCAGCTCCTGCTCACTACAGCCTCTGCCTCCTGTGTTCAAGCGATTCTCCTGCCTCAGCCTCCCAAGTATTACAGGTGGGATTACAGGTGGCCACCACCATCCCCAGCTAATTTTTGTATTTTTCGGAAGAGATGGGTTTCACCATATTGGCCAGGCTGGTCTCGAATTCCTGACCTCAGGTGATCCTCCCACCTCAGCCTCTTAAAGTGCTGGGAATACAGGCATGAGCCACCATGCCCGGCCTGTTTTTGGGATATTTTAATGGAAAGTGATGGAGTATGAATCCGGCCTGCTCAGGTAGCTCTAGGTCAGCCATGAAATCTACGTCCTGATAAGGAGCCTGGAGAGGCTTCCTCAAATCCCCAGGCCATGGCATTGCCAGCGCAACACTTGCATCTCCTGACTTAGCCCAGCACTGCCAAGCAGACCTCATGGGTGTCCTTCTGCCACCTTCGTGCTTCCTCCATCCTGGTCTCCCTGTCTGTTTACATCAGTGTTTCTCTTGGCCCAGGGCAGGGTCTCTTTATCTCACGGCCTCTGTGGTCCAGTTAGTTAGGAGAGAGTTTTGAGCAGGTGCAATTAGTGTGGAGTCTCTGGGGCCTGCACTCACACACGCGGGATCCTGACAAGCCCTGAGTCCTGGAACAGCCGCACCCTGCAGTAGCACCCACGGAGCAGCCTTTAGGCCCTGATGCTCCTTTCAAACAATCAGAAGCTTCTGTGGGCCAGAGCCGTCCATAGGGCCTTTGAGAGCCTGGGGAGGTAGAAGGGAGAGTGAGGCATCCATAGCAGTGTCTGCAGGGAAAGGGGGGTTTACCTGTCCCCTGGCACAGTTAGATGTGTAGCTCACGCTTTGACTATAGGATGCTCTTATGTGTCCACACTTCACAAAGCACAGGGCAGCTCTGTGTTGTTGCCCAGAAGAAAATGAACCCCCCCCCGCAACTTCCACTATATGAATTCTCTGCATCGCTGCCTCTAGGCAGCAGGACAGCCAGCAGTAAGCTGCAGACATCCCACCATGCTGCAGCTTGCTGTCTGCAGCAGGAAGCCCCACATACAGCCTGACAGTCAGGCCAAGCCATTTGGCCATTCACCAGTGCTGCAAGCTCAGGCAGGTTGCTTAACCTGTCTCAGTTCCTGCTTCTGAGAAGTAAAGCTAATGGGGTCTATGTCATGAGATTACTGGAAGATTAAGTAAAATAACAAGCATCAGGCAGCTGACACAGAAAGTGTGCCTGAGAGGTGGATGGATGGCTCCCTAGCCCCTCTCTTTGTCTTCTGGGCTGAGCCCCTCCCGATCCCCACAGGGCAAAGGCTGGCTGATTTTCAGTAGTTTAAGCTGGTGTGTAGCAGCTAAACTCCACATTTCTAGACCGTTTGAACAGGAAACCTGAGATGAGGGAGCGTTTGAATTGGCTCATGCAAAAAACAATATTTGCTGGAGGTTAGCTGCTGCATTATGAATTTTTAACCTCCCATAAATCAAACTGTAAAAATGGACAAAGGCTGAGTTTCCTGTGCCAGGACCAAAATAGACACCGCCTGCGTCTCTTAGACAATTCCGATTATGTTTCCACAACCAAATCATGCTGAGATGAATAGCTGGAATATTTATATTTAGGTCCTAACGTATAATGTAAAATAAATGAAAACAGTCTATCTTCTTGGCACTGAAATTGTGCCACCATATCCATTTACAAAGACGATAACTCAAAGACCAGGCTGTGCAAAGACCATCATGTGCCTGGGGCGGGATTTTGCTTCTCTGCTCCCATTGCTTTTCCCTACGACCGTCGTCACCAGATACCCAATACTAAATGATTAATAGAAAATCCCCAGCGGGATCAGTCCACAGCAAGGTTTAAAGTGAATCCTTTTGTGAATGCTTTATACTGACAAATACAAATGCTTTAAAAGATCCAGGAGATGGAACCTTGTAACTGCAGAGGATGGTATTTTAACTAAAGAAAGCTTTTATTAATTTGACAAACATATCTTTCCCTGGCAACTCCTATGAGCTACAAACTTAGACGAATATCATAACAACTAAGAGATTTTTATTCTTTCAATTTAGTGGTAAAGGGAGGTATTAAAGCACCTGATTTACTATGAGGCAGAAAGAAACATGAGCTCGAGTGTTACAAGCAAATGTTACAGACTTCTAGAAGGAAAGACCGCACCAAAAAAGTGAAGTTGGAGCTGAACTTTAAAGGATGATAAAGGTTTTAGTATGGAAAATAGAGCTCCAGAGGCCAAGAGAAATGTGGCTACACTGAGGTGAAACTGGCAATAGGGTGTGGAGTGAAAGTATACGATACAAAAAATAAACTGAAAGCAAGTATGGGCCAGGCACAGCGGCTCACGCCTGTAATCCCAGCATGTTGGGAGACCCACGTGGGAGGATCACTTGAGGCCAGAAGTTTGAGACCAGCCTGGCCCACATGGCAAAGCCCTGTCTCTACTAAAAACACAAAAATTAGCCAGGAATGGTGGCACACACCAGTAGTCCCAGGTACTTGGGAGGTTGAGGCAGGAGGTTCGCTTGAACCCAGGAGGCAGAGGTTGCAATCAGCCTAGATCATACCACTGCACTCCAGCCTGGGTGACAGAGCAAGACTCGGTCTCCAAAAAAAATAAAGCAAAGTATGAAGCAATTTGGAATAAGGAAGATAGAGCCTTATAGGAGACTGGAGGTTTTTAAAGGCTTCTAACAAAAGGGCTGATGTGATATCAGCAGTGTGAATGAATCGATTCATTCACTTAACAAATATTTACCTAGCTCCTCAGTGAGGGATGGAGTGGTAGGTAACAAAACCAATAGGCTCCTGCCCCCATGGACCCACAGTTTCATGGGGTGACAAGCATTAACAAATAAACCTGTAAGTAAATGTATTAGGTTGATGCAAAAGTAATTGTAGTTTCTCCATTACTTTTAATGCAATTACTTTTGTGTCAACCTAATATAATTACAGGCAGAAGAGAGAACTAGGTAAGAAGGGTGCTTAGGGTGATGTCCAAGGAAGCAGGGAGCCCTGACTAATACTGGGGGTTGGAGAGAGGAGAGAAGGCATTGCTGAGGACCTGGCATCCACACTGGGTCCTGGGGGGTCAATGGAGTTGGAAAGCAGGGCTATGCTGGGGCCAGGGCTGCAGCAGAGATTGGAAGCATTCCAAGTGCAGGACTAGGAACAAAGGCCTTTTGGCAAATGAAGAGGTAGGCATTTTCAAGAAAACAAAAGAGAAGAGAGTGGCATAAGATAACTCCAGGGGGATGGGACATCTGCAGGGCCTGGCAAGGCACATTCAGGATTTTATTTTTATTTATTTATTTATTTATTTATTTGAGACGGAGTCTCACTCTGTCACCCAGGGTGGAGTGCAGTGGTGAGATCTTGACTCACTGCAACCTCCACCTCCCAGGTTCAAGTGATTCTCCTGCCTCAGCCTCCCGAATAGCTGGGACTGCAGGCATGTGCCACCACACCCGGCTAATTTTTTGTATTTTTAGTACAGATGGGGTTTCACCGTGTTAACCAGGATGGTCTCGATCTCCTGAACTTGTGATCTGCCCACCTCGGCCTCCCAAAGTGCTAGGATTACAGACATAAGCCACCATGCCCGGCCCAATTTTTGTATTTTTAGTAGAGATGGGGTTTCACCATCTTGGCCAGGCTGGTCTTGAACTCCTGACCTTATGATCCACACACCTTGGCCTCATAAAAGCGCTGGGATTACAGGCATGAGCCATTGCACCCGGCCACATTCAGGATTTTAATCAGGAAGTGCAAGGGGAAGCCACTGTCTGGAGTGATAAGATCTGGTTGGTTGAATAACGTCCCTCTGGCTGCTGTATGGAAGGTGGATCTCAGAGGAGTGAGTCTGAAAGACATTGTGGTGATCCTGAGGACTATCATCTGATTTTTTTTTATCTTGTCCGAATTTCTATCTCAAGGGTCTGGGGAGTCATGTTCTACAAATCATAAATTCTCATCAGATGGGTTTAATTTAACCCTATATAGGATGACTTACTTTCCAACCTGACTCTGGCATAACATTATGAGACAAGGAAGAAAATCAAAATATTTTACCCCAAAACATGTTTCTTTGCCATATCTTGAAATGGCCCTGCAAAGCTGTCCTTTGTGGGGGAAAATTTGCATCTATAAAGAATCTCTATTAACCTAGCTAGTTCTTTTTCTTCAAGACCCTCCCAATCCTAAAGAGATTAACTAAAAGTCTAGCACCTTCTAAAGATCTGAATAGGAAACATTTGTCATCTGTTATCTCTAAAGGGCAGCCACCATAAGACTTCAAAAGAACCTTGGTCTTCACAATCTTTTATCTTAACCCGAACATTTCCTTTCTGTGATCCCAGGTCTTTAGATAAACTCAACCAATTGTCAACCAGAAAATGTTTAAATTCACCTATAGTCTGGAAGCCCCTGCTTTGAGTTGTTCTGCCTTTCTGGATCAAACCAACGTATTTCTTTAATGTATTTGATTGATGTCTCATGCCTCCCTAAAATGTATAAAACCAAGCTGTGCCCTGACCACCTTGGGCACATGTTCTCAGGACCTCCTGAGGGCTGTGTCAGAGACCATGGTCACTCATATTTGGCTCAGAATAAATCTCTTCAAATATTTTACAGAGTTTGACTCTTTTCATTGACAATGTGAAGGAGATATGCAGCAGTTTGCACAGAGCAGTCCTGGTGAACCAGGAGGCAAGAGGGCAATTTAAGACCTCCTTCAAAGTTACAGCAGACAGATCTTGCTGATGGGTTGGGGGTTGGGAGCAGTAGAGGAGGGAAAAGTCAAGGAGATTCCATGTTCTGACTTGAGCCACTGAGCAGAAGGTGGTAGTTTCCCAGAGATGGAAAAGCCTAAAGTAATGTTAATGCGTAGGCTGCAGGTGAGAGGTCAAGAAATCAGCTTGAGATTTGGAAACACTGAATGCCTATGAGACATCCAATGCAGAGGTCAAGTGGGCCATTCACAATATGAGTCAGAAGCTCAGAAAAATGAAAACAACCACAGATCATCTGGGAGGAGGGCAGAGTAGAGGCAACAGCTAGAAAGGGCAGTTTCCATCTTGGCTTCCTGTGCCTGGGATCTGCCCCAGCTGACCTTTCCAGGAAGTCTCTGGTGGTCACCTGCCGACCTTATCACAAAGCTCTCCAAAACACATCAACCTTAATTTCAGGTTCAGGTTCACCCAAGAAGAAAAACAGTAGGCTTTTGTCTTATATCCTTTTGCAATCACTTACCCTTCTCCAAATCTGGGCCCCAAGCAATTATGAGTTTACTTTCTCTTGCGATAGCTTAGCTTTGCCTGTTCTCCTCCTCGGTTCTTTGAATGTGCCTATAATAATCTCCAACAGGTTTCTTTGATATTATGACAAATTCTAGACACATCCTGCATTTTCCTTGACTGCAGAATCTGTATTAACTCTTCTCAAGAGCCCTGGTTCCTTTTTGTGGGAAATGATATGTAGAGACCACAATCTGGGTTCAAAGGGTGCTAATTAATAGTGATTCATTGTTACTAGGCCTTTTATAAAGCTAGGAAATTTCTGACTGGGCGTGTTGGCTCACGCCTGTAATCCCAGCACTTTGGGAGGCTGAGACAGGCAGATCACCTGAGGTCAGGAGTTTGAGACCAGACTTGCCAACGTGGTGAAACCCTGTCTCTACTAAAAATACAAAAAATTAGCTGGACGTGGTGGTGCATGCCTATAATCCCAGCTACTTGGGAGGCTGAGGCAGGATAATCACTTGAACCTGGGAGGCAGAGATTGCAGTGAGCTGAGATCACACTACTGCCCTTCAGCCTGGGCAACAGAGCGAGACTCTGTCTCAAAAGAAAAAAAAAGGGCTAGGGAATTTCTAAAAATTAAGATAAAACACTTCCTAATTCATACTGCTAGCTTCCGATCCAGATTCTGGATATAGGCTTTTTACTAAAATTGATTAATCTTACTTCTATTCTTTTTTCTCCCACACAGAAAATTCTGGTTCTCAATGACACCAGCATCATTACTGATTTGCTTTCTACTCACACACAAATAGCCTCCAAATAAGAATGCCAACACTATCACCAAAAAGGTAATTGCTGAAAACTGTTTAAGATCTTTAGCAGGTTTTTGGTGGGAAGGGCTTGGGGGTTTGGGAGGTTGGTTTGGCTTTTTTTTGTTTGTTTGTTTGGTTGTTGTTTTTTTTTTTGGTCCTGACATTATATCCCACTTGGAATGTATACTGTAATTACCATATTTGGAAACCACTTGAAATAGTTTCTCTTTGTGTGGTACGACATCAAATGCATACATCATGAAATTTGTTCTATTTTGCCTTCTATTTTTATGAATGGTTTTAATGGTGGTTTTGTTTTGCAACTATGTAAAAATATGTACATGTCCCAAGTCAAATTCCAAAAACAAGACATATTCAAAGAATTTTAGCTTCTCTACCTGCTATCCCTTTCCTCTAGTCAAATTCCAAAACGAGATATATTCAAAGAATTTAGCTTCTCTACCTGCTATCCCTTTCCTCTGAGATAGCGTTTTTTTAAGATTTATACCAGCACTGTTTTTACACATGCACATGTGCACACACACATACACATATTCCTTGTATTAGCTCATTTTCCTACTGCTATAAAGAAATACCAAAGACTGGGTCATTTATAAAGGAAAACAGGTTTAACAGACTCAGTTCCACCTGGCTGGGGAAGCCTCACAATCATGGCGGAAGGTGAAGAAGAAGCAAAGACACGTGTTACATGACGGCCGTCAAGAGAGAAGTGCAGCATGAAATGGGGGAAGGCCCCTTATAAAACCATGAGATCTTGTGAGAACTCACTCACTACCACAAGAACAGTTTGGAGGTAACAACTCCCATGATTCAATTACCTCCCACCAGGTCCCTTCCACAACAAGATGAGATTTGAGTGGAAACACAGCCAAACAATATCATTCTGCCCCTGGCCCCTCCCAGATCTTATGTTCTTACAATTCAAAACATAATCATGCCCTTCCAATAGTCCTCCAAAGTCTTAACTCACTCCAGCATTAACTCAAAAGTCCAAGTCGAAAGTCTCATCTGAGACAAAGCAAGTCCCTTCAACCTATGAACCTGTAAAATCAAAAGCAATTTAGTTACTTCCTAGATACAATGGGGGTACAGGCATTGGGTAAATACACCCATTCCAAATGGGAAAAATTGGCCAAAACAAAGAGTCTGCAAGCCCTATGCAAGTCCAAAATCCAATAGTGCAGTCATTAAACCTTACAGTTCCAAAATGATCTCCTTTGACTCCATGTCTCACATCCAGGGCACACTGATGCAAGAGGTAGGCTCCCATAGCCTTTGGCAGCTCTGCCCCTGTGCCTTTACAGGGTACAGCCCCTCTCCTGGCTGCTTTCACCGGCAAGCATTGAATGTCTGTGGCTTTTCCAGGCGCATGGTGCAATCTGTCAGTGGATCTACCATTCTGGGGTGTGGAGGACAGTGGCCCTCTTCTCACAGCTCCACTAGGCAGTACCCCAGTGGGAACTCTTTGTGGGGGCTCCAACCCCACATTTCCCTTCTGCACTGCCCCAGCAGAGGTTCTCCATGAGGGCCTTGCCTTTGCAGGAAACTTCTGCCTGGACAGCTAGGTGTTTCCAAACACCCTCTGAAATCTAAGTGGAGGTTCCCAAACCTCTGTTCTTGACCTCTGTGACCCTAAAGACTCAACACCACATAGAAGCTCCCAAGATTTGGGGCTTGTACCCTCTGAAGCCACAGCTGGAGTGGCTAGGATGCAGGACATCAAGTCCTGAGGCTTCACACAGCAGGGAGGCCCTGGACACAGCCCAGGAAACCATTTTTTCCTCCTAGGCCTCCAGGCCTGTGATGGAAGGGGCTGCTGCAAAGGTATCTGACATGCCCTGGAGACATTTTCCCCATTGTCTTGGTGATTAGCATTTGGCTCCTCACCACTTATGCAAACTTCTGCTGCCAGCTTGAATTTCTCCCCAGAAAATGAGTTTTTCTCTCCTAGTGCATCATCAGGCTGCAAATTTTTCAAACTCTTATGCTCTGCTTCCTCTTGAATGCTTTGCTGCTTAGAAATTTCTTCCACCAGATACCCTAAATTATCTCCCTTAGGTTCAAAGTTCCACAGATCTCTAGGGCAGGGCAAAATGCCATCAGTCTCCTTGCATAGCAACAGTGACCTTTGCTCTAGTTCCCAACAAGTTCCTCATCTCCATCTGAGATCACTTCAGCCTGGGTTTTATTGTCCATATCACTATCAGCATTTTGGTCAAAGCCATTCAACAAGTCTCTAGGAAATTCCAAACTTTCCCACATCTTCCTGTCTTCTTCTGAACCCTCCAAACTGTTGCAACCTCTGCTTGTTACCCAGTTCCAAAGTCGCTTCCACATTTTCAGAAATCTTAATAGCAGTACTTCACTCTACCAGTACCAATTTACTGCATCAGTCCATTTTCATACTGCTATGAAGAAATACCCAAGACTGGATAATTTATAATGTGTAAAGGAAAAGAGGTTTAATGGACTCACAGTTCCACATGGCTAGGGAGGCATCACAATCATGGCAGAAGGCAAAGGAGGAGTAAAGCCATGTCTTACCTGGAGGCAGGCAAGAGAGAAGTGCAGCATGAAGCAGAGGAAAAGCCCCTTATAAAACCATCAGATCCTGTAATAACTCACTATCACAAGAACGGTATGGTGGTAACTGCCCCCATGATTCAATTAACTCCTACTAGGTCCCTCCTATGACACATGGAGATTATGGGAACTACAGTTCATGATGAGATTTGGGTGGGGACACAGCCAAGCCATATCATTCCTATTACCTTTCTGAGATATATGGAAGCATATTGTATGTAAACATATTGTTCTCTTTGTTCTCATTGCCTAATATGACTGCACTGTGGCCTCTGATCCTCTTCCTTCCTTTTACACCCTAATGCTCCATTACATGGAAGCACCACTGTTATTCAACCAGTCATCCATCCATGAAAATTTGTCATTTGTAATCTTCCATTATTATAAATAGGGTTGCAATAAATAGTCTTGATCATTTGTCTTTTTGTATTTCTGCTAGCACCACTCATTTTTAGGGCACTTACTACATTCCAGGCCTTAATAATATACCGGCGGGAAGACATAAATCCCTGCTGCTATGATCGAAATATTTGTCTACCCCCACTCCTAAATGTATATGATAAAATGATGGTATTAGAAAGTGGGGCCTTTGGGAGGTGAGGAGGTCATAAAGGTGGATCCCTCATGACTGGAATTAGCATCTTTATAAAAGAGACCCTAGGGAGCCACCTCACCCTGTCTGCCATATGAGAACACAGCCAGAAGGCATCATCTGTAAACCAGGAAGCAGGTTCTCACCAGATACAGAATCTGCCAGAACCTCCATCCTCCAGAACCGTGAGGACTAATTTTCTGTTGTTTATAAACACCTAGAGTGTGGTATTTTGTCATAGCAGCCCAGATGGACTAAGACACCTGCCCTTAAGAAGTCCTCATTCTTTTGGGGTTGGGGGAAGAAGGACATTACAGAGAATCTGTTGGAATGTGGTAGGGGCTCTGAGGAAAAGTAAAGCTGGGTAAAGGGGATAGGAGCCATGGGATGGGGGTGGGCGTTCTAGCCTATTCAGATAAGTCCCCTCGGATAATAGGGCAGTTCAGCAGAAACCTGGAGGAAGTGAGGGAGTGAGCCACAAAGGCTCCAGGAAGAGGAACAGCAAATGCAAAGAGAAGCACACCTGAAATAGGAACAAATCATAGGCCAGTGAGACTGCAGCAAAGTGAGTGAGGGGAGGTGGTGGGAGAGCAGATCAGAGGCATGGCTGTGGCCTGGATCATGAGGCTCACGGAAGGGTATGGTGCATTCCAGAAGGCCCAGGCACAGGTAAGGCAGGCAACTGTCTGGGAGCCCCAGCCCCCATACCCAAGCACCCAAGCCCAGCACCACACTCCCGACCAGCTCCCCAAGACTTTGAAACTTCAAGCCCATTCCCATCATCTGTGGCACTGGCCCTGCCTGCTCAGGCCTGGGTAGCAGAGTGCACAATACATGGAATGTCTGGGCAGGCCACCATGGGACAGAGCACAGAGGACACCCATACAGCAGCTGAGAATGACCACAGGCCCTCTGGACCCAGTCGCCGGCTGCTCCCAAAGCTGTCTGCTCCTTCAGTGTCCAGCTATGCCATCTACCCCAGAAGATTCCCCCTTGGCTTGATGACCTGGTTGCAGCATTTACCTTGGTACACAATTTGTATTGTTTTAGGTGATTAAAAGTAATTCTCACCAACTCCACATGCCATAAGCCTGGGTAAGAAATGCCCCACCTGGTGCACTCCCAGGCCCCAAGCCCTATGCTAATTGACTATTCAAGGCATTCTCTGGCACCCACTCACTCACTATGCCTCAGTTCCCACCTGTAGGTTAGCAAATATGTCATGGGACACCAGGTAAGCGTGACTTTGTTGAGGAGTTAAGCTGAGGAGGAAAACTGAAGTCAGGATAGGCATACAGTGGGTTCTCTGACTTTTGAATCCTTTTGGCCCTGGTTTCCTCATTTAAAGGGATGAGGATAAAAGACTGGTTCCTGTATCATAGGATACATACATATCATAGGATAAATGTTAACTGTCACACATGTAGTGGAGTGATGTCTAATATACACTATGTGCAGAAAATGTGTTACACGATGACAGTGATTTTTATTATCATTACCATACATGGTGTCTTAGTTCTTTTGGACTGCTATAGAAAAATATCATAAACTGGGTAGCCGATAAACAACAGAAATATATTTTGGATAGCTCTGGAGGCTGGGAAGACCAAGATTAGGGCACCAGCAGGTTCCATGTCTGGCAAGGGCCCATTTTCTGGTTCTGAGACAGCACCTTCTCACTGTGTCCTCATGGGGTGGAAGTGCTGAGGGATCTCTTAGGGGCCTCTTTGAGAAGGGCACTAATCCCATTTGTGAGGGCTCCAGTCCCATGACATAATCACCTCCCAGAGGCCCCACCTCCTAATACCATCACCTGGGGGTTAGGTTTCAACGCTAGAAAAAGTCAAACTATACCAGCGACTAGAAGAATTTCATAAAATTCTGGAAAGTCTGTCACGTTCTGATAGTGCTGCTTCTCTCCTCCTGGGGGTCATGCGTAAAATGCCTCAGCCATTCCGAGAGCCAGTGAGGTGATCTGCGGAAGAGAGGAAGAGCAGAGCTGGGCACAGCATCCCCTCCACTTTGGAAGAGAACCCTGATGGACAAGGGAGTGGTGGTGATGCTCTCAAGAGGTGTTGTGAGGGAAAGGGTGAGACAGAGTGCAGACAGAGGGTGAGGCAGCGCCAAAGGACAGATTTGAGGGTTCCTTTTAAAGACTAGATGTGCCAGCCAGGTGCGGTGGCTCACGCCTGTAATCCCAGCACTTTGGGAGGCTGAGGCAGGTGGATCACCTGAGGTCAGGAGTTCGAGACCATCCTGGCCAACATGGTGAAACCCCCTGTCTACTAAAAATACAAAAATTAGCCAGGTGTGGTGGTGTGTGCCTGTAATCCTAGCTACTGGGGAGGCTGAGGCACGAGAATCGCTTGAACCCAGGAGGCAGAGGTTGCAGTGTGTTGCGATCGCACCACTGCACTCCAGCCTGGGTGACAGAGTAGGACTCTGTCTCAAAATAAAAAGAAACAAACAAACAAACAAAAAAACACAAAAAACAAAAAACAAACAAAACAAAGAAACCCAAACTAGATGTGTCTGTTAAAGCCACATTAACAAAAGCAAAACCTCTGCAGGGATTTCAAATAGAGAGAATGCAACGCGGGGCTCTTACTGCACAGCTGGCAGAGGAGGTGAGGAGCCAGCAGGGCAAGCTGAGTAACCCGGGGCTGGCATGTCTGACAGTCACAGCCACCTTGCTGGAGAGAGGCTGGGCAGTGGTGATGTTTGGGGCCGGAAAGCTGGGGCTGGAGATGGAGTGTGGTGGGCTGCCTTTGGGAGCTGCTGCCAGAGACCCAGCAGTGAGCAGAGAGGTGATGCGGACCAGCACCCCCTCCTCCCGCTCATCCCTAATCTTCCTCTGGGGCCTACCATTGGCCAAACCTGCCCAGGAGCCTGGGGTGAGTGGGCCTGAGGAATAGAAGAGCCAGAACTGTGGATGGACAGCTCTATGGGAGATTTGACAACTTTAGGGGTAGGATGAAGGAGGTGAGAATCAGAGCCATGGGGTCGGGGGACGGGGGTCAGAGACGTGGCCGGGGTGGGTCTGGCTGGAGGAGCAGGAAGCCTGTTCTAGCAGTTGGAGCAAAGCTGGCGTTTACAGGGAGAAGGTGCTTCACCCTCAAGGGAGCTCAGAACAGGCCCTGGGAACGCTGGCCTGGGGTCCTGGGTACGCTGGCAAGGGTCCTGCAGAGGTTTCCTCGCTGCCACTCCCACAGGAGGGATACTGATATGGTTTGGCTGTGTCCCTACCCAAATCTCATCTTGAATCCTAGCTCCCACAATCCCCATGTGCTGTGGGAGGGACCCGGTGGGAGGTGATTGAATCATGGGGGCAGTTTCCCCCATACTGCTTTCATGGTAGTGAATAAGTCTCATGAGATCTGACGGTTTTATAAGGGGAAACACCTTTTGCTTGGCTCTCATTCTCTCTCTTGTCTGCTGCCATGTAAGACATGTCTTTCACCTTCCACTGTGATTGAGGCCTCCCCAGCCATGTGGAACTGTGGTCCATTAAACCGCGTTTTCTCTATAAATTATCCAGTCTCGCGTATGTCTTTATCAGCAGCATGAAAACAGACTAATACAGATGCTCCGCCACCTCACCTCTCGGAGGAGAAACTGAAGCCTGAGACACCAAGCTCACAGCCCCAAAAGTGGCCAAATCAGGATGGAATCCAGGTGCAGATGATTCCAAAGATCAAGCCCCTTGGAGCCACACATCCTCATACACACACACCCTCCCACCTTCTCACTCAGGTGCACTCACAGCCCCTGGCCCCCTGGCACACTCACACTCACACATGTTCACACCCCTCGAACACTCAGCACATCTCCTCAGTCACACTCATGCCACAGTCGCCCACCTACCCCGGGGGTCAGAGTTGCCCTTGGCACAGCCCGGCTGTGGGAAAGGGCCCAGTGCTCTAGGGCTCTCCTGGAGGAAGCTTTCATTGAAGACCAGACCTGGGGCATGCGGCGATGTCCCCACTGTTCGTGAGGTTACTGCAGGGGTTTCCGACTTGCCCCTTTGCACAAGGACAGGGCCAGTGCTTAGCACATGGTGCTTAGTAAACAGATGATGGAGGAATGAATGGGTGAAGCCAGGCGTGTCTGGGAGGGAGCCAAAGCCCCGAGGCAGAAGAGAAGGAAGGACAGACGTGAACTTGCAGGGTGGGTGGTATGTGCAAAGAGGTGGTGGAATGTTTATTATCCTGAGACCTGGGGTGGAAAGTCCTTTGAGACAGACGCTGGTGTTTGTTCAGGATCCTCTCTAGGTGGGTGGGTGGGGGCAGCTGTGTCCCCTGAGGGCTGCACGTGGGCAGGCACCCTGCTTCAGAGGAGGGAAAGCTGCCCCACCTGAGAGTGAGGGAGAGAAAGGAGGAAGAGCAGGGAAGACCAGGGGAAGTGGGGAGAGGGAGGGGAGGCAGGCAAGGGGCTGGGACTAGACAGGGAAGATGACTTCAAGGAACGAGCTCTCCAGGCGCCTGACAGCACCAAGCTGTCTCTATTCAGCTTCTGCACCACTGCCATGCAAGACCCTTCCAGAAAAGTCTTCTCCACTCATGAATGGACATCCTAACTGACCTCAGCTTGGGTGGTGGGAGGGGGATGGACGTGAGAGAGATAAAGGAGGAGCTGAATTTCATGCTGGGACCATGATGCATAAACAGTTGTGTTTGCTTCACTCCACAAAGGCAGACACATTCAGGGAGGGCGTTCTCAGTAGAGGAAGAATAATGGCAGCTCATAAAATATCATGGAAACTGACAGTAGTGTCTTCCAGGCAAATTTGATAAGCCTGTTCCTAAAATAAACTTAATTCAAAAGGAACACGGGCAGCAGAATGTGAATTATCTTTTAACTTTCTTATTATTTTTCTGGCGCTTCATTCTTTTTACTCAAGATGCTCTAGTAGTAGCTCGTTTTGCCTTTACAAGGAGCAAGGGACTCCAGACTGTCAGCATCTAGCTGAAAAACTGCTTCTGCTTGGGTAGTCCTCAGTCCTCCCAGAGCGTGCACAGCACAGCGGGGAATTTCAATCGCTGCAGGTGCCCAGGGCTTCAGCCCTGGAGATTCAGGATCAGTTTACCTGGGCTGGGAGACCTGTACTTTTAAAAAGCTTCAAGGTCCTTCAAATGGGCACTCAGAACCAAGAACCATGCTGTTTGGTGCTGAAGCTAATGCCACTCCACCCAAAGCCTCAAAGGTTGCTTAGATACCCACACACTTCTGCTGAAACAAGCTTCCAGAAAGGAATGCACAGATGAATGTCGTTAACAAGGCAGGCCAAATGTTTTGAGTTCAGAAGTATTTTTTCTTTCTTTTTTTTTTTTTTTTTTTTGAGACGGAGTCTTGCTCTGTCGCCCAGGCTGGAGTGCAATGGCACGATCTCATCACACTGCAACCTCCGCCTCCCAGGTTCAAGCAATTCTCTTGCCTCAGCCTCCTGAGTAGCTGGGATTACAGGCACGCGCCACCATGCCTGGCTACATTTTGCATTTTTAATAGAGACAGGGTTTCACCATGTTGGTCAGGCTGGTCTCAAACTCCTGACCTTGTGATCCACCTGCCTCGGCCTCAAAGTGCTGGGATTACAGGCGTGAGCCATCACACCCAGCCAGAGTTCAGAAGAATTTTAACCCAGTAACTGAATTTTCTTTTTACAAATGTAATGATCTTTAAGGTAGATGGTGTGGTAGCAGGGGGTTCTGGGAGGTTTGGCTTAATAATATGGAATATCAAAATGAGGGGAGAAACTGAATAAGGGTGTGTTTATGCTTACATTAATTATTTGTAAGTGTATCTATATAGCTTTAAATAACTCAAGTTGTTTTTCTTTTCTTATTCAAATACCACGAAATCCAAAAGCTATGAATTCTCTGAAATATGGACTAATGCTTAGAATGTTACACCTTCCTTTCCCCTTCCAAAGTGTCGTTACTACTTTGATAGAAGCTGTAGGCACAGGCTTCATAAGTATAATCATATCACTTTCATTCATAGCCAAGAAAAAATTGAGCTTCTTATTGAGAGTACATGTCACTAAGAATCCAGCTTCTGCAGAGGGGGCAGGGGGAAGGTTTTCTGCTTAGTCCCAAATTGCTTTGGCCATGATTGGATTTCAGTGTGAAAAATTGAGGCAGCCTGTTCAGGGTGAGATAGGAGGAAGAGAATGTGGAGCCGCTAGTTGCTGAGCAGCTGTGAGACAGTCAGCATACAGGCCATGCCTCATTTTCCCATCTACAACCAGGGGTGATTGCAGTATGTGGCATCCAAATGCTGACCACTCTACAGCTTCCACCCTGCGGTCTCAACAGTACTGGGGACCTGAGAACAAGACAGAGGTGAGCCTGGTACAAAGCTTCAGCCACACACCTACTCATCTATGCTGTCATACTCACTTGGCCCTAGCCAGAACCACAGATGACATCATCCCGGGTAAATTAGCATTATTTCCACCATTACTCACCTCTGCCTGCCCTCTTGCCTTCTCTTCTAGGAAGTTACGTATCTGAAAGTGGTAATTAATGCAAGTGAGAGATCTGGTCACTTAAATGTGTGTGGCACCTCTCCCCTCTCCTCTTCCTCCTGCTCTAGCTATGTGAGACGTGCCTGCTTCCCCTTTGCCTTCCGCCATGATTGTAAGTTTCCTGAGGCCTCACTAGAAGACACTATGCTTCCCGTACAGCCTGCAGAACCATGAGCCAATTAAACTTCTTTTCTTTATAAATTACCCAGTCTCAGATATATATATATATATATTTTTTTTTCTTTTTTTTGTGTGTGAGACAGAGTCTTGCTCTGTCCCCCAGGCTGGAGTGCAGTGGTGCCATCTCGGCTCACTGCAAGCTCCGTCTCCTGGGTTCACGCCATTCTCCTGTCTCAGCCTCCTGAGTAGCTGGGACTACAGGCGCCCACCACCATGCCCGGCTAATTTTTTGTATTTTTAGTAGAGATGAGGTTTCACCGTGTTAGCCAGGATCAGTCTCAGATATTTCTTTATAGCAATGCAAGAATGGACTAATACACATGCTTACTTTCAAAAACTTAAATATATGAAAAGTATAAGAAAAAAATTAAAAGGATGGATACTCCCAAAGTAAGAAGATCATCTTTCTTTACATGTTGATGCACTTTCTTGTAGCCTTTGGTCTAAACAGGCCTCTCAAACATCGCTGGGTCCTCCTTGTACATGGGTTCTCAGGAGGTACCAGCACTATTTGTTCCCCAATTCTCCTCGCTCATTTACTCTCACTCTCCCATTCTCCCCAGTTGATTTTGGGCATCCACAAGGGGCTCTCACACAGGGGAAGAAGTGACTTTCACACCAGTCATCTTGTGATTTCTAGGGCACAAGCAACACTCCTCAGCACCACGGCCACTGCCATCCAAGAAGACATCACCCCCCTTCACCAAAGAGCCCCTATAGCAGCCCCAAACCGGCAAGGGCCAAGCAGAACTGTGCTTTCTTCAGGCCCTACTCAATCATGGCCCAAGTCTATAGTTCTGCAGGAGAGGGAAAAAACATCCCTTGTCCCAATTTATTTTGAATTTTGTCATCTGTCTTTGGAAAAATAGTCTCATAAATTTTACCTTGCACTCCTCCCTCCCCAGTTCCCCCTTCAAAGGCCTTGCCAGTTACTCAGGAAAGGAGACACATACTTGAGAAGTGGGGTGTTGGGGTAGGGGGCAGGGATGCCACCAGCTCCACAGTCAATCTCTTTACTTCTTTTTAAATATATTCTTAATTGACAAATAATAATTATATATATTTATAGGGTACAATGTAATGTTTTGATTATATATACATTATGGAATGAATTAATCCAGCTAATTAACATATCACTTCACATACTTATTTTGTTGTTGTGAAACATTTAAAATCTGTTCTTGGCTGGGCACAGTGGCTCATGCCTGTAATTCCAACACTTCAGGAGGCCAAGAAGGGAGGGTCACTTAAACCCAGGAGTTCAAGACCAGCCTGGGCAACACAGTGAAACCCCACCTCTACAAAAGAATACAAAAATTAGCCGGGTGTGGTGGTGTGCAGTTGTAGTCCCAACTACTCAGGAGGCTGAGGTGGGAGGATTGCTTGAGCCCAGGAGGTTGAAGGTGCAGTGAGCCGAGATTGCACCACTGCATTCCAGCCTGGGTAACAGAGTGAGACCCTGTCTTCAAAAAAAAAAAAAAAAAATCTTTGAACAACTTTGAAATGCACATTGCATTATTAACTATAGTCACCGTGCTATGCAATGGATCGCAAAAGCTTATCCCGTGCTGAAACTTTGTGCCCTTTGAGCAGCCTCTCCATACCCACCCACACCCAGCCCCTGGTCTCTACCTCTGTGAGTTTGGCTTTTTCAGATTCCACATATTAAGTGAGATCATGCAGTATTTGTCTTTCTGTGCCTGGCTTATATCACTTAACATAATGTCCTCCCGGTTCATCCATGTTGTCACAAATGACAACATTTGTGAATAGTATTCCATGACGTATATATACCACATTTAGTGGTACATCAACATACATTTAGTTTGTTTTCATATCTCAGCTATTGTGAATGACACTGCAATGAACATAAGAGTGAAGATATCTCCTCAACGTGTTGATTTCACTGTCTTTGGATACATACCCAGTAGTGGGACTGGACAGCAACCTTGATGTAGTCTTAGAACCAGGCTGTGCATGTGAATGTGTGTGTGTATGTTTATGTGTGTGCACGCATGTGCCTGTATGTTTGTACACATTACATAATTGTAAACTTTCCATCAGCACAATTTTATATTATTTTTGCTTCATGTCACTTAAGAATATATTATGAATATCTTTACATGTTAAATTTTGGGAAACCTCTTACGTTTGCTGCACATATATGATTTGCTTCTCCTTACTGGGCATTTGAGTACCTTGCATATTTTTCCATTTTAAATGATCTTGCAGGGAATGTCTTTTGATATCAACCTTTGTTATTTGCCTTGGAGTGAAATTACTGGGTCAGATGGCATTTACATTTTAAGCCCTAACTCTGCTTATAGAATAAAAGGCATGAGCACAATAGAGAATTTCCAAAAGCAAAGCAAGTGCAGTTGTCCTCTGGGGGCTGGGGACAGTCACTCTAGAACCACAGCAGGTGGGTGGCTGTCTGCTACACTTATCCATCTAGGTGCATATATATATATATCTTAGACATATTTTTGTTAGAAACAGCCCCGCAGCTTTAGCCTGCAGCTCTCCCCTCTTCCCCCCAGACATTTCTCTTAAGAGTGATGGGAATACATTCTATGAAGCTGCTGTTAGGCGAGACAGCTCCCAGTAATGCCAGCCATCAAGTGATTCCCGTGAGGGGCTGTATGGGTGAATGCTCGGCATTGCAACAGTGCACAGCAGGCCACCAGTCTATTATCCACCAAATCTCGAGATTCAGCCCAGGATGCATTCAGTTGCTAAAACTGTCACGGCAGCCACTCGCTGCTAGCTCTTAGGCAAGAAAATGTGCATTCCTTCAGAAATTCAGGGAAAGCCGTTGTCTCTATAAAACAGAAAGTCCAAAGCAATTGCGCAGCTGCATGATGTTCAGCACATTACATGGATTCTTCTCGCATCTGCCTCTTAAGTTGTGTAAAAATGATTATGCAATTCTAAATTTGGAAACTTACCTTATTGTATGCACCAGGGACTCAACAGAAATTTTTATATCATATTCAAGAATAGCAAGTGGTACCAGGACACTGATTTGGCTAGCATAAATGTTACAATTGCTAAATACATGGAGTCAGACTACCAAAGGATTCATTTGTTTCAATCAATAAATATTCATTGAACACTGAGTCTCTGTGAGACCCTGTGCCAGAACCAGGGAATGCAGTAGAGAAAGACCAGCCTGGTTCTGCCCCAGGCATTAAGCTTCCCACCATGTACACTAGGGCACTTCATCAACAGCAGGCTTATGGCCCGCCTTGGTCATGAGCATAAAGACCATTGCTACTAATCTTTATAGTAAAGCCCTGCAGAGATGGGAGTGAGAGCCCGTCTCTTTGACATTCCAACTCACATCTCTACATTCCCCTGACAGTGAGCTTTCAATTTGCCCTTGTACTGTCCTGTCTCATGTTTCCCTTTGATCTAGAATGCTGATCTGCACCTCTTCTATTGGCATACATCATACAGCCAATCCTTCCATGCCTCGCCTGCCTATAACACTTTTAATGGGGAGTCTTGCCCAAGGCTCCAAGCAGAAACAGCCACGCTCTCCTTTACTGTGCATTGTGCATGCCTCTGTGATGGTGTTACTATGCCGGGACCTCTAGGCCATAATTTTACATGTATTAATCTATTAATAGCTCCTTCTCCAGATGTAAGCTAATTGGGGACTGGGACATAAAGTACTTATGGGTTGAATGAATGAATGAATAAGTGAATGCAAAGCTGATGCACACAGATTTTAGCCACAAAGAAAAATTTCCCCAGCCATTATTGATAGAATATGAGCTTGGAGTTGTTTTTCCAGCCTTAAGAACAGCAGGGCTGGGCGCGGTGGGTCACACCTGTAATCCTAGCACTTTGGGAGGTTGAGGTGGGAGAATCACATGAGGCCAGGAGTTCGAGATTAGGCTGGCCACCATAGTGAAACCCCATCTCTACTAAAAATACAAAAATTAGCTGGATGTGGTGGCAGGTGCCTGTAATCCCAGCTACTTGGGAGGCTGAGGCAGGAGAATTGTTTGAACCTGGGAGGTGGAGGTTGTAGTGAGCCGAGATCGCGCCATTGCACTCCAGCCTGGGTGACAGAGTGAGATTCCACCTCCATTAAAAAAAAAAAAAAAAAAAAGAACAGCAGGACCGGGATGTAGGATGGCTGGAGGCAGAGGTATAACCTATGTCCATGAAGCTGAGAATGACCAATGGCTTGTAAAGAGCTTAGATCCATAACCCTGGACTCACTGCCCCTTGACTGTTGACAGATAGGACCCAGAAAAGTAGTGTCACAAAGCACGAGACAGAAAATCAACCATTGTCCCAATTCTATAAAAATGGACTCATTCAATGTAACCCTGGGAGACTTGGTTGAACTTCACCAAAACCCCAGTTCCACAGCCTGTGGCAGGTGGAAGCCCCCACCATGATGCCTGGGTCTCCATAGCCTCACTCCTCTCCCTTCTGTGCTCCTGCCACCTCGTGGGCTGTCACTAGTGGATGCTGAGACACAGAACTCTCCCCTTCAGTAGGGTCCACAGGAAATCCATTCACATCAAGTATTTTGTGATTTTTGTTAAACTCGCACTGAAGATTTTGTTTGTCAAAGAAACAGTCATATCACTCACCACACAAATACACTTGCACCAGCTTGCCTGTGTTGACGCTGCTTCCTTCTATTTTCTGACTCCTTTCCTTCTAGTACAGTCAAAATATTCCCCACTTGATTCTGGCCCTATCCTTTAGTCCATACCCAGTTCCTCTAAGAAATTAACTTCTACCTCCACTCACTGTATCAATGCAATCCCTCTGAACAAATACAGGGCCCTCTCAATAAGGACTTCTGGAGATTTTGACGTTCTCTCTCCCACTTCATCAAGCAGTTGTTAAAATTTGCTGTTTGCCTCCCCCAACCTCCCAATCCACAGGACTCTTCTTTAGATATTAGCATAAATCAGCATGATTTGGGGGAAACAAATCGTATTTCCATGTTTACATGGTCACTGCTTTCTGAGCAAAAGGTGCTGGCAACCTGGGTTAAAGGACGTTTGAGTGGCAACAAACCTTGGAAGTTAAAGTAGTAACTTCTGGAGAGATTGGCAGCAGCATCTCCCCTAGCGATGGGTATTTATATTCCAATGGTTGATGGACCTAGAGACCTTCTCGTTCTCTCCCCAGAGAGCCTTTGTTTACATTTCAGAGCAAAAGCTCTTTCTCTTTCTCTACCTGGGGTGAGAAGAGGAGGAGCAGCTATGTCAGCAGCTTTTATGTAAGCTCCAGAATTTATACTCCTCTCCGGTGGCCCAAATTCCTACATCTGGATCTCGGTTTGTCACTCTGAGGGGGATGGATGCATGGGGACTGGTGCAATGATGGCTATGTGAGCAATTAAAAATCTATCTCTGATCTAGAAACCTGGCATTTCCCAACAGAACAAACAAGCAAATAAGTAAAGTTATACAAGTAAAAGTTATAAAATGGATCTCTCAACATGAACTTTGTTATTTCTTCGATAAATAGATTGGAACGAAGTAGAGGACTGTGTAAAGAAAAAAGCAGGGAAGAAATTATTAACATCTCTGTGAATATATTTCATGGTGACGTGTCATGTATTTCATGAAACCTAAGATAGCAAAAGTTATAAGATGCACTATTATTTCGTGCACCACTACAAAAGAAAGAAAAAGCCTGCCAATTAAACTATAATGCAATGATTTCTAGTACCTTAGAACTTTTATTTTATTGAAAGAATTATTTTAGATTAAAATATAGACAAATCTGTCATATAAGTGACATAATTTAGTCAAGGTATTCCTAAAGCTTTTTTACATTTAAAGTCTGAAACTTGTGGATTTCTTTTCAAATTTCAGGTGAACATCAGTGTCATTGATGTTCATGTTGATGACACAGCATTTTTTTAATGCTGGAAATGATTACAATTGCACCTCACAAATTAGTCCTCAATGTCAATAATATCCTAATTGTTGTTGGGCCAACAGAGACTGTAGGAAGCTGTCAACTGTAGTATGCATCCCAATTTCGAAGATATCGGAAGGTGAAA
This sequence comes from Homo sapiens, assembly GCF_000001405.40. Classification (NCBI taxonomy): domain Eukaryota; kingdom Metazoa; phylum Chordata; class Mammalia; order Primates; family Hominidae; genus Homo; species Homo sapiens. The sequence continues at coordinate 234,711,661 of NC_000002.12, forward strand.
AAATGTGTCTTTTGAATAATTAAAAATATGGTATATGAGATAGACTTTTTGACTTTAAAAAGAAGGAAGGGGAGAAGACACAAAAGTAGCAGTTGACTGAAGTTATTTTAATAAAAATGTAAGAAAAACATGTCTATTAATCACCATTAATGATCACAATAAACAATTTTTAAGGTGACTTGAGTCAATTTCTGAATTTCCCTTTCCTTCAAAATTCCCAGTAAATGATTAACAATGAAAAGACTTAGGCATATGAAAAATACATGGGCTGAAAAACAGGAACAGTACATATCTGCGAACCTAGAGGGATGTCAGATGATCCTTGAGTTATGAGGGGGTTCATCCTGATAAACCCATCGTAAGCTGAAAATATCCTAAGTCAAAAACACACTTAATGCACCTAATCTAACAACGAACACTATCACTTCACCTAGCCTCCCTTAAACGTGCTCAGGACGCTTACCTTAGCCGACTGACAGTAGGGCAAAATCATCTCACACAAAGCCCATTTTACAATAAAGTATTGAATATTTTATGTAATTTCTTGAATACTGTACTGAAAGTGAAAAGTAGAATACTTGTATGGGCTTCTACCAAATGTGTAACACTGTTGTACCATGGTAAAGTTGAAAAATCATTCAGCCAAACCCTCATTAAGTTGGGGACTATCTGTATGGATAGAAGTGGGTTGGAGGTATCCCAGCCACTCTGATTCCACACATGTGAGAGTGCAGCACTCCTGGACAGTATTGGACAGAATATACTCAAATCTGCAAAGACACAGCGGCAGGAGCTGAGCACGAGGGCAAGACAGTGTCTGATCAACAGGGATGACCTACTGACCACAGCAAGGGCTCCAGGGTCACACCAAGCAGACTGGTGTTGGCTCCCAGGATCCCTGAGACAGAAATGGTGATGCTCCAGTGAATGGAGCCTGCACCCCACACAGGGAAAAGAAAGTTCTCTGGGGAGCCCAGTTCTCCCTTTGTGGCCTAGGACCTGACACACTGACTCTGTCTGATGCACTCACCAGTGGATCTCCAGAGCTCACTCAGAAACTGGCACACAGCCGGTACTTGGGGGTTGGCTGGATTCATTTATTTTACACATATTTGAGAGCCCAGAAAGGAACAAACAGTGGTTGAATCACCGGGCATATGGGAATAAACCAATGTCAGAGTCTCCAAGGAAGTTTACATTCTAATAGAGGCCATAAAGAGATCAATATATCCCAGGTCAGGAGGAGATGAGCCCAGAAAGGACAGGAAAGCAGGTAAGGGAGGCAGGGCTTGGGGGATAGGGGAGCGTGGCTGCAGATGAAGTAAAATGGTTGGGAATGAGGCTCACAGAAGTTGCTGGGGCAGCAGAGAAATGAATGAAACAATGGAATGAGTCCCATGGACACCTGTGGGAACAGCATTGCAGAAAGAGGGAAGAGCAAGCCAAGGCTCTGAAAAAAATAAGCAAATGGATGCAACAGTGAATTTACGGGACTAACCTCCCTATCCATCCAAACCCAAGCTTCCTGACTTCTATTTCACCTGAGACTAAAGATTTGCCCACGTCATCTCTGAAAGAAATGTCCTCAAGTTCACATTCTGAGCAAACATCACCCTTCCTGGCTAAGAATGATGGGCAGGTGGGGGCGGGTGGAGGGTGAGGTTGAAGTACAAAAAATGTATAAAAAGGTGAAGGATGTATAAAAGATGAAGGAGTTCAAGAGAAGGGCACGATTACGGTGAACTAGAACCAATGTCCCCTAAGAAGTGGACTTGCTCCAAGGAGAAGGAAAGAATTATTTCCAAAGCGTTTTTTTCATACACAGTTTTACTTTCAACATGATGAGAGAGACAAGGCAGTTCTAGAGAGAGAACATCATCCTGAGGTCAGCGAAAATTGCTTTCAGTAGAAAAGCTATTACCAAATTTTAAAACACAATAAAAGAGTTTAATAAGGTGCCTAGTTACAAAATAAATCTATAAAAATCAATAGCTTTGTTTTACAGCAATAATAACCTGACACAAAATGTAATGGGAGGAAAATTCCATGCACCATCATGATGATAAATATGAAATACACAGGACAATCTTCATGAGGTATGTCAACGTCCTAGATGAACACTTCAAACTTTACTTAGAGAGAGAAGACATCATGTTCATTAAAGGGAACAATTGATGTTGTGGTTTTCATTTTCTCTGTCGTAATTTTCATTACCTTTGTATTAATTTGCTCTGATGTCTGTATTCCCCACTATGCTGTAAACTTAATAATGGCAAAGACTCGGTTCCATTCTTTGCTGGGTACATATCCAAGTACATAGCCAAGTCTTGGGACGCAGGAGGTGCTCAATAAACATTACTTGGATTAATGAGTGAAGACGGAGATGATCACAAAACTAAATTGTCTTAAAATGACCTCCAGAAAAATCCAAGATTCTGCCCTGAATCAAAAGAATGGTTTCAAATCATGGTAATTCTTAGACAATCAGGAATTTAATTCTGCCAACATAATATTTCTGGAGCCTCAGCAAAGAGTGTACATCCCAACACATTTAGGCATAGTAAAAGTGAAAAAGATGCTTCCAAGAAAATTACCATCTTGGTAATTTTCCCAGCAGTCCTGGGGGGTCAGTGAGGCTCCTTGAAATGTTCCAGAGACTTCCGGGAGAGCGGTAATTCCTCCAGAACTTCCAACATTTATTACATTGACAATATCATGGAAGGAAACGCTTGTTTGGAACCAAACCTAACTTGATAGCTGAAGCCCTTTGGCCTTCTTAGACGTGGAAATCAGACAGCATAATCCACATAGAGGTGAAACTCAGTTTCCATTCCACCCCTTCTTCTTGACACTGGGAAGGAAAGGAGAAGGAGCTACTCTTGAAATGGATACCCCATGGTTTAGTAGAAGACACTGATGACTTTTCAGTCTGCAAGAAGAGCTCTAGAACCCAGTATTGGGGGCAAAAAAAGAGAGACCACATAATCCTTCTGCATATGGAAAGGATTTGCTTTGAGGAAGGAGATGCCACGAGCAGAACGGGAAGTCAGAGAGCAAACAAAATGGCAGCAGGACCCTGGAGCCCGTGCTGGTGAGAATTGTCAAGGGATTGTCGGAACAAGTCCCAGTGCTCAGTTAAGTCCAGGTCTGTAAACAGATAGTTATACGAATCGAGGAAAAGGAGCCAAGTTCCACATGTAGATTGGTACAAAGACTAGGAATTGGCTGTGGGAGGGAAGAGCTCAGCGAGGCTTTGAGTTCTGCCAGAAGTCAAACTCAGCTTGCAACAATCACAGGGAGATTGGTGGGAGGTAGGGAGGGCTGAGGGGGCAGGTGGATTACTTGGTGAAACTTGCAAGGAAGGGCCAAGAAGGCTTGTCTGAGCCAAGGCCATCCTGGCAGCAAGTCCCTGTTAGCCACATGGAAGGGGACAGCCTTGCTATTCCTTGCAGGACAAATCACCCTTGGAGAGCTACAGCCCGAGACATTTACAACCTAGAGCTTCTCTGTAAGTTACCAGGAGATAAGTGAGAGTATACATACAGCAGATGAAGGCTGATGGAAAGAATTTGGGGTGTTTGGGCTAAAAAGAGAAGTCCATGGGGAAACAAAAAGGTCATCTTCAAAACATGGATGGACTGTACTTATTATTGTTATGATTCTGGAGGGCAAATTGGGGTTAAAAGATGGAAGCGTGAGGCCAGGCACAGTGGGTCACATCTGTAATCCTAGCACTGTGGGAGGCCAAGGCAGGCAGATCAACTTAAAGTTTGAGACCAGCCTAGCCAACATGATGAAACCCTGGCTCTACTAAAACTACAAAAATTAAAATTAGCAGTGGCAGGCACGTGTAATCCCAGCTACTTGAGAGGCTGAGGCAGGATAATCACTTGAACCTGGGAGGCAGAGGTTGCAGTAAGCCAAGTTTGCACCACTGCATTCCAGCCTGGGGGGCAGAGAAAGACTCCATCTCAAAAAAACAAAACAAAACAAAACGTGGAAATAGCAGGAAGAAATAACTTGCCTCAATGCAAGGATTAATATTTCTGGCAATTGGAGAAGGCTAAGTATGAGGGTGCCCTTCCCTGCACATCAGTTCCTCTCTCACGGGGTAAGGTGGGTCCACAGGGCAGAGGAGGAAAGAGCCCGGGTCCAGGGTTTGAGGAGGGATTTGGGGAATCGCTGGGGCAAGAGGAGGTGCTTCCATGGGATCCCTTGATAGAAGTCCCAGCATGAACACCAGCCCCAGATGCCTCCGTGGGAAGTGGAGCTTCTCACAGGCAGGACACAGCTCCTCACAGCAGCAGCGATCAAGCGCTTTGGGGAGCATTTCTAGGGTAAGAACAGACACTCTTGAGCAAACTCAGGGACAGTCAGACAAGTGCCCCTACTGACTGTCAGGTGGGCTCTTCCCAAGGGAAGAGGTGGCCAGAGCATCTGCTTCCCGGAGTCATGTCACAGAACGGAGGAAACATGGGGTACTCCCCTATGCAGAACGGTTCTCCGAGCTCTCAGCCCAGTCTACGGGGCATTTGTGCTGAGAGCTCGTAGGATTGGCTGGGAGGGAGTGGAAGCAAAAAGCCTGAGCGCACCACTAGAGAGATGGGAAGGGACGTATCCTGACTGGCTTGGGAAAGGTCTTCTCCCTTCCTGTGCAGCAAGGGCCCAGGGAAGTGGCATCTAAATCAGTGACTGTGTTGACGGCCATTACAATGAGAAGATTGGCCTCGGCCGCCGTGCTCAGAGGCTCAAGGCAGCCTCCATTGCTCACAGTGGCCCCCCAGGTGCTGGCTGACTACCCCGGTGCCACTGTAGTCAGCACAGGATCAGGAGCAGGAAGCCCGGGGTCTCCCATTTCAGAGAGCAGTTTTCATGGTCACAGGCAGCACCAGAGTGACCCAGCCTGGGCCTAAATAAGAAATCGACTCTGGAGGGAGCAAGGGCTCCCAGATATCTCTGAGGACACCCTCTGGACGCTGTTGCTTTGGCCTTTTGGTGTTGCTAATGCCCTTGGCTTTTTCCCATCCCCTGAAGCGTGTAGATTAATACAAATTCCCTGCATTTCCCATAACCCCTCCCCAAAAGCTTGGATACATAACTTTTGAGCCTCGTAAAGTGCTCCAAGCATTGTGCTTCAGGGTGAAACCAGCTCTCCAACGTTCCAAGGCAAGAAGCACTGGCCAGCTAAATAGGATTTGGAAGTTCCGAAGAGCAGGCTGGGTAACACATTTAGAGCAGTCTTAGAGCAGTGCCATAGACAATTTTCTGGATCCTTGGATACAATAGCACAGGGAAAATGTGGTTTATGTGGCCAAGCATTGCTTAGATGGGTATAAAAAGAATATTGGCTTAAAATTGGCTGTTTTACACCAATAACAACCTGACACAAAATGTAATGGGAGGAAAATTCCATACACCATCACGATGATAAATATGAAATACACAGGACAATCTTCACGAGGTATGTTCACATGAAGAGGAATCTTCACATGAATCTTCACATGAAAAGGAATTCTATAGCAAAAATATCTCATCAACATGAGGCTGACTTGAGGCTGTTTTAACATGATTGAGTTAAAAGAGTCCAAAAGAAAAGAAATGAACAATGTAATTTGCTCTTATTGCTCCTACTATTATACTTAAAGTGACATGTTTATTTCTATTTTAATAAAAGATAGAAGCTAAAATTCTCTTAAGTGTGAAACAGCTGGGTTTAGAGAGGGTTTGATCAATTAAGCAAGTAAATGCCTCACAAAAACACCCTACCATTTGGCTGAAAGATAGTTTCTGCTCGGGAGAGGGCTGAGGCTGCAACAATGAAAAATAGCATTTTGCTGAAAACAGAACACGTCAGTAGAGAGCAGATTGAATCCCATAATCAATTTTGTCATTTGAAAGTAGGCTAGATTTCTCTCTTAGCACAGGCATTAATTGGATATAAGACAGCAATCACAACTGTGTTTTCAATCTATAGGAAAAATTATCTTCGTTTCCCCAAGGCCTGCAGCTTTCATAAGAAGGCAGGAGTTTTTGGAGGAGAGCGTCGTGTTCGTCTGTCTGTAGACCCTGAGACACTGATTTACAGCAAGACTCACGGTGACAAGGTTTGTATTCTTAAAAACCAGAGATAAGCCATGATTTTGCAAGGGACAAAAACCAACTCTAACTTAAGTGGAAAAGGAAAATTATTAGCTATGGACCTAAAGAACAGAGTGAAGACAGCAATAGCTACACTGTATTCAAACAACCTCCCTATCACACACATACAGCACACACATGCACACATGAACACACTCTCTCTCTCTGGGTTGGCCTAATCCCTCTGGCCAGCTGGCCCTATAAGTCTACCATACACCATAGAGCACTTTATCCTACAGGCCTACTATCTCACCCAGACAAGACAGACTTCTGCCATTTTTTAAAATCCAGGGAGGGACTCTAATTGGGTAGCTGAGGTCACAAGTCCATGGCTGAATCAACTAGCAAGGCCAGGCGTACGGATACCCTAATTGGCTGCCCCACCAGAACCATATGTTTCAAGTGGGAGAAAAAGAAGTCCTCTAAAAAAGGGGATGCAATCTTCTGAGAAGACAAAACATTACTACACCATGCTGGCAAAGTTCCGATTCTGCCTTGTTTCCCAGAGCACAGACACAAAAGGCACAGGGAACCAAGGTGATCTGCTTCCGACCTGTGCTGTCCAATATGGTGGGCACCAACCACGTGGCTGCGAGCCCTTGAAATGTGCGTGAGATGTGCTGTAATGCAAAATACACCCTGAATTTTGAAGACATACTAAAAAAAAAAAAAAGTGTAAACATGGTGAAACCTCGTCTCTACTACAAAATACAAAAATTAGCCAGATGTGGTGGCATGTGCCTGTAATCCCAGGTACTCGGGAGGCTGAGGCAGGATAATTGCCTGAAAGTGGGAGGCGGAGGTTGCAGTGAGCCGAGATCATGCCATTGCACTCCAGCCTGGGCAACAGAGTGAGACTCTGTCCAAAAAAAAAAACCTCATTGGTAATAGTTTATTTTAATTACATATTGAAATGATAGTATTTTGGATCTATTACATTAAATAAGATATATTATTCAAAATTTTTACTTCTTTAATGTGGCTATTAGAACTTTTATAATTACATAGGTTATTACCTTAGGTGGCTTGCATTGTATTTCTGTGGGGATGGCTACCTCAGAAACTGAGGGTCACAGAGGCCTCAGGTCCTGCCTCGCCAAATTAAGCCAAGTGCATCTAGCAAACGCTAGCTATACAAAAAGGAAAGTAGGATGGAATTAACTTCCATTTCTACACAGCATGTCATTAGGGTGCTTAGTGTGTCTGGTTAGATGATATCAACGCTTTTTTCTTTATACTTGCCAGAGTCCCTGCTTTGGTGTCTCCCAGCCATGCCCTTAAAAGATTTCTATCAAAGATCATCATCCAGTTCTTTCAGGAGGCACCAAGCAATAACCAACGCACACAGTTATAAATCTTTGTCTGGGTACCAAAGCCATATATAAATCCATAAGCTATCACATCTTCCCGTCATCCCATGAAGCAGGTTGAGCAGGCTGAAGTGATTCAGGGTAAAACGTGCACTTTGTCAATGTCATTGTGTCACAAAGAGTCCAGATCCTAGACGCAGCTACCTCCAGTCTGCAGCCTCTCCATGCCCTAGTGGTCTCATGAATCTGAATAGCTTTCCTGTTTGATGCTAGCTTATTTTCTAGTGTGACCCGTTTTCCTGCAAAAAGCCAGTTTAGGTTGGTAAAGGGAATAAAGGTCTGTGTTGGAAAATTCATTGCCTTTCACTCAGAAAGCTTTCAATGGGAAACAAATTTAGATAGGACAGCCTTACTTCTTTGTATATGGAAAGCACAAAGGACTTTGCGTATTTCATCAACTTCCCCTCCCAGCATCCCGGAGAGGAGGAAGGCAGGTCTCTGCATCTGGCTGACAGGAGGATTTAGAGATGTCTATTTTAGTCAAAGCCTGCCCCTAAAAGCTTGTGACCTAAAAGAAGCCCTCCAACCTTCTTGCCTTCTGGGCTCTGTCTCAGTTATAAAACAAGGCATCCAAGGACACTTAAGAAAATATTTCCGAATGCAAACTACAGGGTGCCGTGCTTAAATCTCTCCAAGAGCTGCCCACACCAATGAAGTGCAAAGGTTTGCCGTGGCCTCTAAGACCCTACAGAATCTGACCACAGCCTGGGCCTCCAGCTCTTCTCCTGCTGCCTCCTTCACCTCTCACAGCTCTTCAGCCACATAAACCCTGCCCTGCTTTAAGGAGAGGCAGCTGGTCCTGCCGCGGGGCCTTTCCTAGGGCAGGGTCCTGTGTCTGGAATGCTCATCCCAGTAATCCTTGCCTCCGCCTCCTTAGAAGGATCTTCCTAGTTCAGTCTGAGCAGTTTTCCATTTCATGCATCTGAGGAGTCAGAAGTTGTAGTTCAGGGCCATCAAGTTAGCCAAGACTGGAGAGGTCAAGATCCCAGAGAAAAGTCAAGCAGAGGCCGGGCGCAGTGGCTCACGCCTGTAATCCCAGCACTTTGGGAGGCCAAGGCGGGCAGATCATGAGGTCAGGAGATCGAGACCATCCTGGCTAACACAGTGAAACCCCATCTCTACTAAAAATACAAAAAATTAGCCAGGCATGGTGGTGGGTGCCTGTAGTCCCAGGTACTAGGGAGGCTGAGTCAGGAGAATCGCTCGAACCCGGGAGGTGGAGGTTGCAGTGAGCCGAGATCGCACCACTGCACTTCAGCCTGGGACACAGAGAGAGACTCTGTCTCAAAAAAAAAAAAAAAAAAAAAAAAAAAAAAAAAAAAAGTCAAGCAGAAAGGAGCTAGTCTAACAGTCTCAGCCCCTTCCCCGCAGGGAACTCAGCCTATTTGTAAAAGGCATGAACCTAGAGAAGCAGAAAAAAATTAGCTGTAAAAAGCCTGAGGAGCCACACAGGGCTTTTGGCACCATCATAGCACTGGAGAAATTCTTAAAAATGGAATTCAGGGTCTGACAAGGAAGAGCTGCCCTGATAACATCCAGGCACTCACATGGGGGCCCTGAAGAACCTCGTCCTAATGCAGTGTTTCTCAAAGTGAGATCCACGGATCCCTGGGGGTTCCAGACACTCTTCCAGGACATTCAACAGCTCAGACTATTTCCATAATAACCCTTGCCTTTCTCACTGAGTTGACATTTGCCCTAAAGATGCAAAAGTGATAGTAGATGCCTCACCCGAAATTAAGGCAATGGCTCCAAAGCCATAGGAGTCACTGTATTCACCACCACCAGGCACTCACAGAAAAGGGACAAACAAGCAAAGTTAGTTTCCCCTAAGAATACCCTTGATGTTTCAGTAAAAGTGATTAATTTTATTAAATCTTGACCTTCCAGCAAACATTGTTCTAATATTCTGTGTGACAAAATGAGGCACCTCTGATGAGAAATGAAATGTGATGGTCGCTTCTGGGAAAAGGAATTGTGTGATTTTTTTTTGAGTTGTTAGCTGCATTAGCCTCTTTTCATGGAATGACAATAGTCCTTGAAGGAACAAGTAATAGATAGATAAATAGATCTATCTATATACTATCTATTTATCTACCTATAGATGATACCTATAGGTAGATAGATCTATCTATCTAGCAACTGATAGATAAATTATGGTTAATCGGACTTGAAAGACATTCTGAAAAATGTACAAAGTGAACCTGTCTCTTAAAGGAAAAAATACTGAAGTATAGCATATAAAATTTGAATTTAAGTGAAAATTAGAATTTTGGAAAAATTGAATCTGTCACCAGGAACTTAGTAGCATCCCAATAGTAAAAGGCTTCCCTGATAGGACTGATAATGATATTAATGAATATGCTGTTTTGATTTTGTATAATAAAATGTGTCAACAGTTGCAAGATTTGTGTAAGTCAACGACAAATATTTTTTGAATGACCAATGCATGATGTTATAAAATCATGCATCCATAAAAGTTTCATTCAAAGAGCAAGATAGGATAATGGCTTTCCAAGTAATAGAGTATGAAAAGTTTCTGGATATGGCTTCAAATTTCACATTGTGACCAATCTTTAAGAAACTACCACTTGTGGACTTTTGTTGTAGTATTAAAGAATAACCACAGTCATCTGACAAGGATATTAAAATACTCCATCCTTTTCCAATTACATATTGTGTGGAGCTGGATCTTCTTTACATGCCTTAATCAGAACAACAGATTGAAACAGATTGAACACAGAAGCAGATATGAGAATCTGTCTCTCATTAAGCCAGAAATCAGAGATTTGAAAAAATGCAAAACAATGTTACTCTTATGACTAAATTTTTTTGTTTTTGAAGATGGAGATATTTTTCATAAAATATATTATTTAGACTAACATGGAATAGGTTTATGATTATTGATTATTTTGATTTTTATGATTATTTTGAGTAAATAATGAGTAATAATATTTTGAGTAATATTTGAGTAATAATATTTTGAGTAATAATATTTAAGTAATATTTGGAGCAAATAATTATTATTTTGAGTAAAAAGCAAATGTAAAACTTTCTCAGTGTTTAATATGGCAAATATCAATATATGTAACCCACATTAACAGAAGCTCTTTGGGGATCCCAGTAATTTTTAAGAGTATAAAGGAATCCTGAGACCAAAAGCTTTCAAAATTACTTATCTGGAACAATTGTCAAAATTGGCCATATGCCAGGCCTTAAGGCAAGTCATGAAAAATCTCTGTTTTGAAATTATTCAGAGTATGTTCTCTCATCATAGTGTAATTAAGTTTGGCATCAATAAAAATACTTTAGAAATCCCCAATATTTAGAAATTAATCCATTCACCTCTAAATATTCTATGTGAAGAAGATATCCCAATAGAATTTAGAAAATATTTTCAAGTAAATTACAATTAAAAATGACGTGTCAAAATTCATAGTATCTAAATAAAGGTGTACTTAGAGAAAAACTTATAGCACTAAATGTATATATTAGAAGAGAAGCTGAAAAAAGTGATCTAAATATCTATTTAGAAGAAGTAAGAACAACAAAAGCAAATTAAGTCCAAGAAAGCAGGAGGGGGGATAATAAGGTCAGAAATAAGGGCTTAAAACACAAATATTCAATGGAGAATCAGCACAAAAGTTGGTTCTTCTTTGAAAAAAACTAAAAATTAATAAATACTTAAATCACTCATCAAGAAAATTGGAGAAGGCATAAATTACCAAAATCAAAAATAAAAGGTGTCATTAAATAAATTTTAAGATGATATGAGAAAAGTATGAAGTTTAGAAATCATAACTTACCAAAACTGATAGAAATGGAAAACATGAATAGTTCTATACCTACTAAAGAAATTGAATCTGTACGTCAAAAGCTCCCTATAAGGAAAACTCCAGACTTGAATTCATTCAAATATTTTAAGAGGAAATGACATTAATCTTAAACATTTTCTTTTTCATAGAATATAAACATCTCTTCAATTCATTTGATGAGGAAGAAAAGCTTTGATAAAGAAACTTGACAAGAACTTTACAAGGAAGAAAAATTACCAACAATTTCTCCTATCAATGTAGATGAAAAATTCTAAACAAAATGTGAGCAAATTGAATTCCATTTTATGTAAATAGGATAATACATTATGATGAAATCAAGTTTATTTAACAATGCAAGACTGGTTTGCTATTCAAAAATCAATGAAATATGAATACATATGTAGAGCAACTAAATGTTAAGAAACTCCGGTTTCCAGTCCAACATGTGAAGAGCTTGGAAATCTTCATATTAAAAAAAAAACTGAACAAATTGAAAATCAGCAATTCTTACATCCGTCAGAGAATTGAGGTCCCAGGGCAATCTGCTGCCTTGAAAATGAAAGAAACAGACAGACAGATACAGAGAATTTCAGCTTAAAAGGAGCAGACGGCCTCAGCTGGACGAGTTCGAGTTTAAAACTCCAGGAGGGGCCAGTCTTGGAGACGCCACACAGCTGGGAGTTTCACCTCCAGAAGCCCTACTGTTACTCAAAAGGGGTCCCAAGCCAAACCCCAAGAGAGGGTTCTTAGATCTTGCACAAGAAAGAATTCAAGGCAAGTCCATAGAGTAAAGTGAAAACAAGTTTGTTAGAAAAGTAAAGAAACAAAAGAATGGCTACTCCATAGGCAGAGCAGACCCAAAGGCTGCTGGTTGCCCATTTTTATGGTTATTTATTAATTATATGCTAAACAGGTGGTGGATTATTCATGCCTTTCCTTTTTAGACCATATAGGGCAACTTCCTGACATAGCCACGGCATTTGTAAGCTGGCATGGCGCTGGTGGGAGTGTAGCAGTGAGGACGACCAGGTCACTCTCATCGCCATCTTGGTTTTGATGGGTTTTGGCTGACTTCTTTACTGCAACCTGGCTTATCGGCAAGGTCGTTATGACCTGTATTTTGTGCCTACCTCCTATCTCATTCTGTGACTTAGACTGTCTGTCTGGGAATGCAGCCCAGTAGGCCTCAACCTTATTTTACCCAGCCCCTATTCAAGATGGAGTTGCTCTGGTTCAGACGTGCCTCTGACACCACCAGTTACTCACTGTGAAGGTCCCTCATACTCCTCGCCCTGGGAGGGAAATAGCAACCATTTTAAGATATGGCCGGAGGATTTTACCCTCCTTAACTGCTGCCCTCATGGGGAAAGCATTTTGCTAGAGCCTAACTTGGGATTTTATCCAGGCCTAACTGGCCTGAGAGAAGGGAAATACTCAATTCGGGCTCACTAAAGACTGAGCCCTGATCACAGGGCTACAGGACACTTCCCCTCCCCCACACCTCATTGCCTTCTCAATAGAGCTCCTGTGTAATAACGGAGGATCAAGAACTGCAAGCCTTAGGCCCTATTTTAAAATTTTGAAAGTCTCTAGGAAAACCCAAAGACAACAGGGGAGACAAAAACAAGAGCACTAGAGGAAATTTTAGCCTCTGACACTGCAGCCACAGTAAACAGTGTTGACAAAAAGAGTCAAACTGTAAAATATTTTAAGAGATTTATTCTGAGCCAAATATGAATGACCATGGCCTGTGACACAGCCCTCAGGAGGTCCTGAGAACATGTGCCCAAGGTGGTTGGGGGTGCAGCTTGGTTTTATATATTTTAAGGAGGCATGAGACATCAATCATATGCATTTAAGAAATACATTGGTCTAGTTCAGAAAGGTGGGACAACTCAAAGCGGGGGGAGCAGGGCTTCCAGGCTATAGGTAAATTTAAACATTTTCTGGTTGACAATTGGTTGAGTTTATCTGAAGACCTGGAATCAACAGAAAGAAAATGTTCAGGTTAAGATAAAGGCTTGTGGAGATCAAGTTTTACTGCGTAGAGGAAGCTTTCAGACAGCCAACTTCAGAGTGAGCATGTTGTAAAATGTTTATTATCAGACCTAAAAGAGCACCGGGCTCTTAGTTGATTATCTCCTGGATCTGGAAAGGAAAGAAGGAAAAAAAAGGGGAAAGGAGATTCTCTATAGAATGTGGATTTTACCCACAAGGGACGACTTTGCAGGACCATTTCAAGACATAACAGAGAAATATGTTTTGGGGTAAAATATTTTGATTTTCTTCCTTGTTGTGCCAGAGTCAGATTGGAAAGTAAGTGACAATATACAGGGTTAAATCAAATGCATCTGATGAGAATTTATGGTTTGTAGGGCATGACTCCCTAGACCCCTTAGACAGGAATTTAGGGAGGACAAAAAAAAAAATCAGAGCTTAGTCTTCAATAGTAAACACAGCCCAATGCCTAATCAGATAAACATAAACTTCACACTCACATCCTATCCACCTCAGTTCCTATTACTCAATACATTGTATTGGGCTTTCAACAAAAAAATTACAAAGTGTGCTAAAAGCCAAAACACACAGTCTGAAGAGACAAAGCAAGATCAGAACCCACTTTTGCAAAAATCAGGAGAGTGAGAAAAACCTGACACAGGGAAATTATGGCAGTGAAAGAGATCTGACTGAACTGATTCCATCTTGCCTTTAATCTCCAAACTGCCCTTGTTCATTCCTGGGCGTAGGCCAAACTAACTTTGGGAGAAATTTAGTTTATAGTTTAACTTTGAAACAAAGATAATAACAGCCCCTCCCTGAAAAAAAAATACCCCTTCTTGTCTAGGGACAAAACTGCCTTTGTAAAACTAACAAATTAGCCACAAGATTAGAAATTATGGCTCAGGAGTCACACATCCAGAGCCCAAAAGATTCCTAACCCCCCCAATTGCTCCTATAGATAACACTACTACTGTGAAAGCTAAGATTGGTGTTTAAGGTATTCTTCAGGATCTGCATTCTGTTGGACCAGCTAGCACCACCCAGACCAATACACTGTCTCATCTGGTCTTGTGAACCCCACCCAGGAACTGACTCAGTGCAAGAGGACAGCTTTGTCCCCTGTGATTTCATTCCTGACCCAACCAGTCAGCATTCCCCATTCCCTTGTCCCTGTCTACCAAACAATCTTTAAAAATTCTAGACTCTGAACATTCAGGAAGGCTGATTTGAGCAATAATAAAACTCTATTCTGCAATTTAGCTAGCTGTGTATGTATTAAACTCTTTCTCTACTGCAGTTTCCCTGTCTTGATAAATTGACTCTATCTGGACAGTGAGGAAGAACTCATTGGATGGTTACAGAACCAAACTCAGATACGGCAGAGATTTCAAAATTATCAGAAAGGTAATTAAAATAACTACAGTAGGCCAGGTTCAGTGGCTCACGGCTATAATCCCAGCACTTTGTGAGGCCAAGGTGGGTGGATCACTTGAGCCCAGGAGTTCAAGAGCAGTCTGGGCAACATGGAGAAAACCCGTTTTGTAGAGCAAAAAATTAAAAACTTAACCAGGTGTATTTGAAACCAGCCTGACCAACGTGGTAAAACCCTGTCTCTACTAAAAATACAAAAACTAGCTGGGCGTGGTGGCGCACGCCTGTAATTCCAGCTACTCCGGAGACTGAGGCAGGAAAATCACTTGAACCCGGGAGGCAGAGGTTGCAGTGAGCCGAGATTGCACCACTGCACTCCAGACTGGGCAACAGAGTGAGACTCCATCTCAAAAAACAAACAAAAAACAAACAAACAAAAAACTTAACCAGGTGTAGTGGTGTGCCCCTGTAATTCCAGCTACCCGGGAGGCTGAGGTAGGAGGATCCCTAGTGCCTGGGAGACAGATGTTGCAGTGAGCTGAGATTGCACCACTGCACTCCAGCCTAGGTGACAGAGTAAGACCCTGTCTCAAAAAATGAATAAAATAAAGACTAGTTAATATGCTAAGAATTTTAATGGACAAAGTGAACAATAGGCAATAGAGCCAATGGTTCATGTAGGCAGAGAGATGGAAATTCAAACAGGGAAAAGAGTTAAAAGGAAATGCTAGAAATCAGAAGCACTGTAACAGAAATGAAGAATCTTCTTGATGGGCTCATCAGTAGACTGGACACGTTCAAGGAAAGAATCAATGAGCCTGAAGGTAAGTCAATAGGAGCTTCCACAACTGAAACGTGGAGAGAAAGAAGAATGAGAAAGATGGAACAGAATATTCAAGAACTATAGAATAATTACAAAAGGTGTAAATTATTATATATAATAACACTACCATTTTTGACAATATCAAAAAACATTATATACCAAAAAATAAATCAAATAAAAGATTGTAAGTCCTCTACCTACAAAACCACAAAACATCATTGAGAGAAAGTAAATAAGATATAAATAAATGAAAGAATATACGATGTTCATACATTGCAAGACTCAAAATTGAAAGATGTTCATTCTTTCCAAATTTACTCAGTACAATTCTGATTAAAAACTTCGGAAAGTTTTCTATGAAAACTGAAAAAAATGATTCTATAATTTTTGTGAAATGCAGTGGTACAAGTGCAGCAAAGACAATCTCAAAAAACAAAGTTGGAAGTCTCAAATGACTATATATCAAGACTTATTATGAAGTCATAGAAACTAAGACATAACTAGAGACAAACAGATGAATAAAACAAAACAAGATTACAACAGTCCACAAAATGTCACTTTATTTATGGAAAAGGTTACATATTATAGCAGTGAGGAAAAGTTGATCTTTGCACTAAAGTCAACTGGGTATCTTTATTTTTAAAAATGAATTTTGACTCCTTTCTTATATTTTAAACAAAAATCAATACCATTTGGATTATAGGCATAAATGTGAAAGGTAAAAAATAATAAGTTTCTAGAAGAGAATTTAAGAGAATGTCTTCATGGTCTTGTGTAGCAAAAGTTCCTTTTTTAGGGAACAATAAGTCCTAAACATAACAGGAAAATGATAAAAATTAGACTATATTAAAATTAAGAACTTGTGTTCAACAAAGACAAAATTAAAGGAGTGAAAAAGCAGACCATAGAATGGAGAAAACATATGTAATAAATGTGTCTGACAGATAACTCGAATCTGCTATACACAGGGAAGTCTTCAAATCAATTTAAAAAAAGAAAAAGCAGACAACTAATAGAAAACTGGACAAAAGACTGAATTTAACTTCACAGAAGATATAAAGTGTTCAGTAAACACATAAAAAGATGCTTAACATTCTCAACTGTCAGAAAAAAATACAAATTAAAGCAATGCGATAGCAGTACACCCCATCACAATGACAATTGTTTCCGATGTGGAGGTATTATGAATAATACTGCTATGACTATATTTGTACATATCTTCCAGTGCATATTTGTACAAAATCTGCTGGTTGTATACCTAAAAGAGGAAATGCTGGATCACAGTATGCTTCTATTCAACCTTAATAGAGAGCCCTAAAGAAATCTCCAAAGAGGTTAAGCCACTGTCCACTCCCAGCCTACAGGGAAGAGCAGTTGGTAGCAAGAATGTGAAGCAACTGGAGCTCTCACGTTCTGCTGGTGGGAGTACACAGTGGCATAGCCTCTTCGGGAGTTTAAGGGTATCTATGAATGTTAAATATATGCATACACTGTGGTTCAGTATTTCTTCTTTTAGGTATATAACCAACAGATTTTATACCAATATGTGTCAAACGATATGCAAATCTATTCATAGCAATATTATTCATAATAGTCCCACATCAGAAACAATCTCAGTATCCAGCCATAGGAGAATGGATATATAAACTGTGGGCCTCTTCATAGGAAGAAATTTTCTATAATAATCAATACAAGTGAACTGCAGCTATATGAATGAAGCTCATACATATACTATTGGAAGAAAGAAGTTGGCCGGGGGCGGTGGCTCACGCCTGTAATCCCAACACTTTGGGAGGCTGAGGTAGGTAGATCGCAAGGTCAGGAGATCCAGACCATCCTGGCCAACATGGTAGAACCCCACGTCTACTAAAAATAGAAAAATTAGCTTGGCATAGTGGTGCGTGCCTGTAATCTCAGCTACTTGGGAGGCTGAGGCAGGAGAATCGCTTGAACCCGGGAGGCGGAGGTTGCAGTGAGCTGAGTTTGTGCCACTACA
This sequence comes from Homo sapiens, assembly GCF_000001405.40. NCBI lineage: Eukaryota > Metazoa > Chordata > Mammalia > Primates > Hominidae > Homo > Homo sapiens. The sequence continues at coordinate 234,729,175 of NC_000002.12, forward strand.
CTCCAGCCTGGGCGACCGAGTGAGATGTCTCAAAAAAAAAAAAAAAATAGAAAGGAGGAAATCAGACATAAAAGTTACATGCTGTATGATCCCACTTATCTAAAATTCTAACACGGATAGAACCAATCTATCTTGTTGGAAGTAGGAACAGTGGCTGGTGTGGAGAGGTAGAGGCCTGAGAGGTGACATGGTTTGGGGGTCCTGGGGGTGGGTATTGTTGGATAGCCTGATCTGTGTGCTGGTTGCCCTGGTGTGGCCACTTTGTGAAAGTTGATCAGGCTAGACTCTTAAGATGTGTGCACTTTTCTGTAGGTGTATTAGATTTCAGTGAAAAAGCTTGCTTTAATGAACAACTGCAGGGAGAAGTGGGAGTCACCTTTACCTGGAGACAGAGGAGCAGGAGAATGTTCTTTAGAATGTCTTTTTTTTTTTTTAGATGATGTCTTGCTGTGTTGCCCAGGCTGGAGTGTAGTGGCTCTATCTCGGCTAACTGCAACCTCCACCTCCCGGGTTCAAGCAATCCTTTTCCCTCAGCCACTTGAGTAGCTGGGACTACAGACATGTACCACCATGCCTGGCTAATTTTTAGGAGAGATGGGGTTTCACCATGTTGGCCAGCTGGTCTCAAACTCCTGGCCTCAAGTGATCCATCCACCTCCGCCTCCCAAAGTGCTGGCATTACAGGCATGAGCCACCACTCCCAGCTAGCAGGACAATGTTCTAAAGAGACTACATACAGTCTCTATTTCCCTCCTTCTGAGGAAACAAACAAAAAAACATTTTCCTCTTGTGGGCAGACAGGGTTGCCTTTTTGTTCAGCCTTGTGCTATTCACAGATCCCACAGCACTGACTGACATGTGGTGACTGGGGAGTCAGTACATCTTTGGTGAATGAGAAGCGAAAATGTTTTTCTTCTCCACTGAGATTCTCTTTTCAATGGCTCTCTGTGGGGGCCAGGATCTATTTTCCATCTCTTGAATCTGGCTGGTCCTGTGACCTGCTTGGGCCAGCTGAAACGGCAGAAGCAATGCTGTGCCCACTCTGGGCGTGGACCTCCAAAGGCCTTGCACGCTTCCTCTCTGCTGTTGTGGCTGCTCAGTGAACAAACCCAGCTAGCCTATTGGGGAATGAGACACCACGTGGCAGGAGACTGAAGCACCCCAGCAGAGAGCCAGCCAAGCCCAGAAGCACAGCCCCTTGACTGCCCTGAGGTTACTGCAGACACACAAGAGAGCCCAGGCAGGACCAGAACCACACAGCTGACCTGTAGATGCGTAAGCAGTAATACAGGGTTGCTATTCTAAACTACTTAGTGGAATAGTTTGATACTCAGAAATAGTTAACTGATTAAACAACCTCTGGGGCAGCTTTCGCATAAAGTACAATAAAAATGGACCCCCTGTGGTGTGCAGCGCAACCTGCAGACACCGGATGCACTGGCCCTGGAAAGTGCTGTGGGTGTGTCAACTGGCCAACCCCACTTCCAGCCTCTCTCCCTTGTCTACCTTTTCTATAGAAGCTACATATGCTTCACTGATGGCCCAGTTTCCCTGGCCACTGGGTGTGGCCGGCCATAAGACACTGCTCTGGTCAGTTAGATATAGGCAGACACCTGCTAGTGACACCTCTCTTCTCTCTTCCTAACTGTGTCTGTGATGCCTGGAGGTGCCACAACTGTTTCTAAGGCAAACCTGAGAGATTCCCTTATAGTATCATGGAAGACAGTTGCCAGATTTAGCACAAAAGAATAAATGAATAAATAACGATTAACTGAAAGAAATGCCGGACATTCAGGTACATTTAAATTTGAGTTTTGTTTTGTTTTTAAGACAGAGTCTCACTCTGTTGCCCAGGCTGGAGTGTAGTGGTGTGATCTTGGCTCACTGCAACCTCTACCTCTTGGGTTCCAGCTATTCTCATGCCTCAGCCTCCTAAGTAGTTGGGACTACAAGTACACCACTGTGCCTGGCTAATTTTCATATTTTTAGTAGAGATGGAGTTTCACCATGTTGGCCAGGTTAGTCTCAAACTCCTGGCCTCAAGCCATCCGCCCACCTCAGCCTCCCAAAGGGTTGGGATTACAGGCATGAACCACCATGCCTGGCCCCCAGAGAATAACTTTTTTAGTATAAGTATATCCCGAATATACCATTTTCTCCAACTCCACCATGGAGTCACACATCAGCCCCCGAGTACCTGGGGTACCCATTCAGAGGCTTCCTGTACATGACTGAACCCCCATTTGCTTACTCTTCTGAGGTAGGAAGGGCTTCCTGCCACTCCGGCTGAATGCAATGCTAGCATATTTTCAAACTGACGGCAGAGGACCCCACGCTAGTCCAAAGGCTTGATGGACAGCCCTATCCTTTCAGTGTATGTATCGATTGCTCTGCTGTCTTGTATCTTACAGTGCTGCCAGTGGAAAATCTGAGAACAGTTGCATTTTCTTTTATTTCTTTCCCTTTGGAAACTTGTAAGATTTTCTACTGATTCTTGCTGGGCGGTGACATGGTCAGCCTAGGTCCATTGGGCATCTCTTTCATGAGTCCTCAGTGGAACTCGGGTGACTGGTTTTACCTATATACTCCAGTGATTTACAACTTGGAGAGTTATTTCGAGCATCTGCTTAGTGAATTCCTCTCCTACACTGTTACCCTATCATTTTTCTATCAGTTTTTTGTTAGTTAGATTTTTTTTTTTTGAGACAGAGTTTTGTTCTTGTCACCCAGGCTAGAGTGCAATGGCACGATCTCTGCTCACTGCAACCTCTGCCTCCCGGGTTCAAGCTATCCTCTCGCCTCAGCCTCCCTAGTAGCTGGGATTACAGGCACCCACCACCACACCTGGCTAATTTTTGTACTTTTAGTAGAAATAGGGTTTCACCATGTTGGCCAGGCTGGTGTCGAACTCCTGACCTTACATGATCCGTCCACCTTGCTCTCCCAAAGTGCTGGGATTACAGGCGTGAGCCACCGCGGCCAGCCTATCAGCTTTTATGGCTCTAACATTCAAGTTTCTTATTTTGTTCCCTCATACAATTTTCATCTGCAAATGTTTCTCTGGGCTTCAGACACATATCTTCCACTTAATCTTCTAGGCCACTAATTTATGTTTAAGTAGAAGATGCCATCCCTTTGAAGATATGTGCTTAACTTTTTTTAATTAAAAAATAATTCTTCAGTTCCAGTCCATGCTGTAATTGGATTCTGAAGTGCTCTTACTGATTTTTGGTTCAAGCCACATCTGCTTCCAGCAGCAGGCCTGTTTCTGTGCAAGCTGACTGAGTATTCTTCCTCTCCTTGTCTGTTGGGAAGGTTTAGATGCCTTTTTTCCTGCCTTGCCTCCTTGCAGCTCTCTTCACCCTTGGAGCCATGCTTGGCTGGGCTACCTTGTTGGTGGCAGCCCTCAGGTGGTGGGGGCCCAGAAGTCACTGCTCCCATGGGCCCTGTTGTGCAGCTTAGAATGCTCAGTTCCCTGCCTGCAGCTGGGAAGCATCACCCAGGTCCGAACTTTTCCTATTGCAAGGCTGTTGCTCTCTCATCCACAGAGGTGGGACACTAGGATCACCTGATCAACTTCCCTGAGGCTCCTCTGAGGGAGACCAGTGAGTCCTCCAGGACAGAGCACACTGGCTGGTTCCACCCTTCCAGACTGGTCCCTAGGTCTCCATGAGCTCCCTGTAGGCACTGTGGAGTCCAAGCCTCACCCCAGGGCTCTGCCTCAGGCACCCAGCCCCTCCCTAGCCTGGAAAAGACCAAACTTCAGCCTCTTACACCCTTAGGCTTTCTCATGCCTTGTAGCCCCGCTTTGGCTGAGCTCAGCAAAGGCACTTGATAGTGCATTCCAGAGACTGTGAGAAAAAGACTCCATGGACCATCTTTCTTCCCTACCGTTTTCCCACAAATGCCCAGGCCTTGTACTTGAGACACCTTTTATTTCTAAAGTTTTAAACTTTGTATATTTTTGTATTACATTTTTAATCAAAAAATAATTTTTCTTTTTTTGAGACAGGGTCTCACTCCGTCGCCCAGGCTGGAGTGGTGAGATCACAGCTCACTGCAGCCTCGACCTCCTGGTCTCAAGCCATCCTCCCACTTCAGCCTCCTGAGCAACTGAGACTACAGGCATGTGCCACCGTGCTCAGCTAATCTTTTATTTGTTGTTGTGATGATGGTCTCACCATGTTGCTCAGGCTGGTCTTGAACTCCCGGGCTCAAACAATTCTCCTGCCTTGGCCTCCCAAATGCTGGGATTACATGCGTGAGCCTGGCCTAAAATAAATATTTTTAACATCAAAGAGAGCTTTGCTTAAAGCATGATAAAAGGAGAAATGAATGTATTTGACTTCATTAGATCAGGATTTTTAAATTTCTGTCTGAGGGAAGGGAAAACGTCCCTTTTCCCCTGGATGGTGTGCTAAGGAATCAAATGACAAAGGCAGGTTGATAGGAAGAAGTACATACAGCTTTATTAGCGTACATGGGGAAGAATCACAGAGTGACTGTCCCACTTGCAATGGTACATCTGATGCTTATATACCCCTCTTCTTAGGGGAGAGGGAGATGGGAAGGGGCAGATGATTTTAGGGGGATAGTACATTATTTTTAGGGGAATTCAAGGAGTTTGAAGACATACACTGCCCTGGGACAAAGTCTGTTGGGCCCACAGAGCAGACAACCGTTTGTGACAATAATTTGTGCCTAGCTGCATAGACAGACTTCAGTCTTTCTTCCTGCAATATGAGTTTAGTTAATGAAAACTCAGGGAGGGACTAAAAATCATTGTTCCTCCTTTGGCAGGTCTGGACTTTAGACAAACAAGGGAACTTCAAAGAATAAGTCCATCCTGCACTTTGGGAGAGACATAGGATTGAGAGACAGGGGAAGGGCTAAGAGGACGTCAGAGAGACCTTGAGGCCTCTTCTTCACTTCAGAATGTCAAAGTGTCATATTTTGGGGTATCAGTTTCTCAGACCCAACATTTCTTACTTCTAAGACTGTGTTTAGCAAAAGAGTGGAAACCACTTGTGTCCAGTAGCCATGGACAGTTGAGTAAACTATGGTATCTCAAATGGAATACCATGACTATGAAGCTATAAAAGAGGGGGAAAATCTGTGTGCACTGATGTGGAGAGACCACCTGGTTTTAACGGTAAGGGGAAAAGCATGATGCAGAAGAGCATCTAGGGCTCTGCAAACTTTTCCTGTAAAGGGTCAGGTAGCAACTATTTTAGGCTTGCAGGCCACACATGCTCTCTGTTGCAACTGCTCAACTCTGCCGTGTTAGCAAGAAAGTCGATATGGACAATACATAAACTCATGAGTGTAGCTGTGTTCCAGTAAAACTATATCTATTGCCAGGCCCAGTCGCTCATGCCTGTAATCCCACTTTGGGAGGCCAAGACAGAAAAATTGCTTGAGCCCAGGACTGAAAGACCAGCCTAAGCAACATAGGGAGACCCCATCTCTACAAAAAATAAAAATAAATATCCAAGCATAGTGGCACCTGTGGTCCCAGCTACTCAGGAGGCTGAGGTAGGAGGATCATTTGAGCCCATAAGGTCAAGTCTGTAGTGAGCTATGATCATGCCACTGCACTCCAGTCTGGGTGACACAGTGAGATCCTGTCTCTACAAATAATAATAATAATAATAATAATAATAATAAAAACGAAACAAAAAAAAAAACACTTGTATCTACACAACAGGTAGAGGCTGGATTTGGCCCATGGGTTATTGTTTGCCAGCCCCTGGTGCAGAAGGCACACCCTAAGGTGATCCCCAGTGCACTGAAGCCTTAGATCATCTACTGCCCTTGAGTTCGCACAAAGCCTGACTTGCTTCTTAGCTAATAAGATATGGCCAAAATGAAGGGATTTTGCAAGTATAATTAAGATCCCAAATCAGGTGGTTTTGAGTTAATCAAATGATAGTCTATCTTGGGAAGTCCTAACCTAATTAGATGGAACTCCTTAAATAGGCTTCTCTTTAGGTTAGAAGAGACAAAGAGTGTCTTCTGCTAGCTCTTCTAGCTCTCTCTCCTGCTAGCTTTGAAGAAGCAGACTGCTATGGGTTTTATAGCTGCAAGGAAATAAAGTCTGCCAGCAACTCAAGGGAGCTTGCAAACAGATCCTTCCCCACTCTAGCCTCTGATGAAAACACAGCCCAGTTGATGTGTTAACTGCAGCCCTGTGAGACCCTGTGCAGAGAACCCAGCCAAGACACACCCAGATTCCTGGCCCAGAGAAATGGTGAGATAATAAACACACATTGTTTTAAGCCATTAAATTTGTGGTAATTTGTTACACAGCCTAGAAAACTCATACACCTGTTGTATGAAATCTGCTGTCATTTATGTAAGAAAGGGAGAAAAAGGGCAAGACTTTTCAGATATGACTTTTTGTATTATTTAGATGTTTAAACCACGTAAACATATTACCTATTCAAAAATTAAATTGAAAAATTTAATCTACTTTCCCATTTGGTAATAAAAGATCATTTTCCAGATTTGTACCTTTCATATTTCAATTATTATTTATTTTCACAGTACCCTTTACCGTGATTCTTTTACATGCTTCTTTTTCCTTCAGAACATCCTTCATTTTATCTCAAACCTCTATGTTCAAAAGGAACTTCTTTGTTTTTTTAAACTTGAGTTTACTTTGCTCAGTGTTGTTCTCCTGGCACCCAACAGAGGGACTGGCATGAGAGGTGCCCCCAATAAATACTAACAGAATGAATGAATCACAGTGACCCTCATCTTGGTGTTTGCACATGCCAAACCCACTTGAACAACTCCTGCGCCTACAACCCTCAACCCCTGCAGTTCAGATTTCATCCTCCACTTGGAAAGAAAACTTCTCTACAGAACAAGCTGTCTTGCCGCCTCCTTACCTCCCACCTGCCATCAAGAGATGTTGATGAAACATTATTTCTTGAGGCCTTTTAAACATCTTTTGGGAATATGTTATGCAGAGAAGACATAGTGATGGCAACAGCAAAACACAGGCATCTGTTCTTCTCTGGCTCATTTTCTGAAAACAACTTTCCATTTTCCTAACATGCCCTCTGCCAGCTGACCTATCCTGTTGTGGCCACGGCTTGCAGGGACAGAGTGAGGATATTATGTCCCAGTCTCCCTGCCCCCTTCCCCTACTCCAGGCCCAGCCCTGCCAGTCAAGGCAGCCACCCTGCCCTGATCAATTCCCATTTTAGGAGGCACAAAGAATCTGCCATCAAGCTATCCACCAGGCTCACCATTTGCCTGGGCTGACATCCTGCAAGTGGACCCTCTGCTTTGCTCTGAAGACAGGAGCCCCAAGGCACACTTGTCTCCCCATAATTAAGAACCTATATATATATTTTCTTTTATTCTCTTCCGTGGACTAGAGTCCAGCTTCCCTTCAGCCCATGATGGTTTCTGGAGCCAAAGAGAAGGTGGTAGGAGTGGAGGGGAGAGATAACAAAAGCAAACAGCAAGCTGAGTGAAACCGTCCAGAACCCAGAACCATGTCCCTGAGTGTGGATGAGAGTCTGGGGGAATGGGACAGTCTGCCCTTGGGATTTCCCTGAACTCTGAAAAGGAGTTCTCCTGGCCTAAACCAGAAGTGACATGATCTCAGGTGTGGGGGTGGGCCTTGTGCATGCACACACATGCACACACACATGCACACACAGGTATACACACAGATACAGTCTTTGTCCTCAGTGAGGTGCCCTATGGTGCTAATCTGAGGTTACTTGACCTGTCCTATCACTAGCAGGTGCATTGGAACCCCACACAGCCTGGGAGCAATCATCACTTCCTGAGAACACTCCCACAGCCTATTACCAAGTTCTGGGGCTCTGTTGCCAACTCCTAGGTCAAATTTCCTCTCATTCTGTGCTCATCCACCTGGTAGACAATAGCTGCCCAGCTCCCAGGCACCCTGTACTCTTCTCTTGGCCAATCTGAGCACCACCTATGTTCACAAGCCCACCAAGAGAACCAAGAGAACACAAAACACAGTCACTGGTTAGAGTTGGAGAGAGGGGAAATATCAGTCACAAAAACGTACAAGATTTTCCCAAGTGGCCATAAAAAATTTCCAATGGAATCTAAAGTACTAATAATGAAGAGAAAAATCTCACAATATAGTGTTTTTTGTTTTTAAAGCAGGTTATAAAACAGTATTGACTATAGTCCCACTTCTGTTTATCCACTATTATTCTATGTTTCCTAACTCTACACACACCTAAACTTTCTTCCTTTATTCTCTTCCAGCCGTGCTGGTCTCTGGAGCCAAAAGGAGGGTGGTAGGAGTGGACGGGAGAGATAAGGAAAGGCAAAAGGCAGGCTGAGCAAAACTACCCAGATCCCAGAACGGTGTCCCTGAGTGTGGACAAAGGTCTCAAGGAACATATTCTCTGCATTTCTACTCAAACTTTAAACTAAACAGGTCTTACATTCAGGTGGGGACCTCCCTCCAGAAGTTACTCCTACATCAGAAAAGATGACCCCCTTCTTCCTGATGCTCAGAGCCATCAATACTCCTTTGTCTCTCACCTAGCACCCAATTCATCTGGAAATCCTATTGGCACCACCTTAAATATGTAAACAGAACCTGATCAAGAGCCCCCATGGTCACCCACCTAATTAGGGGGGTGGTGTTGCAGGGCTCCTGCTGTCTCATACAGTGGCCAGAGTTAAGCTTTTCAAACACAAATGGTGTTTGTCCCATCTATCCCCCACCTTCTATCACCTCCCTGAGAATGGCATCCTGCTCTCCTCTGACTGTATCTCTCTGCCCTTGCTATGTAGAATGTGCATCCACCCCAGGGCCTCTCTGCTTGCTCTTTTCTTGGCCAAGAAACACCTCTCCCAACATGCCCTCTGGCTACAGGTCCTCACTTTTCTGGGGCCCCTGCAAGAGAGGGCTTTCTTAAGGCTGGAGGTGAAACAGCATGCCCCAACATCACTAGCCCCTTCCCTTGCCCTGCACAGCCCTAGACCACGCATCCTCTTAGATATTCATTTGTTTGCTTTTGGTCACCCCCACCCCTCTGAAGAATGGGTACTCTATAAGAGCAGGGATTTTCATCTGTTTTGCACAATGTTGCATCCTCAGTGGACAGAACAGTGGCTGGCACATTAAAGAGCATTTTCTGAATATTCGTTGAATGAATGAACAGGGAACATACTAATTAAATATACACCTATAGGAAGCAGGATGTGGGCACTATTTTGAGGGGTAGGGGGCCAAGACCACTTGGCTTCTTTGGTCTGTTTTTCTGTTTCTATTTCTAAAAGCCTCCCATGGCTGCTGGGAAGTGGGAAGGGAACAGAGATTTCTCTAGGAAGGAATGGTGTCTGATTCTGCTCCATCCCTAACTCCTTTCCCCTTAGCCAGGTAACTGCCATTCCCCTTCCTTGAAGACCTTACATGGGAGAGCCTCTGAACTGAACACAGCTGGGAACAATGGCGGAAACTGCCCTAAAAGCTACAGAAGAAAGCAACATGAGAACCCCTTCACATTTCACCCATTTGATACTCACTCAGTGTGCAGGGCCCCACCATGGAAAGGAGGAGTACCCTCTGGGGTATGTCCCAGACCAAGGGAAGAGACTTGTAGAGGTGGGTATTTGGTGGAATCTCCTGCAGAGTGGCTGAGTCCTGCCTGCCAGTGAGCCCCCTCTGAGCACACAATACTACCAATCAATGTCTTGGTGACTTCTTAAAATAGAACGGCAAACCAAGAAAAGCCTTGAGCCTGAAAGACTAAAACTAACTGTAAACCAAAAATAAAATTCTAAGCCCCCCAATTGACTGAATGGACCCCCTCAGCCAAGGGGATTCCAAAGAAACCTGAAAAAAAAGTTCAGACCATGACAAGGAGTAGGGTTAGACGTACCTCATTATACCCTCCTCCCTTTGCAGTTCAGGCACAGCTGACAAGCATTAACTTTGAAACAGAGATCTTAAGACTAACAAAGCAGATTATTTGTAGCAATAAGATACACAATTCCAACCTGGCTCCAGCATAGGATCACATGACAGATAGCAGGTCCTGAAAAAATTCAAAGTATTTTACCATAAAATATGCTTATTTGGCATATTTTGGAAAGTGGTCTCTTGTGGGGGAAATTTGCATTCTGTAGAGAATCTCCTTCCCTTGTTTTTTTCTAGAGAGTCTGGTACCTTTTAAAGTTCTGAATAGGAAACATTTGCCTTCTGAGTAGGAAAACATTTGCCATCTATTGCCTCAAAGAGTGGTCACCTATGAGACTTCATCTACATAGTAAGAATCTTGATTTCCACAACCCCTTATCTTTACTCAGACACCACTTTCTATTGATTCCAGGTCTTTAGCTAATAGCTTAAGAAGTGATATCTTTTATTAAATAGGGAATTCTTTCCCCATTGCTTGTTTTTGTCAGGTTTGTCAAAGATCAGAGGTTGTAGATGTGTGATGTTATTTCTGAGGCCTCTGTTCTGTTCTATTGGTCTATATATCTCTTTTGGTACCAGTACTATGCTGTTTTGGTTACTGTAACCTTGTAGTATAATTTGAAGTTAGGTAGCATCATGCCTCCAGCTTTGTTCTTTTTGCTTAGGATTGTCTTGACCATATGGGCTCTTTTTTGGTTCCATCTGAAATTTAAAGTAGTTTTTCCTATTCTGTGAAGAAAGTCAATGGTAGCTTGATGGAAATAGCATTTTCATGATATTGAATCTTCCTATCATGAGCATGAAATGTTTTTCCATTTGCTTGTGTCCTCTAGTTCAACCATTGTGGAAGACAGTGTGGCAATTCCTCAAGGATCTAAAACTAGATATACCATTTGACCCAGCAATCCCATTACTGGGTATATACCCAAAGGATTATAAATCATTAAACTATAAAGATATATGCACATGTATATTTATTGCAGCACTATTCACAATAGCAAAGACTTGGAACCAACCCAAATGCCCATCAAGGATAGACTGGATAAAGAAAATGTGGCACATATACACCATGGAATGCTATGCAGCCATAAAAAAGAATGAGTTCATGTCCTTTGCGGGGACATGGATGAAGCTGGAAACCATCATTCTTAGCAAACTAACACAGGAACAGAAATCCAAACACCGCATGTTCTCACTCATAAGTGGGAGTTGAACAATGAGAACATATTGGCCAGGGAGGGGAACATCACACACTGGGGTCTGTCAGGGAGTGGCGGCAAGGGGAGGGATAGCATCAGGAGAAATACCTAATGTAGATGACAGGTTGATGGGTGCAGCAAACCACCATGGCACATGTATACCTATGTAACAAACCTGCACGTTCTGCACATGTATCACAGAACTTGAGTATAATAAAAATACATAAAAAAATAAAAATTAAAAAAAAAGATTTGATATCTCATCTCTCCCTAAAACACATAAAACCAAGCTGTAACCCAACCACCTTGGGCACATGTTCTCAGGACCTCTGAAAGCTGTGTCATGGGCCATGGCCCTCATATTTAGCTGAGAATAAATCTCTTCAAATATTTTATAGAATTTCATAGTTTTCATCGACATAACCCAAAAGAAAAGAAGACTTGGAAGAAATATAAATAATAGAAAGAATAGAATGGAATACATGAACACATGTTATACATCAGAGAAACAAAGAATATACTGTATCTATAATATTAGAATGATACTAAAAAAACAAAACAAAAGAAATGGGAATATTCAGAGAATAAAGAAGAGCTCTTTGAAACATTAAGAAAATGGTAGCAGAATTTTTTAAAAATAATAACAGACCTATAATCCCAGCACTTTGGAAGGCTGAGGCAGATGGATCACCTGAGGTCAGGAGTTCTAGACCAGCCTGACCAACATGGTGAAACCCCATCTCTACTAAAAACACAAAAATTAGCTGGGTGTGGTGGCAGATGCCTGTAATCCCAGCTACTTGGAAGGCTGAGGCAGGAGAATCACTTAAACCCTGGAGGTGGAGGTTGCAGTGAGCAGAGACCACACCACTGCACTCCAGCCTGGGTGACAGAGTGAGACTCTGTCTCAATATAATAATAACGACAACAACAACAACAGAAGAACTAATATAAAATTGGTAGAATCTTCTGAAAAGTAGATAGCAACAAAGATAAGGAAAATAGGAGATAATGAATAAGAAAACTAGAGGCTCAGCCTAAGGTCTGATAGGAGTTCAACACTTGGGGAAAAGGCAGAGAAAATGGAGGAGAGGAGATTACAAAAACAAAAAACAACAACAAAAAAAACCTGATGTAAAAGTTTTCCAAAGACAAACAGATCTGAGCTTTCAGACTGAAGAGCATGGCAATTGCTCAGCACAAATGCATGAAAACAGACCCACACCAAAGCCCACTGCTGAGAAATTGAGAACCCAGGAATGAAGAGAAGATTCTAAAACTTCCCAGAGAGAAAATACAGGCCACAAACAGGAAGTTAGGAACTGGAGCAGCATTCAATTTCAAAACACCAACTCTAGAACTGAAAGGAAAGTGGAGTAAAGCCTTCAAATGTCTAAGGGGATTCATTTCTAACCTAGAATTCTATTCCAAGCCAAACAAATTTGAGGATAGATTAAAGACATTTTCAGGCATACAAGTTCTCCTTTTTAAAGAAAAAAATATTCCCAGGGCTCTTTATTAGGAAACTAGTATGGAATGTCTGCCTCCAAGACAAAAGAGCAAGCCACAAAAGATGAGAAGGGCTCTAGAAAGCAGGAGTCCAATGTAGGAGAAGGGAGAATTTATTCCCAGGATGACGGTGAAGGAAGATCCCAACTTAACAACTGGGCAGCAGTTAGACAAGAAAAATAAGCAGTGCAGAATAAAGCTAGAGGACAGAAGCTGAAAGAACCTGCCAAGAAAAACAAGGACCTGGGGGATGATCAGTAAGGGATGTAAGGGGTTCTGGCCAAATTTGAGGATTAGATAGTGACAAGTACAAAGACAACAGAAAAAGGTAGGTAGTTGTGAACTCCAGGAAAAACAAAAAGTTGCATAAGAAAGGACATGATATCACAGGAAGACAGTGTTTTTCAGTTATGACTCATGTAAATATTGCCAAAATATATCCAAGAATATATAAATGTAGAATGCCAATCTGACTCAATTATAACATTACACTTTAAGAGGCTGTGGTGCAGGGAGGCAGGAGGAGACTGGTGCTGAGAAAGCTGGGGGATGTTTTGGATATTTCGTGGAGGGTGGCCTTCAGATAATGCCAACAATTCTAAATCAACACATAGTAGCACATCTTTGTTATTGAGAAAAGATGAAATATCAGAAAAAAATAAACAACTGAAATTGATTTACCTTTTGAGAGTGGAAATGGGGATGAGGAAGTGAGAAACAAGGGATTATTGTTTTCATCATAAGCCTCCTAGGACCAAGGACCACTAGATCCTTTAAACTATAGACACGTATTACTTTGATAAACATTTAAAATAACAACAGAAAGTCACAATGGAAATCACCATGCATATGCCAAAAATTGTTGAATCTTCAATTATATAAAGAACAAAGCACAAAATTAAAATCAACAAGAAGAAAATTATGTCCTAGAGAATTTCCTACCCAAGTCTAGCTTACTTTCTCCTCAGTGAATAGCTTTGTCATTGTTTTGCTAATTTAATGTAAATCCTGAGACATCATCATACAAAGTTGAACATGTATGTCACATAGTGCTGTGTCTTAGGACCTGTCATAGTGTCTGGCATCTCATAGCTCCTCAAGGAATATTTGTGGACTTGAAGTAAAGTGACAGGAGCCTCCTTGTGTCCGAGATTCCTCAGATTTTTCTCAGAGATTCCTTTAAGAACCATCTCCATGAAAATCATTTCTGAACTTTCTATAAAACTTCACAAAACATTAGTCATTAATTTGCTTAATGTTCCCTTCAGAAGGATCCACAAGATAAATTCCTCTCTGAATTTAACACCCCAAAAAAGTCAGCCTTCTGAAGAAATGGTGTCTAGCAATGAGAATTATATAACTTGTCCTTAGCTTTAGCTCCTAGGGCTGAAAGTTTTGTGTCTACTTCAGGTAGGTTAATAACTGGAAGGACCTTCAAGCTGATGAACACTCTTTGAGTTTTTGTTAATGCTTATTCAGGAGATGAAAAGTGATTTATTCTCTTCCTTTTCTAATGTCAATTTTAAGTGGATATTTATTCTCTAGGACATGAGTTGCATTTTTTTTACTTTTTTATAGACCTGTTTGTTCGAACAGGTCTGTGAGAAAGTAAATTGTAGGAAAGTGTTCACTTATTTTTCTATATGCATAATCAAGTATCGGAATGCTCAAGAATTTGTATCACAGCTAAGATACTGCCACTGTAGGAACTTGGGTCTGAAGTCTCTCTTCCTATGTTTGACCAGCTGGGTAGAACGTGCATTTACTGGTCTTGGTGGTGGATGCAGAACCAGCACAGGGAGCTCAGCCCCTCAGGAACTCCTAGGACATCTTCTTGGTGTGGCTTCTGCCCTCAGGGCAGACTTAGGATGGTGGGTTGGCAAGACATTCTCTAGTTTATTTTTTATAGAAACTCCTGTTCTCAGTAGACTGACTCTTGTCCAGCCAGTTGATGATTGCATTGTACTTGTCTTGAAGTTTCTCCTCTTCCACAGTGGCCTTCTGATTGAGAGCACAGGAGTTCAGTGAATGGTTGAAACCCAGCTTGCCTCTGTGCTTCTCCTCTTCTGCCTGTGCCTCTCATCTTCTTGCTCCATGAACTCAGTATCTTCCTTTCTCAAAGACATCCTTTGTCTTCAACAATCACAAACTTCTTCTCTTTGCCTGTGCTCTGCTCTGCTGACACACGGGGCTTCCCATAGGCCTCAGAGTCATAGTTTAGATCAACTTGAAGAATGCTGTGGACCCTCAGGCAGGTTGTCATTGGTCATTGATTGCTGTCTCATTTTCATAAATCTGAGTAAGTGTATGATGCTGGTTGTCTGAGAAGCAATAAAGTCTGCACTGCTTAGTGGCCCAGCAGATCAGAACAGAAATAATTCCAACAGAGACTTCTATTCCAAAGATCCTTGAGAAAAAAAAAAAAAATCCTAAACATTGCTAGATCTGTGCCAGATTAAATTGTGGTCCAGACAGCTTTATCTAAGTGACAGTCTCATCCTATCATTGAGAAGTCCCACGTAGGTTTCTTATTCTTTGACATATGACAGAGTGCCCCACTAGGGTGATGTTATAAATCTGTGACCTCCTGGGCATGGTGGATCATGCCTGTAATCCCAGCACTTTGGGAGGCCGAGGCAGGTGGGTCACCTGAAGTCAGGAGTTCGAGACCAGCCTGACCAATATGGTGAAACCCCGTCTCTACTAAAAATACAAAAATTAGTTGGAAGTCTTGGCATACACCTGTAGTCCCAGCTACTCAGGAGGCTGAGACAGGAGAAATGCTTGAACCTGGGAGGCAGAGGTTGCAGTGAGACAAGATCATGCCACTGCACTCCAGCCTGGGCGACAGAGCAAGACTCCATCTCAAAAAAATAAAATAAAATGCAATATACAAATAAATAAATAAATCTGTGACTTGATGAGTTTGCTGTTTTGAAGGGCTCAGGTACCAGGGGCCAGTGGACAAGAGACCATTCAGTTCTTCAAGCTGAGGATGGATATGGAGAATCAGTTGCTTTATGGGGCAGGAGGGCTCAATCATATTCATGGTTAGATGCTTGCAGTAAGTGTGGAGGTAACAGAAATCCCTTTTGGTTTTTTCACACTTGAGTTTGGCAATGACATCATTGACCATTCAGTTGTCAAAGTCTTCTTTAACTCAAGTGGATTTGCTCAGATGAAGATTTGACATAAAAGATACCATCTTCAGAAGGGAGAATAGATACATCAAAATGCCACTTCCACCTTCGAAGATCAATATAACTCTTTTAACATCAACCTTCTTGTCTAAGCCATGAACAGATGCAGTGAACATTGTCTCATTGATGATTCTGAGCACAGTGAGACTGTTCATGCTTCCAATTAAGAGATGAAATAAGCAGACCCATGATGACAAAACAGTAACAATCCTCCCAGAGGTAGCTTCTGCAATCTTCTCCATGTTTTTCAGAAACGTAAAAGACACCTTCTTGGGATGGAAGCTTTCATTCCCTCACGTGTACTGTACCTGGGATTACTGCCACACGCCACCACCACCACCATCATGTAAGCCCCACCCAAATATCCAAACAGATCCTTAGTGATGAAATGGTCTTGGTAAGCTTCAACCACAGTTTGTTTCATTGCACTATCACTGATCATCCAATCAATTGTTTCGTGCTGGTGAGGACCACAAAGCTTGGGATGGTCCTGTTTTCCTGATCATTGCCTGGATTTCCATGTCCCCCTGCTGGAAGATACCCACATAGCAATATATGGTGCCAGGACCAACAACCTCAGATCCATGTGATATCATTGCTAGTCCTCACCCAGGAGAGCACCAGGCTCCAGGAGGATGGGTCTGGTTGTTCAGCAAGTGGTGTAAAAAAAACAGGAGCTCTGTGTGCTGAGTAGAATAAACAAAAACTGATTTTTGACAAATAAAACATTTATATCTCTTTATATTCTAAACTAGATATTTATTTCACACTAGACATAACATTACATTTTAACTCTTCAAAATTATTTTGCATCTGACAGTTTTCCCGTCACTCATAACTGAAGTGCATTAGTCACACTTATTAAGAGTAGAGATGATTTTACGTAGCTAAAGGGTCTTCTTCCTAATAGCCTCAGAAATGCTTTTCTTTTTACCTTTCATGTTGGCCACACACAAAAAAAATCCCAATTTTCTTATAGCTCTTGTTCTCATTTCTATTTTCTTTTATAATTTTTAAAATTATGTCTCGTCTTTTAAGAGTTAGGTGAGTGCAAAAGTAATTGTGGTTTTTTGAATTGTTGGAATTTGCCATTTGATATTGGAATACATCTTTTAAAAATGTGGTTATGTTATACATTGTTTTAATAGGCATTTCTTGCTTTATGTCTTTTTGCTAATGACTTATTACTTGCTGTTTATTTTTGTGTTTATTTTAGACTATGGAAATGCTGTTAGACAAAAAGCAAATTCTAGCGATTTTCTTATTCGAGTTCAAAATGGGTCATAAAGCAGTGGAGACAACTCACAACATCAACAACACATTTGGCCCAGGAACTGCTAAAGAACGAACAGTGCAGTGGTGCTTCAAGGAGTTATGCAAAGGAGACAAGAGCCTTGAAGATCAGGAGCATAGTGACTGGCCATCAGAAGTTGACAATGACCAATTGAGAGAAATTATCGAAGCTGATCCTCTTACAACTACACCAGAAGTTGCCAAAGAATTCAACATCGACCTGTCTGTAGTCCTTCGGCATTTGAAGCAAATTGGAAAGTTTAAAAAGCTCAATAAGTGGATGCCTCGCGAGCTGAGCGAAAAAAAACAAACAAACATCGTTTTGAAGTGTCATCTTCTCTTATTCTATGCAACAACAACGAACCATTTCTTGATCAGATTGTGACATGCGACGAAAAGTAGATTTTATAGGACAACCAGTGATGACCAGCTCAGTGGTTAGACCAAGAAGAAGCTCCAAAGAACTTCCCAAAACCAAACTTGCACCAAAAAATGGTCATGGTCACTGGTGGTCTGCTGCTGATCTGATCCACTATAGCTTTCTGAATTCTGGCAAAATCATGACATCTGAGAAGTATGCTCAGCAAATTGATGGATGCACCAAAAACTGCAACACTTACAGCTGGCATTGGTCAACAGAAATGGCCAATTCTTCACAACAATGCCCTACCGCACACCACACAACAAAGGCTTCAAAAGTTGAACGAATTGTGCTACGAAGTTTTGCTTCATCTGCCATATTCACCTGATCTCTCACCAACCAACTACTACTTCTTCAAGCATCTCAACAACAGGTCTCATCTTTTAAGAGGAATCTTAAATGTTTTAAGTTTAAAAAAATAACATAAATGACTCATTCCTATGAAACAGGATGACACCATTTGTTTTTTGGCTCCAGGATTTCCAGAGACTACATCAGCCC
Source organism: Homo sapiens (assembly GCF_000001405.40). Taxonomy (NCBI): domain Eukaryota; kingdom Metazoa; phylum Chordata; class Mammalia; order Primates; family Hominidae; genus Homo; species Homo sapiens. The sequence goes on from NC_000002.12 coordinate 234,747,226, forward strand.
CCTTCCAACAAATTTCTGTTTGTTGGAATCTAGTTAAAGGCAAGCCTGTTATTGTGCAAAGTTCTCAGCAGAGACAGATCTAGGCCAAAGAGAAACTATTTCTCCATGTTTTGTTTTGTTTTCTTCAGGAAGGTGACATCTGCTTCTGCAGGAATAGCATCTTATCTACACTCTTTTCTTCACCTGTGTGAAGAGTTGCATAGGGAAACCTGAATTAATTAACTGTGCCATATTTCCAATTTATTCCAGGGATGTTTATGACTTCTTTATGAATTGGTACCTGCTTCTTGCTCTGGCTCTTTTTTCTAGAACAGAGCCTGGTATATATTAAATCCTTAGTAATTGTTGCTATATGGTTGCAATTTTTTTTTTTTTTTTTTTTTTTTTTGCCATTCTGCTTTGCTCTCTTTTGCCTATACTCTTGAATTTTCTCACTTTCTTCCTCGCTCCCTCCTGTGATTGCTCCTTTGCACACTGTGTTTCCTGAGATAACTTACATGTAATTGTGGCCAGCAAAACTGGAGTCAAGGGACACCCATAGTTTACGAATGGTGGCAGAAAATGTGGTATTTAAACAAGGGTTGGGATAGAGTCACCTAACGGATTCATTAGTCAGTGTATTAGTCCATTTTCATACTGCTATGAAGAAATACTCAAGACTGGGTAATTTATAGAGAAAAAGAGATTTAATGGACTCATAGTTCCACATGGCTGGGGAGGCCTCACAATCATGGCAGAAAGTGAAGGGGGAGCACAGGCATGTCTTACATGGCAGCAGGCAAGACAGCATGTGCAGGGGAACTGCCCTGTATAAAACCATCAGATCTCATGACACTTACTCACTATCACAAGAACCACGAGAACAGCATAGGAAAAACCCCCACGGGGTCCCTCGCATGACACATGGGGATTATGGGGGCTACAATTCAAGATGAGATTTGGGTGAGGACACAGCCAAACCATATCAGTTAGGAAGCTGTCCCTTAAATGGAGGACAAAGTGATTTCCCAAGAACTGCTTCTTCTCATCAGAGGATCTTAAGCAACAGAGAGAGTTTAACTCCTGACTTCACCCACAATAGTAGGAGGCTGGGTCCTTGGCTCATCAACAATCCAGTCATGAGGAGGGAGCAAAGGACAGGCATGTGTGTGTCAGCCAGAAGATGGATATAACCAGAGGTTTTCCCCCTGACATCAAGAGATACAGAGAGGTGAAGGTCCAGACTGTGGTGGAATTATGTCCAGTGACACAGAATTTTGTGCTAGGCACTGAGAACAGAGAGCTAAATGGAATTGACACAGTCCTTGACATCACAGTGCTTACCATCTTGGCAAAAAATAAAGAAAGATATATAGACATTTATTTCTGATGTATGACTGAATGATCCGGGGACTCCCCATTCCCCTGCTGAAACAAACAAGCAAATCCTGAATAAAATATCATTGAAAATGCACTAATAGCCTGGGAAAAAAAATAATGTCCTCCAAGAATTCATGTCTTCCCAATACCTTGTGAAGGGAAGTAAGGTATATAACTAACAAACTAGCAGAGGTGGGAAATGAAATAGGAAAACTACTCAATAATAAATCCAAAGAAAGGGAGAAAGGAGGGGGAAACATAGAAAAGGGAGGATAATAGAAAGTACAAATAAATATGGTAGAAATAAATCCAAATATATTAATAACTACAATTTTTGAAGGGAATGTGATACTACAGGTTTAAAAATATCAAATTACATTTTTAGATCAGACTAGATTTTTTTTAAATCCACCTACCTCTACTTACAAGAGGCACACCAAATTATATGTCAACAAAGATATTGAAAGTAAAAGGTTGAAAAAAATATACCAGGACAATGTTAAACAAAAATTAAACTATGGTATGTAATTAATAACAGATAAATCAACCTTAGAAAAGTATTACTAGAGATAAGAGTATCTTAGTCCATTTGTGCTGCTATAACAAAAATACCTGAGACTGGGTAATTTATCAAGAACAGAAATGTATTTCCTGCAGTCCTGGAGAACAGGAAGTCCAAGATCAAGACTTCTGTCTGGGCGCGGTGGGTCATGCCTGTAATCCCAGCACTTTGGAAGGCTGAGGCAGGCAGTCACGAGGTCAGGAGTTCGAGACCAGGCTGGCCGGCATGGTGAAACTCTGTCTCTACTAAAAATACAAAAATTAGCCGGGCATGGTAGTATGTGCCTGTAGTCCCAGCTACTGAGGAGGCTGAGGCAGGAGAATCGCTTGAACCCAGGAGGTGGAGGTAGTGGTGAGCCAAGATCACGCCACTGCACTCCAGCCTAGCGACAGAGTGAGACTCCATCTAAAAAAAAAAAAAAAAAAAAAAAAAATCCATACTTCCACAGGCTCAGCATCCCCTGAGGGCTGCTCTCTACTTCCAAGGTGACGCCCTGTCGCTGCATCCTCCAATGTGGACAAACACCACATCCTCTCTTTGCATGACAAAAGAGATAGAAGGGGAAAGAGAGCTGAACAACGCATGAAGCCTTTTTTATAAAGGTCACTCACATGACTTAATCACCTTTAAAGGCCCCACCTATTACCATCACATTGCTGATTAAGTTTCAGCACATGAATTTGGCAGAGGTGTGCCATATAATGCTAAAAGTACAGTTCATCCAGTAGATGTACCCATTAACAAAGCTTAAAAATATAGACAACAAAAATTTGACAGAACTACAAATAGAAACAAAAATAGCCTGTAATCCCTGCACTTTTGGGGCTGAAGCAGGAGAATGGCTTCAGGCCAGGAGTTCAAGACCAGCCTGGGTAACACAGTGAGAACCAATTTCTGTTTAAAAAAAAAATACCAAAATTGGCCAGGTGTGGTGGCATGCACCTGTAGTCCCTGCTACTTGGGAGGCAAAGATGGAAGAATCACCTGAGCCCAGGAGTTCGAGGCTGCAGTGAACTCTGATCACGCCACCGCACTCTAGCCTGGGCAACAATGAGATCCTATTTCTCAAAAAAAAGAAAAGAAACAAAAATATCCACTTTTATAGTGGGAGATTTTAACATACTTCCCTCAATAATTAATTGACCAAACAGATGGTTAACGTTAGGTCTAGGGCATAGAAAATACAAGCCTGAAATATTTTATTGTGCCAAGAAATACGGATGTTCTCACAGAATGATGGGAGTATGTCAAAAGAACACAGGAGCCAGTTTGAAGAAGCTTCCACTGGTCAAGTCTGGGATAATTTGAACATCAAAATTTTAAAAATAGGCCAGGTACAGTGGCTCACGCCTGTAATCCCAACACTTTGAGAGGCCAAGACAGGCAGATCACTTGAGCCCAGGATTTTGAGACCAGCCTGGGCAACACGGTGAAACCCTATCTCTACAAAATATACAAAAAATTAGCCAAGCATGGTGGCGCACACCTGCAGTCTCAGCTACTCAGGAGGCTGAGAGATGGGAGGATCACTTGGGAGGTCAAGGCTGCAGTGAGCTGTGATCGTGCCACTGCACTCCAGTCTGGGTGACAGAGTGAGACCCTGTCTCAAAAAAAAAAACAAAAACAAACAAAAAATTGTTAGTGATAGTAATGGAGTATAAGTCTCTGAGAAAAATAGTAATCAATTATCTGAATTAATTACTAAATGCTAACTAATTACTAATTGCTAATTAATTACTAATTTACTGAGCACTGACTATGTACCAGGAGAGTGCCTGGCACCTAGTAAGTGCTCAGTAAATTATAACTGCTTTTATTCTCATTTTGTTATTTGGATATATTATTACTTCTCCCAAATCTTTGGGGCATGCAAAGATTTTTAAGGTGCTAAGGTTTTTAATCAGTCTGTTATACTGTTTTATAAACTGTTACTAAGATAAAATTTTAAAAAAACAGTGTTGAGTAAAATTAATTGAATCAGTAATGATTAATTACTAATTAATTAGTAAAAGTTAGGGAGAAGCTCTTCCTCACAGTAGAATGCCAACTATTAAAGCTAAAAGAAATTATGGGATTAGAAAAATCACAGTTTAGCAACCAACACAGTCTTACTAATTCAAGCAAAAACTATCAGCAGATGAAAATTCTGGAGGGGCAAGTCTGATAAGGAATTAGAATATTTGTATAGTCTCAAAGTGTCTCCCCACATGCTACTTACTCCTTATTAACAAATAAGTTCCTCACACTTAATCAGTTTATTGAACAGCAGAGAAGCCTGACCAACATCATCTTGACTGGGTGATAAAAGAACTTAGTATGCCTAGTAATGGCACACACTGCCAACATCCACATTCCTCCTGATAGAAAACACTGAGACAGACACAGTCTCAGTTCTGTGAGATTCCTGCCAAAAATGCACCACCTGAATTAAATTATGAGAAAACATCAGACAAGCACACGTTGGGAGATGTACAAAGTAACAGGCCTGGATGCTTCAAGAATGTCAAGATTAGAAAAAGACAAGGAATTGGATGGAGACTGAAGAGGCATACCTACCAGGTGCAAAGCTTGATCCTGACTTGCATCCTGGCCTACGGAGGGCACTGTAGGGACAATTAGATGGGGTCTGGAGGATTTGATGGTGTAATGTATCAGTGTTAATTTCCTGATTTTCAGAGCTGAGCCCCACATGCAGAAAATTCCTTGCATGAAGAAAACTGAAGTGTTAAGGGGTAATGAGCCATCATGCCTGCAGCTTATTCTCAGTGCAGCCACTACCAATTGATTGGAGCTAACCCATCAGGAAAAACGCTCTCTGCCATTTTAGAACTATGTGACCTTGCAGTTTTCCTTCCTACCTGCATTTAATTATTATCATGACCAGATTTCCCAGTATCAACAAACACATTCATAGGAGAGATGGGGATAAAATTTGACTTTCCAAATACCTAAGGCTGATTTTGAGATGTGCTGCTATAGAAATAAATGAGAAAAAGAAGTGAAAAACTTAGGAGGAATGGAAATAATCTCTGAGAATAAAACCACCCACGCCTCTCATTTTGCAAAATGCCCCTTGCCTGAAACTGATGTGCTTTCTTCTGCCATAGACCTCAGTCACAATGGGTCTTCTTGCTTTAAAGGCAAATAACCTTCATATGGCGTGACTTCCCAAATACTGGTTATGCTCCTAAAATTCTCCATTACAAGTGAATTCCTAGCACTTCCTAGACAGCATGCTGTCGTGGAAAGAGGAGACTAGGGTCAGTCTGTCTGAGCTCCATGCCCAGCTCACCCAATTCTCAGCTGTGAGACCAGGGACAAGTGACTTCCTATTGCCCAGGTCAGCCTCTCATCTAGAAAGCAGGGTAAATACAAATGGCCTCAGAAGATTTATGAGGCTGCAATGCAGCCCCACTGTGGGCTGAGTGGTAGAGTGCCTGGCACATATAGCTGCTTTTATTCTCATTTTGTTATTTGGATACATTATTACTTATCCCAAATCATTTGGAGCATGAAAAGATGTTTAGGATACTAAGGCTTTTATTCAGCCTGTTATACTGTTTTGTAAACAATTACTAAGATAACAAATTTTAAAAACAGTGTTCTGAATAAAATAAATGTCAATGCAATTTTGTCATGTTGCTCACAGAACTGACCCTGTGTCTTCTAGGCTTTTCCCCTTCATTTTATGAATTATGTGTTCCTTCGACATCAAATAAATGCCCAACTGTTACCAGTTGAAGGTGTCCAGGTTCTTGGCATCAAAGAATTGGACAAAATGCACAAAGTAAGGAAAGAATGAAGCAACAAAAGCAGAGATTTATTGAAAACCAAAGTACACTCTACAGTGCAAGACTGCGCTGCAGCAGAGGGGCCAAAGAGCCCAGATACAGAATTTTCTGGGGTTTCAATACCCTCTAGAAGTCTCCCACTGGTTACTTGGTGTACACCCTATGTAAAGTAGTGACCCACAATCAGTCTGATTGGCTGTGGAAAGCAACCAATCAGAGACTGAAGTTACAAAGTTACACTCCTATGCAAATGTCTAATTGGTTGCATAAAGCAACCAATCAGATATACTTTCAATTTTCCATCTGCTACACAGATGGAAAGAGGGACGGGGTTTGCAAAGGGACTAGCCTCCCATCCTTTTGTTACTTAGGTGTGGAAAGTTGGTGTTTTCCTTTTGATTTAGTTTTAGGAAGTCAGCGTGAATTGGCCTTAGGTTCCCTGCCTCCAGACCCTATTCTCCGGCCGGCAACCCTCACCTTGGGCAGACCTACAAGAGCCCTGACATTGTGCACCTGCTTATGTGTGCGTCGTCTCCCTGGAAGGGGCACAGGAAGCTGATGATGGTGGTTGCCCCTGGGAAATCAGCTGGGTGGATGGGCACAGTTGGGACAGAGATGTCCTCTTCACTTTATACCCTTTTGCAGTTCGGAATTTTGTGCCCTATGAATCTCAGACATATTAAAATAAATAAATAAAATCAAAATGTAAAGATTTAAGATTTTAAAAAATTAAATCCTAGTCCTGAAACTCTCCAAACACCTTCTCCACCGACTGACTTGAGTCATATGTTTAAAGATCATACTTTCTTTATCCAAATGTGAGCAAACACATAATTCTTTAAATGTTGCATTACTGAGTTAGCAGGAAATTAAAGTAACATAGTGAAACCTAAGCACCAAATGTCAGTGTTCACTCAAAAAGAAACATGATCTATTCTCTTGAGAGTTGGTGAGAATGTGGAAGAATGTGAGGAATATCAGGCCAGTAGGGAGCTGAGGTGGGAGCCACAGCCAGGCAACAGGAGGCAGCCAGGCAGCCCCATGGTCGGGCTAGATAGGTCTTGGGATTTAAACGAGCTTGATATAAAAATCGAAAGTAAATCCACAAGTATTAGAATTTTACATTGGACTAACTTACAATTGGGAAGCCTTACAGTATAATAATAATAATGTATGTGGCTATAATCAAGATCTTTTCTAATTAGCTAGGAATTGTACCGGGCTTATAACAATTAGAGGTGCAAGACAGCACAGGAATTTATCATGTATGCACACGTGTGTGCGTATGTGTCTATGAAGTCTGGAATTTGCAAATTAACCAGACAGAAAGGCCTCCAAAAAGCGCCAGTCACGTCTGACTACACAAGGGAAACCTAAGAAGGGAGAGAGCGGGTGAGGGAAAGTGAGTGGGAAAGACAGAGCTGCTCAGAGAGAAGGAATGTCTGTGGCTTTGAGGGGTGAGGGGACAATTCAGGGAGCCAGTCCCCCACAGAAAGCCCCGACTGACATGATCCTCTCTAATGCACACCGGAGATGAAACCCAACACTGACACTCAGGAGTGACCAACCAAGAAGACTGCAGCCTGAGGAGAGGAGAATCTAGGTGGAAAGCTGGATGCGGTGGTTTGTGCCTTTTGTTCCAGCGACTTGGGAGGCTGGGGAGGAAGGCTCGCTTGAGGCCAGGAGTTTGAGAACAGCCTGGGCAACGTCGCAAGATCCTGTGTCCCTCCCTGAGAAAAAAAAAAGAAAGAAAACAAAAGAATTCAGGCTAAAATCACACACTCACTAGGGAGGCAATAACTTGTGGCCAAGACCCCAGACTCCCAGATATCCTTCCCGCACACAGGAGTTAAGAGGGAGCCCAGACAACCACCCCACCTGAGCGCCTGTCATTCTAATCCAAGTCACCTTCAATCTCTTGCTGGAGTTCTTGTATAAGTCTTGTAATGTGTCTCCCTGCTTCTATCCTGGTGCCCGACAGAGCTCTCAACACAGCATCTGGGGGATCCTTTAAAAATTAAATCTTGTCCTTGCGATAGTTTACTGAGAATGATGATTTCCAATTTCATCCATGTCCCTACAAAGGACATGAACTCATCATTTTTTATGGCTGCATAGTATTCCATGGTGTATATGTGCCACATTTTCTTAATCCAGTCTATCATTGTTGGACATTTGGGTTGGTTCCAAGTCTTTGCTATTGTGAATAGTGCCGCAATAAACATATGTGTGCATGTGTCTTTATAGCAGCATGATTAATAATCCTTTGGGTATATACCCAGTAATGGGATGGCTGGGTCAAATGGTATTTCTAGTTCTAGATCCCTGAGGAATCACCACACTGACTTCCACAATGGTTGAACCAGTTTACAGTCCCACCAACAGTGTAAAAGTGTTCCTATTTCTCCACATCCTCTCCAGCACCTGTTGTTTCCTGACTTTTTAATGATTGCCATTCTATCTGGTGTGAGATGGTATCTCATTGTGGTTTTGATTTGCATTTCTCTGATGGCCAGTGATGATGAGCATTTTTTCATGTGTCTTTTGGCTACATAAATGTCTTCTTTTGAGAAGTGTCTGTGCATATCCTTTGCCCAGTTTTTGATGGGGTTGATTGTTTTTTTCTTGTAAATTTGTTTGAGTTCATTGTAGATTCTGGATATTAGCCCTTTGTCAGATGAGTAGGTTGCGAAAATTTTCTCCCATTTTGTAGGTTGCCTGTTCACTCTGATGGTAGTTTCTTTTGCTGTGCAGAAGCTCTTTAGTTTAATTAGATCCCATTTGTCAATTTTGGCTTTTGTTGCCATTGCTTTTGGTGTTTTAGACATGAAGTCCTTGCCCATGCCTATATCCTGAATGGTATTGCCTAGGTTTTCTTCTAGGGTTTTTATGGTTTTAGGTCTAATATTTAAGTCTGTAATCCATCTTGAATTAATTTTTGTATAAGGTGTAAGGAAGGGATCCAGTTTCAGCTTTCTACATATGGCTAGCCAGTTTTCCCAGCACCATTTATTAAATAGGGAATCCTTTCCCCATTGCTTGTTTTTCTCAGGTTTGTCAAAGATCAGATAGTTGTAGATGTGCGGCATTATTTCTGAGGGCTCTGTTCTGTTCCATTGATCTATATCTCTGTTTTGGTACCAGTACCATGCTGTTTTGGTTACTGTAGCCTTGTAGTATAGTTTGAAGTCAGGTAGCATGATGCCTCCAGCTTTGTTCTTTTGGCTTAGGATTGACTTGGCGATGTGGGCTCTTTTTTGGTTCCATATGAACTTTAAAGTAGTTTTTTCTAATTCTGTGAAGAAAGTCATTGGTAGCTTGATGAGGATGGCATTGAATCTATAAATTACCTTGGGCAGTATGACCATTTTCACGATATTGATTCTTCCTACCCATGAGCATGGAATGTTCTTCCATTTGTTTGTATCCTCTTTTATTTCATTGAGCAGTGGTTTGTAGTTCTCCTTGAAGAGGTCCTTCACGTCCCTTGTAAGTTGGATTCCTAAGTATTTTATTCTCTTTGAAGCAATTGTGAATGGGAGTTCACTCATGATTTGGCTCTCTGTTTGTCTGTTATTGTTGTATAAGAATGCTTGTGATTTTTGCACATTGATTTTGTATCCTGAGACTTTGCTGAAGTTGCTTATCAGCTTAAGGAGATTTTGGGCTGAGTCAATGGGGTTTTCTAGATATACAATCATGTCATCTGCAAACAGGGACAATTTGACTTCCTCTTTTCCTAATTGAATACCCTTTATTTCCTTCTCCTGCCTAATTGCCCTGGCCAGAACTTCCAATACTATGTTGAATAGGAGTGGTGAGAGAGGGCATCCCTGTCTTGTGCCAGTTTTCAAAGGGAATGCTTCCAGTTTTTGCCCATTCAGTATGATACTGACTGTGGGTTTGTCATAGATAGCTCTTATTATTTTGAGATACGTCCCATCAATACCTAATTTATTGAGAGTTTTTAGCATGAAGGGTTTTTTGAATTTTGTCAAAGGCCTTTTCTGCATCTATTGAGATAATCATGTGGTTTTTGTCTTTGGTTCTGTTTATATGCTGGATTACATTTATTGATTTGTGTATATTGAACCAGCCTTGCATCTCAGGGATGAAGCCCAGTTGATCATGGTGGATAAGCTTTTTGATGTGCTGCTGGATTCGTTTTGCCAGTATTTTATTGAGGATTTTTGCATCAATGTTCATCAAGGATATTGGTCTAAAATTCTCTTTTTTGGTTGTCTCTCTGCCCGGCTTTGGTATCAGGATGATGCTGGCCTCATAAAATGAGTTAGGGAGGATTCCCTCTTTTTCTATTGATTGGAATAGTTTCAGAAGGAATGGTACCAGTTCCTCTTTGTACCTCTGGTAGAATTCGGCTGTGAATCCATCTGGTCCTGGACTCTTTTTGGTTGGTAAGCTATTGATTTTTGCCACAATTTCAGAGCCTCTTATTGGTCTATTCAGAGATTCAACTTCTTCCTGGTTTAGTCGGGAGAGTGTATGTGTCAAGGAATTTATCCATTTCTTCCAGATTTTCTAGTTTATTTGCGTAGAGGAGTTTGTAGTATTTTCTGATGGTAGTTTGGAATTGAACAATGAGAACACATGGACACAGGAAGGGGAACATCACACTCTGGGGACTGTTGTGGGGTGGGGGGAGGGGGGAGGGATAGCATTAGGAGATATACCTAATGCTAAATGACGAGTTAATGGGTACAGCACACCAGCATGGCACATGTATACATATGTAACTAACCTGCACATTGTGCACATGTACCCTAAAACTTAAAGTATAATAATAATTTTAAAAAAGCAAAAAATAATAATAATAATAAAATAAAAATTAAATCTTGGCCGGGCGCAGTGGCTCACGCTTGTAATCCCAGCACTTTGGGAGGCCGAGGCAGGTGGATCACGCGGTCAGGAGATCAAGGCCATCCTGGCTAACATGGTGAAACCCCGTCTCTACTAAAAATACAAAAAATTAGCAAGGCATGGTGGCACACCCCTGTAGTCCAAGCTACCCGGGAGGCTGAGGCGGAAGAATCACTTGAACCCAGGAGGTGAAGGTTGCAGTGAGCTGAGATCGCGCCACTGCACTCTAGCCTGGGCAACAGAGTGAGACTCTGTCTCAAAAAATAATAATAATAATTAAATCTCATTATATCCCTCCTCCATTCCTCATCCTCCCCAGCTCCTTATTTCCCTTAGAGAAAAATTAAGCCTTAAGTCTTCAATGACCCCACATGCCCTCCATGATCCGCCTCCCTCCTTCTTCCCCATCTCCTCCTGTCCCCCCATGCTCTCTTCCCTCCAGCCACACTGGCCTCCCTGCTCTCCCTTTGAGGTGCCAGGCACACTCCTGCCTCAGTACCTTTGCACTGGCTGCTGGCTCTGCCTGGAATGCTCTTCCCTGAGATAGCCACCCAGCTCCCTCCCTCACCTCCCCAGGTCTCTCTTCAAATGCACCTTTTCTATCAGGTCAATGGTCCAGCCGATATAAAGAGTATATTGTCAGCTCCCTGAACACTGATCAACTTTTCATCCTTACCACCTTCAAACATTCTACATACTTTCCTTACTTGTTGCTTTTTCATCTTTCTGCCCTACTAGAATATAACTTCTCTAAGAGCAGGGAAATATTTTTTTTTCCACTAATGAACCTAAGTACTTGATCAAAGTTTCCATAACTTTTACTCCCTTAAAGCTTGCAACTAGGCAGGGCCTCATAATTGCATATCTGTTCAGCTGGCCTTTCCTAAAAGTGGTAATATACCTGTCCCATACATCAGATATTCACAAGAGGTCAGGAGAGGGGAATATGCCAACACAAGCAATAAGTTAGAAAAATAATTGCTATGGGGAACTCACTGTCCTCAATCTTTCAGCAATAATGAGAAGGAATGTTTGTAGAGGGTTTTGCAGTTTAGAAAGAACTTGCAGTTCATTTTCTCACTTGAGCCTCTCTGCATCCCTGTGAATTATGCATTAGTATCGTTACACGTACTTTACGTGTGATAAAACTGACGCTAGGAGAGGCCTGAGGTCACTCAACCAGCAAAGGCTCAGGGAGAAGGAAAATGCTGGTCTCAGGACTGTTTGTACCAACACCACGCACCTGCCTTGCCAGAGCAATCAACACAGATGTAAGTGTCAGTGGGATTAACCATTTCAGAGAGCATTTGGTGCTGTTGTTTATTTCCTTCTGCTTGTCTTTTTACCCTTCACTGTAAGATAAATAGAGGAATCACAGAAAGATGAATCTACACTAAAGAAATGTGTGATTTCATGAATTATTATAAAATGAGCCTTGTAAACTTTGCAGCCAACCCAGAAGACCCCCATGGTCCCCATACCATCCCCACACAGCCCCTCTTCTCCCATCAAAAGTAACCATCATCCCAGCTTCTTCGGTAAAAGTTCTCTTGCATTTCTTTAGTTTCACCATCAAGATGTGTATCTTTAGACACAACAATTGTAGTCTTACTCATTTTTTTTTTCTTGAGACAGGATCTCTGTCACCCAGACTAGAGTGCAGTAGCACGATCAAGGCTCACTGCAGCCTTGACCTCCTGGGCTGAAGCAATCCTCCTGCCTCTGCCGCCAAGTAGCTGACACTACAGGTGTGTGCCACCATGCCTGGCTAATTTTTGTATTTTTTTTTCTTTTTGTAGAGATGGGGTTTTGCCGTCTTGCCTAGGCTGGTCTCGAACTCTTGAGCTCAAGCAATCCACTTGTCTTGGCCTCCCAAAGTGCTAGGCTTACAGGTGTGAGCCACCACACCCAGCTGCCTTACCCATTTTTTAAAAACTTGCTCTGAACTTTAAGTCTCTTAATCAACTGATTTCCCTGCCATTCTTTCTCTTCCTTACAATATATCTAATAAAGAATCTAGGCCTTTAGACCAGTTGTATACCCCACAACTGGAGTGTGTGTGTGTGTGTGTTTGGTGTGTGTGTGTGGATGAGCAGGTGTGGGTGTATGTGCACATACACATAAAAAATATCCCTTTGGTTTATACTGATATTTTAAATTCAAATTCAGAACTAAAGGGTTTGTACTTAATTTCTTTTATATTACACCTGTATATCCTGTCTTCCATACCAAGAATCCACACTCTCAAAAACACAAGAGATGATAGAATCAGAGTATTCCACAATTATTCATTTGCTTTATCCCTTATCACACACACAACAGTCTCAGAATATTAACACTAGCACTACTACTTATAAAGACTAATAACAGCAAACAATGTTCCCCCTATTTTGTAGTGGTTGTAACATATATTAATTGTCCATCCATACAGCCAGCACATGTCATCCTCTCTCCCTGTTAACCTTCATGTAGCCCTAGTCCTGCAAGTTCATATGTAGTTAGTGCTCACCAACAGTCCTTATGACTCTCTGGTCATTTGGGTTGTTGAAAATCATTTTTCAGTAGCTTTCTGAGGAGGGTCTCACAAGAACAGTATTCTCAGAAGGTTTTCATGTTGATAACAGTTTATTGTGTCCTCTTACACTTAACAGTTTTATTGGATTAAAACCTTGTCTGTTTATTTCTTTTATTGAGTATATTAAATATGTTACTCCATTTTCTTCTGGCACAAAGCAATACAGTGAAAGAGTCTAATGACAATGGAATGTTCTTTCCTTTATAAGTCAAGGGCTCATTTTTTCCTTCTTTTTCTTTAAAGTCCAATAATGGCATTAGAGTGTTTTGGTGTTAGTTGGTCTGCATTGATCCTCTCAGAAGCATAGTGAGTTCTTTCAATACATAATTTCAAGTACGTATTTTTCAATTTCAAGAAATTTTCTTTGCAGTATTGCTTTTAGTGCTAGGTTTTGATGGTCTTTCTCAGAGGCTCCTATTACCCATATTTTGGATCCTCTTTGCCTGTTTAATCTTTATGATGAAATGATTATCTTTCTTATTTCTAACTCTTAAGTCAATAAATCTTGAGTTCTGTCACCACATTCTGAGTTTTTCTCATTTATATCTTGCATATTATTCTTAATGTCTTTTAATTCCTTTTGAAAAGATGTTACAGTTTTGATCTGTTTATTTTAAACATCTTTTCCTAGTATACAAGGATGTTATTCTGCTCTTCTTTTCATAAGTTACTATAGTAACTTAGCATGGAATTTAATCTTGATGTTTTTTGGTTGCTCATCTTTGAGTGAATTCAATTAACCTGAATTTTTAGAATTGTTTTCACATAGTGTTAAATATATATTTGTATACATTGTGTTATTTATGTTAAATTATATATAGAGAGGCTAGCTTTCTGAGATTTTCTGGCTGTGTTTTCTTGCCCTGTTTTTATCTAAACCGTTCTCTTCACCTCCATGTCCACATGATTCTGCTCCAGCAGTTGCTCCTCACTGTAGGGTCCTATCCAGCTAGAAAGTTCCGGCTGGCCAGCGTCAAGTGTTCTCAGGATCAGACTCCTCCAGCCTTTCAGACCTTACCAAGGGCTCTGAGCATTTCTCTACAATCACAGCAGGTAAAATACTCTACTCTAATCTTCTCTTCTCTGGTTGGCCCACCATGCTTTCCAGTGAATAGCTGTTGGTTATTTTGTGGGTTCTCCTTTTCCAAGGTCTGACACCCTGATTCTTCATTCCAATTTATCTCCCAAGAAGCTGATAACACACAAGTCTTGTAGCTACTGGCAATGTGTCCCCACCAACTAAATTTCAGAGGTTATGAAAATATCTTGTCATCTAGCTCTTTTGTAAATGTTGTTCGTTAATTTTGTTTGGCTATGCAGATATTCTGTCTGTTTTCACGTGGGATTTAGGAAGATCTAAAAACTATGTGGCGACTGCACTACCGGCTTCCAAAAATCTTCTACTTGTTTTTTAAAAGAGGAGTGTCTAACCCAATTTGAAATTCTTGAATTGGTAAATTATATTATGTTCTGCTATATTATATTGTATTATATCATATCATATTATATCGTATCTCACATATATATAAACATTAGTAGGGACACTTTTATGTTTCTGTAAGCCAAAAACCTGTCCTGAATCTCTCCCCAATCCAGCAGGCCAGGGCAGTATTTTCCAGTTTTAATGTGCATGTGATACGCCTGGGAATCTTTTTAAATTCAGGTTCCAGGCCAGTGGGTCTGGCGTAAGGCCAGACATTCTGCATCTCCACCAGCTCCTGGGTGCTGTCAGTGGGATGGTCCACAGACCTCATCTCGAGCAATAAAGGTCGAGGTGTCAGCAAGTGATTACTCACTTTTGAAAGATTGCCAATACATACCATGTCTGCTTTTAATGAAGGACCACTCTTAGTAGTTTCCCAAAACATGTAGTACCCTTGTAAGAGCTTGTTCTTCTTTTTAATAATAAAAGAAACTGAAATCCAATACAGACTTCTCTGAGAGCGGTATTCTGC